>NC_000017.11:77837210-78137620 GCF_000001405.40 Homo sapiens
GGGCTCAAGCGATCCTCCCGCCTCAGCCTCCCAAATGACTGGGATTATGGGCATGAGCCACTGTGCCCGGCCCACAGGGTCAGTTTCTTCTGAGGCCTCTGGCCCTGAGTTGCAGATGGCCACCTTCTCCTGGTGCCTGGTGTCACAGGGTCCTTCCTCTGCCTGTGGGCATCTCTGCTGTTTCTGTATGAGTCCAAATCTCCTTCTCTCAGGAGAACATCAATTGTTAGATTGGAGCCCATCCTAACAGGCTCATTTTAACTTAATCACCTCTTTAAAGGTCTATTTCCAAATACAGTCACATTTTGAGGGACTGGGGATGAGGGCCTCAACATAAATTTTGGAAGGACACAGTTTAGGCCATATGAATTATATCTCAATGCAACTGTGTTTTAGAAAATGAGCGAAAGATCCCCACAGCTTTTGTCAAACAGGGGGCTCTTATTCCTCTCCAAGGGAGGCCACCATTTAACTTCCTCCCATATTTCTCCGGAATCAAAGGTGACTGTCTCAGCTTCCCCTAACCTCAAATGGGCAGGCCAGGCCACAGGCAGAGGTTGATGGTTTGGAGTCTAGCAGACCTGGCTTTTGCACCTGGTGGGACAGGTGGACTCTCTGGGCTTGAAGCATCTCTAGGAGCCTCAACCCCTGCAAGGAGCCAGGTGTCCCTCCAAACATCCACGAGGAAATCTAACCTGGCTCGCTGACATGTACCAGGCTCTGTTAGGGGAGGTACAAAGGGAGGCGACTGGAGGCGAGTCCCCACAAAGTAACCTGTGCCCTGCCTTCGGGGGTATCACCAGGGTGGTCGTTGGCCCCGACCTCAGGCGGCTCATAGCCTGGCCAGGACCACCCCACTCAAACCTGAACCCAGGCCTAAGGGTGGGTGGGAGAGCTGGGGGGACTGGAGACTGAGCTCCCTCATCCACTCTCTTTCCCCAGCACCACAAGGGCTCCACACAGATGACCTGAACACAGAACAAATGGGGCTCACCATGGCAGCCGCCAGCAGTGGGTGTCTGAGGCAGGCCCTGGAGGGCCAGCTCCCTCTCCCAAGGCACACCGCCCACCAGGCTGCCTGTTGGAGCCTGTAGCCCCTGCCGATGCATCGGAAGGGCGATGCCTCCAAGATTTCGGGCCGTCTCTCCTTCTGTTGTGAATTGCTCTCCTGTGTGCTCCTGGCAGGCCTGGCACCTTCAAAGCATTCTGTGGATATTAACTAATTAGTGTAAACACTGCAATGCAGTGATGACCTATTAGGAGGCTGTTGTTGGTATCAGATGATTAAAGGTGGTGAAAGCCTCCCCGACAGCTCTTCTGGGACTCAGCTCCAACTTTTCTCCCTGCAAGCCTGGTCTCATGGCCTGGAGAAGCATAATGAGGTCAGAGTCTGGTGAATTCAGAGTAGGTAAGAAAACGCAGTGCCTGCTGCCTCCGCCAGCTAACCCAAAGAATCTGTGGCAATGGCTGCTCAAGAAGAAATCTTGGCCTGGACTACAGGAGACAAGAAGTTTGGACTCACGTGTGACCAAAGGATCTGGGACTCCCAGTGTCCATAGGTCAGCGCACAACTAGTGCCAAGGAGGACCCTAAAAGGAGAGCCATGCGGCGGGGAGGGTCACAGGAGCCAGGGGGCTGGCTGCTGGGCCCTGCTGGGACACTGACCGGCTCCCTGATCTCTGGAAAGTCACCTCATTCATTCATTCAACAAACTCTCCAAAGCATTAAAAACATAGATACCTGCATTCTTGTCTCATCAGCAAATCACGGCACTCTTGCCTTCTAAATTTATCCAGAATCAGCCACTTCTTACCTTCCCCAAATATCATCATGCGATGACTCCAGTAGCCTCCCAACAGCTCCCCATGCTTCCCCTAGCCCCCCGTCCCCCGCAGTGTCGGAACACATCGAGTGTCAACACAGCAACCTCTTTGGCTCAGAAAACCCCAGCGGCCTTCATCCTCATCAGAGGAAGCACACAACCCTCACAACTTCCTTCTCTCACTCCCAACAGGCCTTCTTGCCTTCCTCCACGGCACCCAGCGCATTCTGCTTTAGGGCCTTGACACTTGCAGTTCCCTGTGCCTTGAGCCGTCTCCCGCCAGAAACCGTTTGGCTCGCTTCTTCACCTTCCCCAAGAGGTCTTCCCTGTCCACACCATCTAAACAGCGATCAGCAAACTTTTTCTGGAAAGGGCCAGAATGTAAACATTTTCAGCTTTGCAAGCCGGGCAGTCTCCGCAGCAACTCTTCAACTCCAAGGCAGTCCTCGGCCACACATGCATGGAGGAAGAGCGCTGTATTCCAATAAAACTTTATTTATAAACACTGGCTACCATGGACTGATTTGACCCAGGGACCGTTGTTTGCCAACAGCTGATCTAAAAAATCAACTCACCATTCCCTCCTCTCTCCTCAGCTCAGTTGTTCTTGGTGGTATGCATTGACATGTGATATGTAGACAATTGTCTACCTCTTTGTCACCTGCCTCTGCCACTGGAACATCAGCTTCACAAGAACAAGGACTCGGTCTATTTTGCTTATTGCTGTATCTCTAAATCCTCAGACAGTGTCTGGCATACAATCAGCACTCGTATTAAAAATAAATACAAGCCACACATTATGCATCGGGGAGGAGGCCACCCACTGGCTTCTACAAAGATCTGGGTTCTGTAACGAAATCTTTTCAGCGTGGGTTTCTCTAAGGAGCAAGCAGGAAGAACAGGTATGAGGAGCAAGACCTTCAGACCAGCCCACTGCCTGGAGACTTTGGACTCAAATGAAAAGCACTGTCTGAGCCTTGTTTGGAAAGGAAACTCTCCAGTGTCTGAGCCTCATAATCAACCAGCAGGAATGCTTGTGACATTTCACAACAAATAATAACAATTTCTTACCTCCGTGGGCTTCCTAAGAGGCAGTCATACTGGCTCATTTGACTTGCACATACCTGTGAGTGGGTAAGTTCTATATTTTACCGATGAGGTACACAAAGCGCAGATAGCCTTGCCCAAGGTCACACCGGGAGGAAGCAGCCGGAGCCAGCCCAGAATCCAGGCTTCCAGCTTCCACCGCAGTGCTGCTCTGACACATCCTCCTTACAGGCCAGCCTCCTGTTTCCCCGATGCATAAGCCAGTGCTAACGCCACATATCACTTAACAGATATTCGCCGAGTCCCTATGTTATGCAAGAAACTGAACTAAGTGCAATGCAGGAGGTAAAGATACTCAAGTAAGTCCTGGTGGTAAAGAGACTCTACAGGAGAGCCAGTCTGACCTTCCAAGGCAGGAATCTCCTTCTCGGCATCGCATGCTGGTTATTCCTGTAAACCGAAGTCATCACAAACTTAAAACAACAGCTTAAAACAGCAGCTTAAAACAACACGCATTTGTTATCTCACAGTTTCTGTGGGTCAGGAGTCTGGGTGTGGCTTAGCTGGGCCCTCTGCTTCAGGGTCTCATCTAAAAGCTATAGCCAAGATCAGAGCTGCAGGCTTCTCTGAGGCTCAACCGAGGAAGGATCTGCTTCCCAGCTCCCATGGATGGTCGCAGCATTCAGTTGCTTGTGGCTTCTTAAATGGAAAGCCTCACTTTCTTGCTGGCTATTGGCCAGAGGTCACCATCATGTCATGCATTGGACAGAGGCTGCTGTCAGCTCCTTGCTTTGTGGGCCTCCCCAGTGTGGCCACTTACTCCATCAAGGCCAGCAAGAGAGTCTCTCAGCAAGACAGATGTCACAATCTTATGAAATCACAAGAGTGACATCCCGTCACTTTGCTGTATTCTCTTGCAACGTTAAAGGCAAGTCACAGGTGCTGCTTGCACTGAAGGCGAGAGGACTGCATAAGGCCGTGAACACCAGCAGGTAGGACCGTGGGGCCAGCATCCACCCTGTCCACCTCATCTGCTAGGTCTTCCAACTCTCCCTGAACATCTTCAGAGACACACTGACCACTCCCTCACAAGGCAGCTCATTCCATTCTGATGTCACTTGAATGGTTAGAAAGTTCTTCCTAGCCTCAAACCCAAATCCATCTCCCTATGGCTTTTAATCATTGTTCCAAGCCCTGCAGTCTGGAGTGACATAGAAAAATTCTAATCTGGGCCAGGCACGGTGGCTCACCCCTGTATTCCCAACACTTTGGGAGGCCAAGGCGGGCAGATCACTCGAGTTCAGGAGTTCAACACCAGCCTGGCCAATATGGTGAAACTCTATCTCTACTAAAAATACAAAAAAATTAGCTGGGCATGGTGGCACATGCCTATAGTCCCAGCTACTCGAGATGCTGAGGTGGAAGAATCTCTTGAACCCAGGAGGTGGAGGTTGCAGTGAGTCGAGATCACACCACTGCACTCCAGCCTGGGTGACACAGTGAGACTCCATCTCAAGAAAAAAAAAAAAAGAAAAATTCTAATCTGGCAGAAGTTGGACTCCAGGAGGGCAGGGATTTGCTGTATCCTCTTAGAAGAGGGTTGTTGGAAAGTTCCAGGCACATCAAAGATATTCCATAATTACATGTCGAGAATAGAGAACAGAGTGGTTCAAGAAGTTGTCTCAGCAGCTTATTCGCTGCTTTCAAATGCAGAGTTGGCCTTGTATGGGAACTTGCTTACCCTGTGTCTCGGGGGACAGACCTTCATAGCCTTCCTTGGGAGACCGGCACTTTAAGAGGCTCTATTCCAACCCTGACACATGACTTGCTCAAGGTCACATAGCTGGTAAATGGCAGGTGTCAGAAGCCAGGCCTCTTGACTGCCAGCATTTCTCTGCCTCTCTATCTTTGTGTGTGACTGAATGTGAGACAGGGACACCAGACAGGCCTAGACCCTGCATCCTGGGAGTTTGCAACTCAAAGATATTTCCTCTACTTTCTGTGAACTGCCTTGATCCCTGGCCAGCAAACTAGATGTGGTATCCTCAAAGCCAGACACAGGTGAGCAGCGGGCCTCTGCGGGCTGCAGCAGGGATCCAGGTAGTCATTTCCTGCTTTCACTTAGGACTGCTGTGCACCTGCTCTCCTTCTCCCACCAGGAATAACCACACCCAGTGTACCTCCTAGGGTGTCGGGGCCTCCCCAGCACTGAGTGCCCAGCCTAGTTCAGCCTCCAGGCTTCCAGTTTCCTGGCAGTCAAGTCCATTTGCTCTGGAGCTTTGCAAGGGGCCCCCAGGTCCTTCATCACTGCACCTGCAGCTGCAGTATAGGCCTTGACCCATGGCGAATTCAGCAAGGGTTGAATGGATGATTTGAGTCCACAGGATCTGAAGACCTTGGCTGGGAATGTCAGAGGCGAGGCACAGCCTGCCTGAGCCCAGTGAGAGGAGAGGCAGAGCATCTACAGGGCTTCAGGAGGCCCCTGCTGCAACCCTGCCTGCAAGTGAGTGAGTCGGCTGGAGCTGAGGCTGAGTTTCAAGTTCTAGGGAAATGGAAAGGCCACGAGAAGAAGTAGGACCCGAAAGAAACTTTCCCTTCTTGGAAACGTCCGTGTCGCCATTATCCCCAACAACTTCCTTTTCACCTCCCTGCCTCTAAGGGACCCTCCCACCATCAGCTTTCTCCTCTTTATCCTGTGCCTCCAACTTCCCCCTTCCATGGCTGCTACATAATAAGCATTCAATAAATATGAGTCATTAAATAGTCACTGCTGTTCCTGCCTCTTCCCCCTCTCTATATTAACACATTCAGTGTTCTATCACCTAAGAAAACTAAAACCTTCCAAAATGTTTCCCACATGTGGTCGGCTATTGATGATTTTTATTTCTGCCTTTGCATTTTTACATGTCAGAGGTCTCTACCATGCACATGTGTCTAAGAGGATTACAATGAATAAGAGCTGACATTGGCTGAGCAGGAACTCTGGGCCGTCCCCGGTGCTAGGAGTTTCCTATGCACCCTATTGGTTCAGCCTCTCGACAATCCCATGTAGGGTTACCAACTGTCCCAGATGGCCCAGGCCTGAGGGGCTTCCTGGGACAAGAGACTTCTATTGCAAAAACTGGGATAATCTCAGGCAAACCAGGAGGGTTGGCCACCTTCCACCAAGGAGGCGCTATCATGATCCCCATTTTATAGATGAGAAAATTGAGGCTCAAAGAGGCTTAAAACTCTCCCTCGGGGCCAGGCACGGTGGCTCATGCTTGTAATCCCAGCACTTTGGGAGGCCAAGGCGGGCAGATCACTTGAGGTTGGGAGTTTGAGACTAGCCTGGCCAACATGGTGAAACCCCGTCTCTACCAAAAAATACAAAAATTAGCCAGCTGTGGTGGCACATGCCTGTAGTCCTGGCTACTTGGGAGGCTGAGGCACGAGAATTGCTTGAACCCAGGAGGCGGAGGTTGCAGTGAGCTGAGATCGCACCACTGCACTCCAGCCTGGGTGACAAAGTGAGACTGTCTCAAAAAAAAAAAAAAAAAACCTGCCTGGGAATCTGATCAAAAAAGGGGCAAGCAAAGGACGTAAGTAGACATTTCTCCAGAGAAGACATACCAGTGGCCAAGAAGCCCACGAAAAGACGCTCACCAGCATTAGTCATCAGGCAAATGCAAATCAAAACCACAATGAGGTTGAGGTGCCACTTCACACGCTCGACAACAGCTATAATTTTGTTTTAAAACTGAAAATAAGCGTTGGTGAGGTTATAGAGAAATTAGAACACTTACACATTGCTGGTGGAAATGTAAAATGTTTCAGCCACTGTGGAAAACAATTTGGTGATTCCTCAAAAAGTTAATCATAAAATTGCTATATAATCCACAATTCCACTCCTATGAATATAGCCAGAAAAACCTGAAAATAGACACTCAAACAAATACATGTGCACACACGTTCATAGCAGCATTATTCATGCCAGCCAAAAGGTGGAAACAACCCAGATGTCCATCAAACAATGAATGGACAAATGAATTTTGGTCCATCCATACACCGGAATATGATTCCTTAAAGAGGAATGAAGCTCTTAGATGAATGAAGCCTAAGAACATAAAGCTCAGTGAGAGAGGCCACAGGCCACAGGCAAAAGCTCCCATTTAACCTGATTGCATTTTTTTTTTTTTTTTTTTTGAGATGGAGTCAGTGTCATTCTATCACTCAGGCTGGAGTGCAGCGGCACGATCTCGGCTCACTGCAACCTCTGCCTCCCAGGTTCAAGCCATTCTGCGTGAGCCTCCCAAGTAGCTGGGATTACAGGCATTCGCCACCACCTCCAGCTAATTTTTGTATGTTTTAGTAGAGAGGGGGCTTCACCGTGTTGGCCAGGCTGGTCTTGAACTCCTGATCTCAGGTGATCCGCCCGCCTCAGCCTCCCAAAGTACTGATTACATTTTTATTAATTGTTCAGAGGAGGCAATGCATGCAAACAACGCAGATTGGTGGCTTCCAGGGGCTGGAGGAGGAGGAAGGAGGACTGACTGCCACTGGGTACGAGGTTTCCTCTTGGGTGATGCCAAGGTTTGGGAACTTGCAGAAGTAGTGGCTGCACAACATTGAATATACTAAATGCCAGGAATTGTACACTTAAAAACGGCTCATTTTGAGCTGTGAGCTTCACCTTGATTTACCAAAAACAACAAAAACAAAACCTGTACTTCAGGTCACACAACTGATGAACACAGAGCCGGCCCCGGAGCATAGGACACCCACCAGCCCGCCTTCCGTGACCGCTGGAGCCTGTGTCGCTGCTAGTCCCCCCTAGCTCAGGCCTGCCTCCCCATGCTTCTCCAAAGGCTCTCTCTACTTGTCCACTCGCCATTTGCTTGTCACCGGGGTCAGGCTTCCCCGACCACCACCCTGTGCTGGTCACCCACCCTCTTCCACTGGGCAAGTCCAGTGAACGGCACTGGGGGGTATTTGCCATTCTCCCCACCAGACTGCTGCAAACTGCCTCATAAAATTACTCAGAAAAACCCAGGGAGGCCAAGCATGGTGGCTCGCACCTGTAATCCCAGCACTTTGGGAGGCCAATGTGGGCAGATCACTGAGGTCAGGAGTTCGAGACCAGCCTGGCCAACATGGCGAAACCCCGTCTCTACTAAAAACACAAAAATTAGCTGGGTGTGGTGACGGACCCCTGTAATCCCAGCTACTCAGGAGGCTGAGGTGGGAGAATCACTTCAACCCAGGAGGTGGAGGTTGCAGTGAGCCGAGATTGTGCCACTGCACTCCAGCCTGGGTGGCAGAGCGAGACCCCATCTCACAAAAAAAAAAAAAAAAAAAAAAAAAAGAGAGAGAGAGAGAGAGAGAGAACCGAAGGGAAAGGAAGAAAAGAAAAGATAAGAAAAACCCAGGGAGGACAAGACCCAAGCAGCCAAGCAGGTCACCTCCTGAGGCCGCTGCTTTGCCCCTCTAAGGACGTCTCAGGGCTATGTCTTCCTATGCCCCCCCTTTTCCTCTCAGTCAGCCCCCACCTCACGGGCCTGCCCTGCAGGGTGTCGGGGGGCTCTTCCTTCTTGTTTTTCTAGCCTTCGCTCAGCTCAGTCAGTCGGAGCCTGACCGTGGGGGCAGCTCCTCTCTGGGGCCGGAGAATCATTCCTGTCTCCTGTCGAAATGACCCTTGGTAGGAAGGTAAGTTCACTGTCCCCAGAAGGCCTGCGGGAAGAGGCACTGCATTTTACTCAGAGCCCCTGGCAGCTGGGGAGCTGAGGAGGGGCCGTCTGTCTCCTCTGTCTGTCAAGACACACTAGAGAAACAGGTGGGGAGAGAATCCGCAGAGCTGCCCGCAGGTGGCCCCCTGGGTGGGACTGGGCCTCTCTGCTTCCCGGGGCTGCAGGGAAGGTGTCACAGGCTAAGGGTGGACTCTGGACACGGCTGCAGCTCTCACCATTCAGCTGTGGGGTCTCTCTTCGCACCTCCATCCCGAGGGTCAGGGAAGGACTGGGCGGAAAAAAGCCAAGAAGCTGGTCTCATCCACAGACACATGGGGCTTCAAGGTGGAGGAGCCCCAGCCCAGTGGGGTGGACAAGGTGCCGGGGACTGCATAGTGACCGTCAGGGCAGCCATCAGCTCCTCCTATGAAACCCCACAGGGGTGGCTGGCACTTGTCACCCTGAAGAGGCTGCAATTCCCTCGCACAGGTCATCTTGGAACAGGCAAATTCATTATAGACCCCTGGGGTCAGGAGGGGGCTCAGTACAGTCCCAGAAGGTTCCATGAAAGCCAGAAGTAGTGCCCTCAGCTTCAGCCAGGACCCTCCTGCCTGCACATTTGTTGACCACCCAGGGCCTGGGTGCTCCTGCCTCCGGCCCCCTTTCCCCACCGTGAATCCATATGGTCCCTTCTTTCCCAGCACAGCCACAGGACAGCTCTGTCACACCCTCCCCAGTGACCTACCATGAGCCACCTGGGCCGACTGGCCCTCCTTCCCCACAGAGCCCCTGGCACCCAGGACTTCCTGGCAGGTGCTGGCCCTGAAGTCCTGGGCTTCCTCTGGGCTCCTATGTGAAGCCAGCGCCCTGGAGGCCAGGTGTTTCCTGTGGGTGGGGGGGCCTGGAAGGTTCTACCACACTCACATTCCACCTCCTCCTCTGGGGCCTCCCACTTGTGGCTCAGGCCCTGCTACTGTTAATCAGAGGGAAGAGAGAAGGCCCTGGGGATGGGGTGTGTGAAGGCCTGGACTGTCTACCGCAGGCTGGGCATGGGGTGGGGAAGTCTCAGGGTAGCAGCAAGGCAGGAAGGGGAGGAACACCCAGAGCTTGGGGGCAGAGATAAGTAAGGAGCCCCCAGTTCCAGGCAACCTGTGGGTGTGGCCTCTGGGGACCAGCCAGACAGCCTGGCATGGACAGCCTCACTCTTCTCACTGCTTTGCAAATGCCACAGGTGGTCAAGCACCCACGTGGTCTTCACACATCTGCACCTTGCAGGTCCAGGATGGAGCTGTGATCATCGCTGGATGGGAAAGCAGCTTCCTGTCTCCCTCTCAGCAAGTGGAGTGCAGTGGGGTGGGCAGCTGCTTGCTGCAGACTCACTCCTATCCCCAAAGAAGCCTTGAGAGGAGGCCCTACCATATGGGGAGACTGAAGATCTGAAAGGCCCAGCTTGCCCAAGGAACTCAGCCAGTGAGTGGCAGAGCCTCCTCCCGTCCCAAAACTCTGCCTCTGGCCACCCCCAAGCACTGCCCCTCTGATGGCATCAGGGACGCGATAAAGAAACCTCAGGCAGGGCCGGCCGAGAGCCCTTCTCCCAGGCTTGCCTCCAGCTGTGCAGGAAGCCCACCTGCCCAAGACTCACCTGCGGCATTTGGCGAAAAGCAGTCCTGGGCTCCCACCCTCCCCGGCCTACTTGAACAGGATCTCGAGGGGTGGACCCAGGACTCTGCCCAAGACTGTTGAGTCCCTCCCTCCCCGGTCTTTGAGGTGGCAAGGCTTCCCCTTTTGCCTCCACTCCCCTGTTCCTGCCACAGCAGCCTCCTAGGACTGTGTTGCTCTTTTCCTTTGAGTTGGTCTGGCTCTGCAGGGGTCACCCAGGCCCCAGGCTCTCAGTGGGTGGGGATCTGATGTAGCACTGACATGTTTCATCCACTTGACTGGCAGGTCAAGGACAGCCTGGAGGTGGGCAAGTCATCAGGACCCCAGACCAGGAACGATGGAGGCTCCAAAGTCCACCAGTAGAGGGAAGAAAATAGCCGCTGTCCCCAGGCAGAGCCACCAGTCACACAGGGACGAGATCTCAGAATGAGCACTGGGCAGGGTTCTCTGGGATGCTGAGCTCTGGTCTTCCCTGTGAGCGGCCTTGGACAAGTCATCTGCCCAGACCCTCCATACCCCGTGCTGTGTCTTCTCAGAGAGTGAGCGTTCGGAAGCATGGCGCTCTCTGAAGTCCGTGGCTGGGATGTCCATGGCTGTGACGACCTTCTGAAAACCATGTGGTCTCTGTCCCACTTTCAGCCTCACAGTGCACGAATGCAAGCCCGGAGTAAGCGCCCCCAACTGGGCTCAAGACCTTCTTCTTGGGGGTCCCTGTTGCATCAGCTTCTTTTAAGTTAACTTTCTCTTGCAGTACAGTATGAATAAAGAAAAGTCTAACACTATGTGTCCAACTCCATTTGGACTTTCACAAAGTGAGTACCTTCATGTCCTCAGCTCTCAGATCAAGAAGAAAATACTGCCAGCTCCCGAGTCCTCTTCTACCTCTTCCTGTCATTAATACCCCCAAGACAACGACGACCTTGACTACTAACGCCAGAGGTTAATCTGGCCTCCTTTGGAATTACACGACAGGTACGCTCTTGCATCTGGCCTCTCTCCTCCCACGTGGAGTCTGAGCCTCACCACATGACGTCATAGCTCCTTCCTCTCACTGCTGTAGCCCAGCCCATCTCATGAACAAAGCACCATCCATATATCCATATGCCTCTGTGGATGGATGCTTGGCTCGGTTTTCAGTCTGGGCTATTACGGTGCTGTCATGAGCAGTCTCCTGGTGAACATTTGCACACGTTTCCTTTGCGAAATGCCTGGGAAGGGAATTACTGGGCTGTTGGGTGGACATGTGTTTGGCTGCAGTAGGTCCTGCCAGCTTTCTCAAGTGGTCGTACCAATTCACCCTCCCTCCACCATTGTGGGAGGCCCCAAGCTGCCCCTCGGCACCAACATCTGGGATGTCTTTTTCTTTTGAACCACTCTCTTGGATTCGGTGTAATGCTGTGATTGTAATTTGTATTTCTGTGATGACTAATGTGGTTGAGCACCTTTTTCTACGCCATCACCTTCTTTTTTTACTTTGGGTTTTTAATAGACACATAATAATTGTACGTATTTATGGGGTATATGTGATATATTGGTACATGCATACAATCTGTAATGATCAAATTGGGATTTTAGGACATGTATCCCTTCAAACATTTACCATTTCCTTTTGTTAGGAACATTCTGAATCTTCTAGCTATTTTGAAATACACTACAAATTATTGATATCCATAGTCACCCTACCATGCTATTGAACACTAGAACACATTCCTTCTATCTAACTGTATTTTTGTACCCATTAACCAACCTCTCTTCATCTTCTTTCCAACTCCCTACCCTTCCCAGCCTCTGGGAACCACTGTTCTACTCTCTACTGCCATGAGATCCATTTTTTTAGCTCCCACATATAAGAACATGCAGTATCTGTCTTTCTGTGCCTGGCTAATTTCACTTAATATTATGACCTCCGGTTCCATCCATGTTGCTGCACATGATAGGATTTCATTCTTTTCGTGGCTGAATAATATTCCACTGGGCATATGAACCACATTTCCCTTATCCAGCGTCCTTGATGAACACTGAGGTTGATCTCATCTCTTGGCTACCGTGAATAGTGCTGCAGTAAACGTGGGGGCTCAGCTGTCCTTTCATACTGAAGTTCTTTATATATTCCGGGCACTAAACATAGACATAGATATGAGTATAGACATAGATATGGATATGGATATAGATATGGATATGGATATAGATATGGATATAGACATGGATATAGATATGGATAGATTGGAAATGGATATGGATGTGGATATAGATATAGATGTGGATATGGATATAGATATGGATGTAGATATTGATAAGGATATAGATATGGATAGATTGGATATGGATATAGATGTGGATATGGCTATAGATGTGGATACGGATATAGATATGGATAGGTTGAATATGGATATGGATATAGATATGGATATGGATATAGACATGGATATAGATATGGATAGATTGAAAATGGATATGGATGTGGATATGGATATAGATGTGGATATGGATATAGATATGGATGTAGATATTGATAAGGATATAGATATGGATATAGATATAGATATGGATATAGATATGGATAGATTGGATATGGATATAGATGTGAATATGGATATAGATGTGGATATGGATATAGATATGGATGTAGATATTGATAAGGATATAGATATGGATATAGATATGGATATAGATATGGATAGATTGGATATGGATATAGATGTGAATATGGATATAGATGTGGATATGGATGTAGATATGGATGTAGATATTGATAAGGATATAGATATGGATATAGATATGGATAGATTGGATATGGATATAGATGTGGATATAGATATAGATATGGATATAGATATGGATAGATTGGATATGGATATAGATGTGGATATGGATATAGATATGGATAGGTTGAATATGGATATGGATATAGATATGGATATAGACATGGATATAGATATGGATAGATTGGAAATGGATATGGATGTGGATATGGATATAGATATGGATGTAGATATTGATAAGGATATAGATATGGATATAGATATGGATAGATTAGATATGGATATAGATGTGGATATGGCTATAGATGTGGATATGGATATAGATATGGATAGGTTGAATATGGATATGGATATAGATATGGATATGGATATAGACATGGATATAGATATGGATAGATTGGAAATGGATATGGATGTGGATATGGATATGGATGTGGATATGGATATAGATATGGATGTAGATATTGATAAGGATATAGATATGGATATAGATATAGATATGGATATAGATATGGATATAGATATGGATAGATTGGATATGGATATAGATGTGAATATGGATATAGATGTGGATATGGATATAGATATGGATGTAGATATTGATAAGGATATGGATATGGATATAGATATAGATATGGATATAGATATGGATAGATTGGATATGGATATAGATGTGGATATAGATATAGATATGGATATAGATATGGATAGATTGGCTATGGATATAGATGTGGATATAGATATAGATATGGATATAGATGTGGATATAGATATAGATATGGATATAGATATGGATATGGATGTGGATATAGATATGGATATGGATGTGGATATAGCTATGGTTGTGGATATAGATATAAATATGTATAGACTGGATATGGATATGGATGTAGATATGGATATGGATATGGATATAAATATGGATACGGACATAGACATATCATAGATATGGATGTGGATTACAAATGCCCTCTCAGACTCTCTCAAGGTGAGGCTTCTCCTTTATTCAGTTAATGCAGTGACTTACACTGATAGGCTCTCCATTATTAAACCACCTCTCCCTTCCTGGAATAAACTCAACTTGGTTGTGACGTGTTCACTTTCTGCATGTTGTTTGGTTGGAGTTGCCAGTGTTTGTCTTAGGACGATTGCACTCATATTCATGAGTGAGGCCCACCTGTAATTTTCTTTTCTTTTCTCAACGTTTCGGTCGGAAGGTCTGTGTATCAGGGTTAAACTGCCTCATAAAAGGAGCCGAGAGGCATCCCTCCTTCTCTGTTCTCTGTGAGCATCAGTGCAAGGTGGGTTTGATGGACACGTTTGTTGTCGATTTGGGGAAAGGCCCACACGGCTCATCTCTGTCAGGCCAGGGGACCATGTCTGGGGGTCAGGCGTCAGTGGCCTTGTCTATGTTCTCATGGGGTAGGAGCATGGGGAGTGGGGAGAACTTGGATTGCCACATGACAAAAGCCCCTGAAATGGGCTTGAACAGGAGGACAGGGGCTGCAGCCAGGGCCTCTGCCTTCTCCTCCGTGTTCCTTCTCAGCTCTCTCTGTTCCTCCAGGGCCTCCCGCCATCCTCCTGCCCACTGTCCTGCTTTCCTCCTGTTCCATCTGGGCCCCTCTTCTTCTGTCTCCACCTCTCTCTGAGCCAGGACTATCCATAGACCCCTCCTGATGCCGTGCATGCGTATGTGTGTGTTTATGTGTCTGTGTGTGTTCGTGTGTGCTTGTGTGCATGCTTGTGTGTCTGTGTGTGCATGTGTTTGTGTGTGTGTGCATGTGTGTGTGCATGTGTGTATGTGTGCCTGTGCATCTGTGTGTGTCTGTGTGTGTGTGTTTAGGTGTGTGTATGTGTTTGTGTGTGTGCGTGTGTGTGTGCATGTGTTTATGTGTGCATATGCATCTGTGTGTCTGTGCATGTGAGTGTGTCTGTGTGTTTATGTATGTGTGTGCATGTTTGTGCATGCATGTGTGTGCGTTTATGTGTGCATGTGCATCTGTGTGTGTCTGTGTGTTTATGTGTGTGTGTTTGTGTGTTTCTGTGCGTTCTGTGTGTGTTTGTGTGTGCATGCGTTTGTGTGTGTGTGCATATGTTTGTGTGTGTTTATGTGTGTGTGTTTATGTGTGTTTGCGAGTTTCATGTGTTTGTGTTTGCGAGCATGTGTTTGTGTTCTGTGTATGTGTGTGTGTTTTGTGTGTGTGCATGTGTTTATGTGTGTTTATTTGTATATGTGTTTATGTGTGTGCACAAGCGTGTGTTTGTGTGTTTGTGTGTGTGTTTTTGTGTGTGTGCGCTTCCGCTCACATGCATGTGTGTGCACACGGCCAGCAGCAGTGCCCACTGCTGGGAGATTCCGCCTGCTTCTTGAAGCTGCCCTGGTCCTTCACCAGCTGAGGCTGGGACTCAGGTCTGTGCCTCCTCCGCGACCTCTCTCAGGCCCCCACCCCCACCTTCGCCACCTCTGCCTGCTCTGTTTCCCGACCCTGCTGCTGGAGCACGCAGCCCTGCAGTGACCCCGTCGCATATGCTTGAACAATATTCTAGAGCACCATGAAAGACTCAGGAGGGTAAAGCACTAGCGCATGTGCCGACTGAGCTCCCGGCTGGTGGAGGCAGAGAGGCGGCAGGGCAGAGCCGCGGCGTGGGCAGGAGCTGGGGTGGAGGGGGGCCCTGCACCGCGGGCAGCCTGGCTCCTGCCCTGGTCACACAGAGGGAGTGCCTCACCTCCGTGCCCCCAAGCCCAGAGTGCTGCTGCCAAGGCGAGGCGAGGAGGAGGGCGCCCTGTGGCTGACAATCAGGCGAGTGTTCCCTGCGAGCAGACACAGCACCTAAATCATGCATGGCCCAGGCCAGGTGCTGACTGGGCCGCCCAGGAGGGGGTTGCCCACTGCCTTTTTCAGGGATTGTTCCCTTAATGACACCTAAAAATGAGCAGGCAAGCATGGGCATTCAGCCGAACGCCCGCCCTTGCCTGATAGAAATGCAGCTGTCTGGTCTCAAAGCTGTGCCATCGACGCTCTGGGAATGGGGCCTTAGGGAAGGACCTAGCCACACCCGTGCCAGATCAGCCAGCTGTGATGATGGCTGACGCTCCCTGATGGAGGAGTCCCCCAGACTCCAAACGTTCCCAGCCAAGCCCTGGCCTCGGAGCCTCCCTGTCAAGCCTCTGGCTGGCCCTTTCCAGGAACTGGACCCAAAGCCCAGGCCACACCTGCCACATCATCAGCATGACCCTGGCTGGCCTGGGCAGAAGAGACAGGCGAAGGTAAGAGTCCAGCGAGAAGGGCCATGGCCTGCCCTGGCGAGGGCCGTCCTCTTCCACTGGCCCACATCTCTGGTCTAAGACCCCCAGCCCTCCTGGGAGAGGAAACACCAGGGAGCCCAGCAACCCGGATTGGAGCCCAGGGTTGGAGCCCGGAATTGGAGTCTGCGGATCTCTGGTCCAGGCCCTGCAGCTGCCTCACACCATGCCCCTGGGTACATCCCTTCCCTCGCTAGGCCCCATGGCCCTCTCCTCAAAGGAACAGATTATTCCAGGTGACAAGGACTGTCCCCACCCCAACAGTCTACAGCTCCATGGGACCTGGGCTCAATGAAGCCAATGTGTGGCCCTGGAGATCCCCGGGCTGCGAGGGGTGGTGGGACGAGCCCTCTTCAGTCCTGGAGAAGTGTCCCCGTGGGCTTTCTCCCAGCCAGGGCTTTTGTGGGTTCTCAGCAGAAGTTGTGTTCATTGTTATCATACATCGCAATAACGAAAATAATAGTAACATCCTAATCATAGGCTCCTGGGCAAGATGGTGGCTGCCTTAAAGGACTCTTTAACAACCGGGAGAGGAACTTTCTCAGAAACTAAAGAAGCTCCCCAGGCTTGGGGCTGCAGGGAAGTGACTGAGGGGAAAAGGCCTGCAACCCCAGCCATAACCCTTGGCCGCAGGTGGGCACCCTCTGCAGGGGGGCAACATCGACAGGAACATTTCCTGTCCCAGGGCTTGGCTCTGAAGCCCAGAGAGCCTGCCCTGGCCAAGGCTCA
The DNA here is from genome assembly GCF_000001405.40 of Homo sapiens. Lineage (NCBI taxonomy): Eukaryota > Metazoa > Chordata > Mammalia > Primates > Hominidae > Homo > Homo sapiens. Next base: position 77,854,239 of record NC_000017.11, read on the forward strand.
CTCGTAGAAGCAGCAGAATCTCCAAGACAATCTTCTTCCCCCTGCACCTGCAGGAGCCCCTCCCCTGGCCTCTGCTGCAGGCACCTTATTTCAAAAGAGATCCTAGCAAGCTGAGTTCACCCAGTTGGTGCCGAGGAGAGGAGAGGGAGGTAAGGACAGGGAGGGAAAGGAGAAGGCGCTGGGAGAGCTTTGCCTGCAAGGAAGGGAACCCCAGCTTCAGCCAGGGGGTGGGGCGGAGCAGTGCCCTGGGGCAGAGATGCGCTGGCCCTGAGGGAGGGTAGCTGCGGAGCTAGCAAAGGCCCGACACCCAGGCACTGCCCCTTCTCCCACCCCCACCCTCCACTCCCGCCCCCCTCAGCAGAAGGTGGCTGCCTTCAGCAACTTCCCCCTGGGACCGCCCTCACCCAATGGCTGGGTCATAACAGTGGTCCCAAAGAGAACGGAGTTGATGGGCCGATCTGGGCCCAGTTCCTGGGCAGTTGTGGCCGGGGTGGTGGGGGAGGTCCCACAGAACCAACATGGGTTAAGGGGGTGGTAGTTAAAACGTGGGCCCCCAGCACTATGGGAGGCTGGGCCATCACCCTCAAAGGTGCCTGCCTGCTATGTAGTACATCCTGTTAATAGGAGGTGTGGAAGGCAGAGCTGGTTGAGTTTGATCTAAGAAACAAAAAGATTTATAGGGGTGGTGTTTGGCCTTCAGAAACTTGGACAGCAGCCAAGGGAGGGATGAGATGAGTTCTGTGGCCCCAGAACCCTGGGCGCAGTGGTGGCACATCGGGAAGCAGGAGCAGGCTTTAGCCTGACAGCAGGAACCTGCTAGGAACTAACAGAGCCGATGGGCAGGGAAAGGCCACCTCGTCAAGGAGTGAGCCCTGCAGTGCTGCGAATACCTGGGTGGACTCACATCCACCTGCCAGGGACAGGGTAGAGCGAGGTCCAATGCGGCCTCTAAGGCCCTCCTGACACAGCCCCAGGATCCTCCAGGGGTTCCTCCCTGTCCTCATGGGCCTGTTCACCTCGGCAGCCTCCTCGATGCCACGGCTCCCTCTGTGTCCTCCCTCTAGACGCTCAGGACCCCATAGGCCACATTCTCTCCTTTCCCGGGCTTGGCACCTGCAGATGTCTCTGCCATCCCCTACTCATCCTTCACTTCTCGTCATGAGCATCAGCTCTTCCAGGAAGATGAGAACCGCCTCTCCCTTATCATAAGGAACTCTCGTGCTTGTTTGAAAGCCTGTGTCCCCTGTGGACTTTCAGCATCACAAGGGCAGGGACCACCTCAGCCCGGTTTGCCTCTCCATCCTGGAGGAGATCACAGGGCCTGGCGCACAGCAAGTGTTTAAGAAGTAGGTGCTGAATGAATGAATGAGTGAATAATGTCAAAGGGACAGTCAACGGGCCTCCCAACACGGTACCCATGGGCCTCTCTAGAGACACTGACATCCCAGGGACTCTTCCTGGGGGTCCAGGTTAGGAAGATAAGCCCAGCTAGGGGAACCTCTAAGAGGTGAGGGTTGATGAAGACTAGAGGCAGCTGATGGGGTTGAGGTGAGGCAAGGTGCGACTGGCATTCAGGGAGCCAACAGAACGTGTCATTTTCTTGTTGGTTTCACCCCTCTCTTTATTTATATGTACACCCCACTTCTTCTCTGGAAGCATCAGGGAGTCGGGAGGTACGGATTCCAGTTCTGGGTCTGTTCTTGGGAAGCCCTAATGTAATGACTTCCCCTCTTGGGACCTCAATTTTCTCAACTTTGAACTTCACCACTTGGGCCGGATAATTTCTCAACCTTATATCCGTGGCTGGCATATGTCCTGGGGTCCGAAGGCCGGGTGAGCACTCCCAGAGCCTAAGTCTGAATCGGACTTCTGGTTTCCCCATGGCCACCCAGCCAGTGGGACAGAAGCCACCAGAAAAAGAGGCCTCTTCATCCAGGTGCGGTGGATCCTGCCTATAATCCCAGCACTGTGGGAGGCTGACACAGGCAGATCACTTGAGGTCAGGAGTTCAAGACCAGCCTGACCAACATGGGAAAACCCCGTCTCTACTAAAAATACAAAAAACTTAGCCAGGCGTGGTGGCACTTACCTGTAATCCCAGCTACTTGGGAGGCTGAGGCAGGAGAATTGCTTGAAGCCAGGAGGCAGAGGTTGCTGTGAGCCAAGATCACGCCACTGTACTCCAGTCTGGGCAACAGAGCGAGACTCCGTCTCAAAAAAGAAAAAAAAAATTAAAAAAACAAAAACAAATAACCTTTTCCCAGTTCATGTCCAGGAGGTCAGCATGGCTCCCCAGCTGCCCCTCCTCCCCAGAGTCAGGAAGGTGAGAAACGCAGCACTGCAGGCGCCTGGCTCCAGGGTGGAGTGTGGGTGTGGGTGGGCTTGCTGGAGCCCCCGCTTTCCTCCATCACAGGCAGTGCGACCCAGTGGTTTGGTGCAGTTGCTCGTGCCAGGCCCCCGGGGCCTGACTCCCACCTCTGCTGTGTATTAGCCCTGCGGGTGTGGGGCTGATGCCGTGTCTTGCATGCAAGGTCTTAGAAACGGTCTCCAGGAGACCAGGCTACTCCCATGCAGCAGACGGCAGGGAGAACTGAACCTGGCTGTTCTACAAGCCGCACAGCGTGTGTGCACACCAGACTTTTGATTTGTAATGAGTTTTACCCATATCTTGAATTGCAAAACGCATCTCCCACCTCCTTCCTCCTTGTGGGGCCACCTTTCTTGGGTCACTTTGGAGGGCACTGTGCTGAGACTAAGATGCATCTCCTCACCCCTACGACCTCACTTCCTTTCGTGGGGTGACTGACGTGTGCACACATCACCAGAGGACCTGGCAAACTCTGAGGAAGCCTTGTTGGGGGCTGGGGAGGGGGTGTTGGTGATGGTGGGGGATGGACGGGAGCTTTGCAGAGAAGGGGCTTTTGAGGTCCCTGGGTCCCAGCTGGGCTGAGCTGAGGTGCAAAAGTCTTCCTGCATCTGTTTTCTTAGGTCCTGTTTACAAGGAGGCTGAGTAGACTTCCAGGAGGAGAACGTGGGCCACGTCTGGACCTGGCTAGGGGCACCCACGGGCACATCTGTGAAGACTGGAGAACACGATGCCAGGGAGGGATGGGGCCCCTGAGGGGAGGATTCTGGTTCCCTGAGATAATGGAGTCACAGGGCTCAAGGACAAGTACCTGCACCCTCTCGGCCTGTCCTGGAAAGAAAAGTGATGAGTGTGGGGCCAGGTGAGCCTCCTGCACTCCTCCCTGCTGTCCTCCAGAGCTCAGGCAGCCTAGGATGGGGCCCCCAAGACCACAGAACAGCGAGGGGTGGATGGTTTCCCCATCCCTCCAAAGAAATCAGGCAAGGATTGAGGTCCAGGCCACCCATTATGACACCAAGGTGGCAGCCAGGAGTGATGGGAAGAGGTCAGGGCTGACCATCAAGGGCATGTGAGGGCCCCCAGTGGATGGTGGAAGGGGAGAGAACACAAACTGACTGAGGCCCAGGTTCTGCGCTAACACAGATAAAGATAAACACACCTGCACAGTTGGCTGTACACGTGACTGTGACTCATCCCCAAAGGCTTGGAAGACTGGGGGCGTTTGATCTGCATAACATAACTTGCCTAACATAAACATAATTTCAGTGGGCTGACATGTGAAGGAAGGGAATTACATGTGGAGGATAGATTTCAAGGTCTGATAGATTTCAAGGTCCAATAGATTCCCAAGGACTCCATCTTTTTCAAGCCAATCTGGATGAATAGCTACTTGGTGTGGTGGGTTAAAAATGGCTGCCAAGTCTTGGACTCTCCTCTTATTGAGAGGTGATGTCTAATTGTCTTCCAGGCAGCGGACACAGGCAGAAGCCAGAAGGCTTTTCCACCCTCACCTCAGCAGTCGCAAAGTATCACTTCCACTGCTTTCTATCACTCAAGCAAATCACTTACCCCTCATCCATTCATCCACTCATTCAACCATCCCTCCATTCTTCCATCACCCCTCCCATCTGCCCACCCACTCATTTATCCATCCAACCACCTGTCCACCCATCCACCCACCCACCCACCCCTCATCCAACTATCCAGTCATCCAACCATTCATTCATTTTTCCACTACATCTTCCGTTCACCCACCCACTCATCTATCCATGCAACTATCCATTCACCCATCCTTCCACCCATCCATTCATCCATCTATCCATTCAAACATCAACCCACCCATCTACCCACTCACCAACCACCCATCAATCCAAACACCTATCCACACACCCACTCACCCATCTATCTATCCATCCACCCATCCATCCACCCATCCACCCATCCACCCATCCATCCATCCATCCACCCATCCATCCATCCATCCTTCCACCCATCCATCCATCCTTCCATCCACCCATCCACCCATCCATCCATCCACCCATCCACCCATCCATCCATCCACCCATCCATCCATCCATCCATCCTTCCATCCATCCATCCTTCCATCCAACCAACCATACATCCATCCAGTCCATAAGCTGTGACTTTGGAGAGCCATGGGTATGAATCCTTTCCTGATGGCACTCACCCCCAGTGGGGAGAGTGACACACAAATACACGGGCCAAGTAACTGCAAACTGTGAGACATGCTTGAAGAAAAAGAACCAGGAGCTGTGAGGGAAAACATTACGGGAGCTCATCTAGATGGGGTGGGAGGAACGGCCAGCTGCTTGGAAGTATCTGGATGCTAACACGGCACACAGTAAAATCCAAACTGTAACCTCCTTTATTGGAGTGTTTGTATGATCCTGAAATCATTCAACAAATGGTCTGCAAGACCCAAAGTCCAACTCCAGCTCACTAGCAACTTTCAAAAGGCTGAAACCAGCAGTGCAAGCCCAGTCTGTCTCCCCTGGGCAAGCAGCCATGCTGCTGGCCACAGGCAGCCTCCCCGGGCTCAAGGGAGAGCCAGCAGTCGAGACCCCACCAGAGCCTCCTTTGCCTGCAGTTGCGTCATGAGCTGAGCCCCCTGTGCCAGCAGGGAGGCAGGAAAAGGAGACCTTGGAAGAGAGGGAGAGGGAGGCAGGACAAGCTCTGCTTCCCATTCCCCAGGGAGGCCAGAATGCTAATGTCTGCACTTAACCCAAATCTAAGCCCAGAAGGGAATGACAAATTGAAAGTCTGTCGTGATTCCCAGCCTTCTGTGTTTTCTGTTTTGGAATCTAGGAGGAAACTGGCAAATGCCAGAGTGGTCCCGTGGTACAAAGCCCCAGCACCACCACCACGCCTTCCTCTTGGGTACCTCCATCCAGAAAGAGCCCCTCAAGAACTTAGCTTGCTGGATCAGTGGTACCAGTCAGCCCTGGGCAGAATCGGTCAGACTCCCCAGGGCCCCTGTCACCCCCAATGCCTGGTCAGCACTGTCCTGTTCTTTCCCCTAGCCCAGCACCAGCTGCAGCCATCTCCCCTCAGAATGGCTGGTGGGATCCCCCCAGCAATCTCTCCCACCCCACCCCACATTGGCACCTCCAGTTCTCAGCCTGGACTAATTACAATCTTTGATGAGCAAAAGATACTCATGATGGAGACCTTCACCTGAAACAGGGGTGGCCAGCATCTGACGCCGTGTTCTGCTTGGCTGTGCCATCTGCTTCTGGGCAATGGACTCTTGAGGAACTAGCCTCATTGTGGAGCCCATTGAGGTGGCGGGGGGGGCGGGGGGTTACTGCAGACCCTCTCCCTTCCTCCTTCTGTCTTGTTGGCATCACAGTCAACCTCCATCAGAGTCTCTCTGTTCGTTGTCCTATCTGTTTCTGTCTTCTCTCATTGATATCCAAGGGGATGGGGAAGCAGGAGCTGGCCACATTATTGAATATAGAATGTAGATCTGGAAGGGACAAGGGCATGTGGGCCTGACCCCTGGGAGGCTACAGAGTCTTAATGCACAGACCAGGATCCACACACCCATCCTGCATGTGTAGCCTGAATAAATAATGCCCATCTCAGGGTTATTTTTCAAATGTATATGCATGCAGTTGCAAATAATCAAATACAAATTGATTTTAAACCACTACTGAATTCAAAGTAGCTTTTTGTCATTGTGAGTTTTCTCAACCAATGGAACCTAAAAATAAAAGTGCCGGCACGTGAAGAGATCCTCGAAGGGTTGGCATTAAAATGCAGTTCACGGGCTTGAAACGATGAAGAGCCACAATTCCATGGCAAATCCTTCTTTTTTGATAAAGAAATTGCTGTTCAGAGCAGTTAAAAGCCTTGGCCAAGGTCACACAGCTTGTGACAGTGGTAGAACCCGAACTCTCCCAGGCTCTGACCTCAGATCAGAGCAATTACCTTAATTCCTCTGAATTTCCACTTCCTCTTCTGTAAAATGGGATTGTTGAGAGAATTAAACGAAAGAATCTGGGCCTGGTGTTTGGTGTGATGCCAGCACACGGTAGGCACTCAGTAAGTGATGACCATCCCATTATTTTTCTCATTATCGCGATTATGTCCTGTTGCCTCATGCATTCTCCGTTTGCTTCTAAGGCAACTCACACTGGTGAAGTACTTGCCCACACACATACAATGGAGTTGGGTAGGCAACGCGGTCAGATAGCACAGTCCCCTTTAGCGCTATCCCACCGTGACCAGCACGCAGGAGTTGAGAAGCAAATGCCCCTCAGCATGGAGCCCTTGCACTGAGCTCCCACAGAGCTGGCACTTTTCCTCCTACAGCTCTGCTCTCTCAGAATTGTCTTTGCCTGGATCTGTGTCCTACATCAAAGAGCAAGCAAAGTGGGGATGGGAACCAGGTGAACACTTCACCAGGTAGCATCAATGCTTTACAGAACAATCAATCAATTGGTCAATGGGTGGATGGACGGGCAGATGAATGAATAAATGGGTGAAAGGTGGATGGATGGATGGATGGATGGATGGATGGATGAATGGATGGATGGATGGATGAATGGATGGAGGATGGGTGGGTGAATGGATGGATGGGTGAATGAGTGGAGGATGGGTGGGTGGGTAGATGAAAGAAAGGAAGGAAATACAGATAGATGAGTAGATGGATAAATGGACAGATTGATGAGTGGGTGGATGGACAGAAGGAAGGAAGAGAAGAAAGAGTGGATGGGTGGATGGATGAACAGGTTAATGAATGGATGAGTGGATAGAAGGAAGGGAGGAAGAAAATATGGATTGATAGATGGGTGGGTAGATGGGTCAATGGGTGGATGAATGAATGGGTGTGTGAGTAGAAGGAAGGAAGGAAATATGGATGAATAGATGGATCGGTGGGTAAATGGGTGGAGATGGGTGGCTGGATGGAAGGAAGGATGGAAGAAAACATGGAAGGATGTCCATTTGTAAATGAATAAAAGGACAGATGGATGGATGAGTGGGTTAATGGATAGAAGGAAGGAAGGAAAGATGGATGGATGGATGGATGGATGGATGGATGGATGGACAGATGAATGAATGGGTGGACGGATAGAAGCAAGGAAGGGCATATGGATGGGTGGATGGACCCTTTGCTCAAGATACTCCCTGGAACTGCAGAGAAAGGGGTTAAGCAAGAGGGTGAGGAAAGACTGGTTCAATACTTCAGGAAGGCTCCACATGAAATTTCCACAGGCACTAAAACCACCCAGCAGCTGTCCAGAGTCCTGGTGTCCCTGCTTACCCTAGTGTCTCTGCCCACACCTTGGAGATGGGAAGTGGAGGCCAACTGGGGAATAGGAGGAACCCAGAAAACCTCAGCAGTCGCCAGAGCAAACCACCTTCTGCCCTAAGCCGTGGAAAGGCTTAGAGGCCAGGCCTACCGGCCACAGAAAGTAGAAGAGAGTTGAATGGTGGTGGAATCAATGCAGTAGGCAGCAGCTAGCTAAGAAAGGATTTTCTCCGAGAAGGGCTCCAGGTCCCGGCCCAGGCCCTGGCCCTGCATGAAGGTTGGGGTGGGCCTCTTCCTCCCCGAGTCCAGGGCCAGGGCTCCACTCGGGGAGGGAGCTGGCAGCCACCTGGGGGCTCCTCGGGCTTGCATCTATTTGCAGCCTGGACTGCTTGCTTTATTTATTTGTGCTTTTGGCTCCCATGTGCCACAGACCCCGTGTGCTTTGTTCTGCCACTACACGGCCACATGGCCTTGGACAGTGCTGCAACCTTGCAACCCCCCAACCTCCTCCGCATCGACAACAGAAAGCCACCACACATGTGCACATACACACACACACACACACCAGTGCATGCACATATGCACACCAATGTGCACATGCACCTGCAGACATGAACACACACACGTGCCTGCAAGCACACACACACACACACACAAACACAAAGAGGCGCCCACTCTCTAGTCACAACTCTCCTCTCTCCTCTCTGGAGCCTGTCCCTGCTGTCTGGCCCATCCTCTGGCACCCCACTCACCTCTACTGATCCATGCATCTCTTTCTTCACACACACGAAAGCTTGTATCTGAAATGTTCACACTCATGTCTCAGCTTGAAAATTAAATCCCTTTAATGACTGAAGGTCCAGGTCCTTCTGCAAAGGAAACCCTGGAGCGAGTCCTTGGGTAAAGTTAAACATTCTTTTTGGAAGCCTGCCGGCCAGGCCCAGGCCAGATGCTGGAGAGGGAAGAGCCAGGGCTAGGTGGGCAGATTTCTCCTTTCTCCAGGTGTGAAGCTCAAGTGATCTCTTTGGGGACAACTAGCTGTAGCCAGCTGGGCTTACCAGCTCAGCCTCCCCGACAGCGTCCTAATGGAGAGCTATCTAGTGAATATTCCTTCAGGTCTTTTTTTCACTATTTTTATTAAAAGACAGTATAGGCCTGGGTTCAAATCCTGTTCTGCCACTTAGTAGCTGTGTGACTTTGGACAAGTCACTTAACCTCTCTGTGCCCTGATATCTTCAGTCTATAGAATGACGATAATGTCAATACCACCTCATTGCATTATTGTGAAGAGTGAATGGGAAGACACATACAGTCACTAGCACCGTGCCCAAGTTGTTAATAATGAAGATATTGCTGCCATTTTATTTACAGTGTACTAAATAGTGAACAATATGATTCTATTTACAGCAAACCGTGACGAATGGATGGCATGGGCTCAATGCCAGCTTCCAGCCCCAGTCACTAGGCTGCAGTTCAGCCCGCCTTGAGGTAAGGCTAAGGGAACTCGAGGCCCTGGCTCAGGCCTGGTCTATGCCTTGTCTTCTTGCTCCACGTCCTTGGATGCCGTTGCACACCCCACCCTGGGCTCACTGGGTTTTTCCCTTGGCCTCCACCTGCAGTTCCCAGGTTCAGATCTCAGGATATGTATCAAAGCTCAAGGAACAAGTTTCCTTCTGGGGCTGCCCATGTCCCCCAAGAATGGGCTGTCCCCTGGAAGAACCAGGGGAACACTCATCAGTCCTCTAGACCGTCTGAATCTGGTTGCTGGTGAGCCCAGAGAGGGGAAGCAACCTGCCCCGAGACACACAGCAAGGCAGCGGCAGGAGGCTCCCAAGGCTCTGAGCTCCAGCCTCTCACTCCACCACCAGACAAGTTTACAATGGAACTAGCTCACGCCCCAATGACATGGAAGGGAGAATGAGCCCTTGGTAAATATGAAAAGCCACCTCCTCCCTCCTGAAGTCTCCACCACCAACAGCTGCTCATACACTTCCTGCTATCTTCATGCTGTGGTCAAGGCTGACCTCTCTTCTCCGCCCTTCAGGAAGAGAAGACATTAAAGCATGTGAGAGAGGGGAGGGCCCTGGGGACGGGGAGCCGGCAGAGCCGCCAGCCTCGCTGAGTGCAGTGACAGAAAGCAGCCACTCCCGCCTTCAGTGTGGAGCCCAGGCCGCACCCAGCCTGGAGTCCGGGGCCTCGGGCAAGCTGCCTCCCTTCCAGGCCGGCGTGGGCCACTCCAGGACCCCGGGACTCCCTGCCCTCACTTTCACAGAGGCAGCTGGGTGTTCTGGGTGCACAGCTCCTGTCAGCAGAGCAGGCTCGGGAGCCCACTCGGCTTCAGGCAACCGTCAGCAAAAAACAGTAACAGCACGATCCCTCCTGCTCACAGGCACCTTCCATGCCAACAAGTCCTGCAGGAAAAGCCCAGATGACTCCAGGATGGGCCCCTGACTTCGAGGCAGGCCAGCCCCCTCGTTTCTTCACTTTTTTGACCCATGAGGAAACAGAAGCATTCATTAGCCAGAAGCATGTGGACGTCCATGCAGCCGGCAGCACCATGGCCTGGGCCAGCAGGGGCCGAGAACAGGACATCTGATTCTTTCCTCACCTTCCCTCAAGGACAAGGTCAGCCAACAGAGCATGGGGGCGAGGATGTGATGGAAGAATGCATTTATAACCAAGGAGAGCCAGACTGCCCTCACCGGCTAAGATTAGGCAATAAAGGAGTGCTGAGGTTTGCATAGAATCAGGGCTGCCTCCCTGGAAGAAGAGGACTGTGAACCAGGTTGAGAAGGCCCCAGGACTGAAGCATGTACCTAACTTCTGGTGTTAAAATGTCTGCACAGTTCTACCCGCCTGCTTGCTGGGCAGGGCAGCCACCTGCCAGCCGCTCCTGTGACCTCCGAGAATGGCTGAAACCTTTGAGGTGTCTGTCCAACACCAGCCGGGAAGTATTACAGCTGGGGCGTGTGTTTGGGGCTATTTCTGAGTGTCGCGGGAGAGAAGATGAAACGGCTGGTATTTCCTGATCACTCTCACTGGCTCATTGTGACCTTCGTGTAGCTTCAAGCAGTTCTGAGACTCCAGGAGCTGGGGTTGTATCAGACACTGCCAGTGAGTGGGGCAGACACGTTGAAGCAAGCTGGGCGTGGCAGAAAATCAGGTGTGCCCGAGGCCTGAGCACCCCCTCCCTTTTGGTCCTCACAGCAGTAGGATTCCCCCGTAGACATCTGGGTCCTGATTGCGTGGCTCTGGAGAGGGAGGAGAGGTTGTCCACAGCACCACCCCCTCTGCAGACACACACACACACACACACACACACGCACGCACACACCCACGCACACGCGCGGGCGCACACGCAAACACACACATGCACACACACACACACACATATCTGAACAGGCCAGGCTGGGTCAATGCAGTGTCTCGCTGTGAAACGAGGGGAGAGCAGACGCCCTGTCTGAGAGCCACATGAGCCAGCAGCCTGCGTAGGAGCAGCAAACCATGTCCGAGACTCTGGGTGGGCCTCGTTTATGTCTGGAAAGAAAAGGGATTCTGAGGAGGGCTGGGGCAGGCAGCCGGCTGCAGGGCAGGGAGCTCACCCCCATTCACCGCAGCCCGCAGCCCACCATATGGGCCAGGAGGCTCAGCAGGCCAGCCCTGGCTGCCAGGGTTCCCCGGGGACAGCTTTGGAGCGCCTGGCTCAGCGGCGCCTTTCTCTTGGATGTTTAACCTCCCAAAGCTGTTGGTGGTTGATCAGGCAAGCAGAGGGTGCTTCGACTCTGGCCGACTTGAAGAGCCCTCTTGCCTCTCCTGCATGGGATTTTCCTGCCCGTGGGTCTGTTGATGAAGGGGGGTATCCCTGGGTCACCACCAGCTAAAAGGCATTTCTTTAAAATAAAAAAAAAAAAGCCAGATATAGACAGCACTGCCTGCAGGAGCCAGGTGAAGAGCAGGATAGAAACAGTTGCCCAGATTCTCCAAGCCCAGGGATGACTCCCACCTTCACTGTCTGACCTCGGGCCTCAGGGCCCGGATAATTGTCTCATCGGGCCTCCACCCTAGACTGTCTGAATACTTCTGCAGCCCAGCCCTCACCACAGAGGCCATTGTCATTTTTTAAAAATAGTAATAATGGATAAACATTACATTTAAATTGTGATACATCTAGACAATGGAATATTACTCAGAGAGAAAGAGAAATGGGCTATCAAGCTACATAAAGACATGGAAGGAAATGTAAACACATATTGCTAGGTGAAAGAAGCCAGTTCCAAAGGCTGCAGCCTGTATGATTCTGACTATGTGACATTCTGGAAATGGTAAAACCGTGGGCCGGGCGCAGCGGCTCACACCTGTAATCCCAGCACTTTGGGAGGCTGAGGCAGGCGGATTATTTGAGGTCAGGAGTTCAAGACCAGCCTGACCAACATGACGAAACGCCATCTCTACTGAAAAAATGTATATACAAAAATTAGCTGGGCGTAGCAACATGGGCCTGTGGTCCCAGCTACTCAGGAGACTGAGGCAGAATTGCTTGAACCCCGGAGGCAGAGGTTGCAGTGAGCTGAGATCGTGCCACTGTACACCAGCCTGGGCAACAGAGCGAGACTCCCTCTCATGAAGACAGTAAACAGATCAGTGGCCACCGGGGTTTGGAGGGGAACGGAGGACGACTGTGTGGAGCGCAGGGGGTTTTGGTTAGTGAAATGATTCTATAACTTACTGGAACGGTGGATACAGGGCATTGTGCGTTTGCTGAAACCCACAGAGTATACAACACAAAGCGTGAACTCTAATGTTGACTGTGGACCCTAGTTAATGACAATGTATCGGCATTGGTTCAATTGGAACAAATGTGCCACACTAATGCAAGACCTCAGCAACAGGGAAAGTGTGTATGTTGGCAGTGGGGAGGGTAATACAGGAACACTGTATTTTCCACTCAATTTTTCTGTAGACCTAAAACTTCTCTAAAAAGTAGTCAATTAACTCTAGTCTGGGCAACATAGTGAGATCCCCATCTGTTAAAAAATATTTTTAGTAGACTCTAAATTAAATAATAATAACAGGCCGGGCGCAGTGGCTCACGCCTGTAATCCCAGCACTTTGGGAGGCCGAGGTGGGCGGATCACCTGAGGTCTGGAGTTGGAGACCAGCCTGACCAACATGGAGAAACCCTGTCTCTACTAAAAATACAAAATTAGCCGGGCGTGGTGACGCATGCCTGTAATCCCAGCTACTCGGGAGGCTGAGGCAGGAGAATTACTTGAACCCTGGAGGCGAAGGTTGTGGTGAGCCAGGATCACGCCATTGCACTCCAGCCTGGGCAACAAGAGCAAAACTCCATCTCAAAAAATAGTAACAGTAAATTACACACAGTGCACATTTCATTGTGTGTCTATTAACCATGCCTTTTATTTTCTGCATTCTGATGCTTTGACATCTTGGGGCCTTCCGGACCCTGGTGGGACTGCCCCCTCCCAGGGTTAGGTAATTTCTAAATGTAGCAAACAGCTCACCTTCTAAAGGGCCTTTCATATGCAAACCAACCAGTCCAGAGCCGACACCCCAGCCACCTCCTTTATCAGGCTCTGTCACTCTGGGCCACTATGCACCTGCCCTGATCACCCCAGGGCCAAGTGCCAGACATCTTGGGACAACCCCTATCCCCAGAGCCCTCTGAAACTATTCAAACTAGCAATCCTAAACCTGGTTACCCCACCCAGTCCTTCCCATGGAAACCACAGGAAAGGCTCCTGCCGGGCTCTACTTCCCTCTGCCTCTGGCCAGCCCTGGTGCTTCCCCGTGTGGCCTGCATGGTGTGGTCTGGGCCTTTCTCGAGGCTGTGAGTAATAAACTGTCTTGTCCATTGCCTGGTCCATTAGCCATATCAGACCTAAATAACAACAGCACCTACATTTTAAACAGCACTGACCTAGGACCGACACAGGGTGAGGCGCTGGACAAGTTATCCACCCGGGACTCTCGTTTTGAAGGTGAGCTTAGCTTGGTTTTCAGGGCAGCAGCAGCAGCTCCTAAATTGAAGGATTTTCAGCCTGTGGAGTAGCCATGAGACCCATGCTCTCTGGGAGTCCTGGACTGTGGGAGTAGGGATGGAGCCCACCCCGTTTACTCCCCAGGTGAATGAACTGAGGTCCAGAGAGGGGAGGATTTGCCCGAAGTAGCCAAGCTCACTAGCAGCCCATCTTGCACTTGGCACGTGTGGGAAGCCAGAGAAGCTGGGCACAGCTCAGTGTCTCATACCCTCTGCCATCCCTGGAGGGGTGAGGCTCAGACACCCACTGCCGACACAGACACCCAATTTCAGTCAAGCCCCCAGACCCCCAGCCTACCCATGGCAAGGACGTTCCAGCCAAGTTGCCTTTCTTCCTGTTCCTCGGTATCCTGTCCTCCTATCCGGGCCTCACCTGACCTCAGTGCCACCCAGGGCCCCAGCCCTCCAGTTCAGGAGGGCTCGAGACCTGCAGATAGGATCTTAGCACTGACACGTCAGAGGGTCCCCCGATGCACACGAGCCACCTCCCCTCCCTCACCGCTGCTGCGGGGCAAAGCCAAGCAGATGCTCTTAGCAGAGTGGCCCTGGGATGCCTTGGGAGGCACAACTGGTAGCTGCGTGCAGCTCAAAGCTGGAGCCACCTCCAATGCCCAGAGGAGGCTGGCCAGAGGGGCGAAGAGGAAACCAGGCTGTCACGTCAGGTCAAGTGATACATTCGGTGGTGGCCTGACCCCAGCCGGCTTGGGGAGGAAGCTTTGGGACCCGGACTCTCATGCCCAGACTCTGTGTGTGTGTGTGTGTGTGTGTGTGTGTGTACACGCGCATGTGCGTCTGTATGCACATACGTGTGTGTGCATACACGTGTGTGTGTGTGTGTGTGTGTGTGTGTGTGTGTGTGTGTGTGTGTAGGGGCAGAGTGGAGCTCTCCCTAAAAGTTCTTCTTAAATAGATAATGTTTATCAAGAAGTACCCAGACCAGCAGCGGGAAAAATACTTAATAACCACTTAAGTAAACAGCAAGATTGGCAGGAACCATTTTTCAAGAGAAAAGAGCTGGGAGAAGGCTGCCAAGCGATGGATGGAAAGTATAATAAATTCCACGTCACTGCAGAGGCTCTGGCTCTCCAAGGCACTCTGGGCCCATATCTGTCGCTAAGGCTCTGATGGGCCGGCACAGGACACTTCATCATCTTACTACTTTGACATATCACATCCCAAAAGGTGGTGCTGGGCTTGGGATGTGGTGGCTGTTCTTCCCAAACCACTGGGAGTTTGGAGAGTTCTGTGTCTGTGGAAGGGGAGCTGCGTCGAGCTCGCTGGGGCTGTGGCACCAGGAGGAAAGAGCATTTTCCAGGAGCCAGTGTCCCAGGCAGAGGATGGGAGGTGGCCTTAGGTGATGGCATATGAAGAGGGCCGTTCCTCCTCCTTCATGCAAGGATCATGCAGCTGGCCCTAAGCCAGCCTCCAGGCACTCTGGCCAAGCCTCATGTGCCCTTCCCCTTCCCCAGTAGTTCCCAGCGTGGGGCAAACAGTTCTGTCTTCTCAAGACCCAGGCGACGTGTCTCCTTTGCAGATGCTTCAGAATCCGGAGCAAGAACTCTGCAGAATGAGGCAGCTGAAGTGCCCCAGTGGAACCTCATTCTGCAGACCTAGCCCAGGGGAGGTTACCGGGCAGGCAGCTTCACAAACCCACACACAAGCAAAGGGATGTTTTATTTGAGACCACGAGGCCATGGTGATTCCCAACTCACCAATCCATGCTCCGGCACTGACCTGCTGTGTGAACTCAGACGAGCCCCTTAACCTCTCCTCCACCTCAGGTGTTCTCCCCCGTCAAATGCAATTCACAGTTTTAGCTCTGCCGGCCCCGCCAGGCTGTGGGCAGATCAGGTGAGAAAAAGGGATGTGAAAGCAAGTTTGTGAACGGCACAGCACGGAGCAAAGGCAGGACACTGTCACTTCCCATCATGGGTGCTGAACACAGAGCCACACCCCTGCCAGCCTCAGGCCGGGGTGCCCAGCCTCCCCCAAAAAGCTGCATCACAGGGCTCTCCCAAGCCCTTATTTGCATTTAGCTCCCCTCTGTGGTCCTCCCTGCAGTGGCTGAGGATGGTAATAATGACAGTAGCTGAGCTTCGTTGAGTGTGTTGCACAACAGCGCATTGCACTCTCCCAGCAACCCCGTTTTTCAGATGAGGAAGCTGAGGTGTAGAGAAGGTAAGAAATTGGCCAAAGTCAGAGTGAACGAGCAGTGAGGCTGGGTGTCCGCCTCGGATCTGTCCGGCAGCCCCTGGGCTGGGTTTCTCAGGCATTGGCCCTCCAGCTTGGTGATTTTTGCCAGCGTTGTGCCCACCCTGGACTATGATGTATAATATTGTGTGTGTATGTATTAGGTATAGTCATTTATTCAACACATTTTTATTGAGGACCTAATATATGTGCCAGGCATCACTCTGGCGTTAGACATAGGTAGTAAACCAAATGGACAAAAATACCTACCCATGTAGGGCTTTTTATTTTTTGAGACAGGGTCTTGCTGTGTCACCCAGGCTGGAGTGCAGTGGTGCAATCACGGCTCACTGCAGCCTCTGCCTCTGAGCTCAAGTGATCCTCCCACCTCAGCCTCCAAAGTACCTGGGACTACAGGTGCATACCGCCATGCCCACCTAGTTTTTGTTTTGTTTTGTTTTGTTTTTTTTGTAGAGACAAGTTTCACCATGTTCCCCAGGCTGGTCTCAAACTCCTGGGCTCAAAAGCAATCCGCCTACCTCAGTCTCCCAAAGTGCTGGGATTACAGGTATGAGCCACCCCTCCTGACCATGAACCTACTCACTTTTGAAGTAACGTTTATTTTCAGTCTGGGTATGGTGGCCTATAATCCCAGCACTTTGGGAGGCCAAGGCAGGTGGATCACTTGAGGTCAGGGGTTCAAGACCAGCCTGGTTAATACGGCCAAACCCCGTCTCTACCAAAAATACAAAAATTAGCCAGGTGTGGTGGTGCTCGCCTGTAGTCCCAGCTACTTGGGAGGCTGAGCCACAAGAATCACTTGAACCTGGGAGGTGGAGGTTGAAGTGAGCTGAGATCCTGCCACTGCCCTCCAGCCTAGGTGACAAAGGGAGACTCTGTCTCAAAAGAAAAAAATAATAATAATAACATTGATTTTTAAAAGACAAGTTCATGTCGCTACTACAAATGAAAATCCAGCATTGGATTTTCTGATCCTGTAAACATAAATAACATTAGAAATCAAGGTCAGCAAAGTCTAGCTGAGTGTTCTTGTCTGCTGAAGGCTTGAATCCTGAAGAACGCTCTTATTTGCTTAAAAAGGAGATTTCCAATCTTCAAAAATGTTTAAACATGGAATTATCCTATGACCCAGGAATTCCACTCTTAGTATACACCCAAAAGAATTGAAAACAGATATCCAAATACTTGCACATGAACGTTCACAGAAGCACAGTTCATCTCACAGAAGCAGAAAGGTAGAAACAACCCAAATGTCCACCCAGGGCTGAATGAATACACAAAGTGTGGTTGACCCACGCAGTGGAGTGTCACAAAAGGAGGGCCCATGGCTGGGCGCGGTGACTCATTCCTCTAATCCCAGCACTTTGGGAGCCCGAGGTGAGCAGATCACCTGAGGTCAGGAGTTCGAGACCAGCCTAGGCGACATGGTGAAACCCCATCTTTACTAAAAATACAAAAATTAGCCAGGTGGGGTGGTGGGCACCTGTAATCCCAGCTACTCGGGAGGCTGAGGCAGGAGAATTGCTTGAACCCCAGGAGGAGGAGGTGGCGGTGAGCCGAGATTGCACCACTCACTGTATTCCAGCAGTTTGAGTGACAGTGAGACTTCGTCTCAAAAAAAAAAAAAAAAAAAAAAAAGAAGGCCCACAAAAAGAGGGAAGCACCAATTCAGGCTGCAGCACGAAGGAACCTCCGAAACATCACGCTCAGTGAAAGATGCCACACACAAAAGGTCACATGTAAAATAATTACATTGCTATGAAATATCCAGAATAGGTAACTCCACAGAGACAAAAAGCAAGGTGCTGAATGCCAGGGGGTGGGGGGCGGGTGTGGAGATGGGGTGGGGGAAGGAGGAAGGAGTGGTTGCTTAATGAGTATGGGGTTTCCTTTTGGGGTGATGAAAAGTGTCCTAGAACTAGATAGAAGCGACAGTTCCACAACATTGTGAACACAATAAATGTCACAGAAGTGCGCACTTTAAAGTGGCTAGTGGTGAATTTTATGTTCAGTGAATTTTATCTAAATTTTTTTTCAAATGGGAGATTTCCAAGTGTTAGCAAGGTGTTAGAGACATACCTTCACCAAATGAGATTTTCTCCTTAATGCTGTAAGAGAAGAATGAACGAGAATGGCATATTGCCTGCTAATCTCCACGGTACTTTCGCCTGCAGTGTCTCCTTGGGTCTGCTCGGTGACCTTGGACTGCCGACGGGAAGGTGATGGTATCTGCATTCGTTTCCTGGGGCTGCCATCACGAAGAACCACAGACTGGGGGTGGCCTCAACATCAGAAATGTATCGTCTCACAGTGCTGGAGGTTAGAAGCTCAAGATCAAGGTGTCAGCAGGTTTGGCTTCTCCTCGGGCCTCTCTCCTTGGCTTGCAGGTGTCTGTCTTCCCACTGTGTCCTCACATGGTCTCTGGGCGCTCACACATCCCTGGTGTCTCTGTGTCCAAATTCTTGTGAGGACACCAGTTGGGTTGGATGAGGAGCCACCCTAACGGCCTCATTTCAACTTAATCACCTTTGAAAGGCCTCATCTCCAAATACTGTACAGTCACATTCTGGGGCACTGGGGGCTTGGGCTTTAGCACATAAATTTCGTCGAGAGAGGACACGATCTGGCCCCCAACGATGTCCCAGCTGACTTGATGAGGGACATGCAGAAGGCAGCTCAAGCCACAGAGTTGGTGGGAGCAGCACCGGCCAAGAGCCCGTGTGCTCAGAGCTCCCCCCATATATGCTCCTCCACACCTGCTGCTGCACCCAGGGGTGTGAATGACCATACACACACACACACGCGTGCACACACACACAGACCCACACACGCCCACAAACACACACGCACACACAAACACACGCACACACAAACACACACACGCACACACATGCACACACACAAACACATGCACACACAAACACATGCACGCACACGCACACAAGCACACACACGCACACACGCACACACAAACACACATGCAGACACAAACACATGCACACACATGCGCACACAAACACGCACACGCACATATGCACACACTTACACAAACATGCACACACTTACACAAACATGCACACACACACGTGCACACCATCTGTTTCAGAGATCAAGACTGTTCAGCCTCAGCTCCCTTGCCCTTGCCATCTCCACTGTGTCTCCCTCTCAATCCAACAGCTGCACAGGCCCCCACGAAGGCTCTGATCCAGCATCTGGGGGATGCATGTGACTAACTAATTAACTCTAATGAATTACGTGTCCACACGCCTGGTGAAAAGGACGCACACGGAGGATGCATGCTTTCCCGAGTTTGGACCTGGAGAGATTGATAACGACGACCATGCATTTGGAATTCAGAGTTGGGTCTTTGTTTAATATGCATCTTTCTTCTCCAGGCATCAAAGAGATTATTTTTTTTTTTTAGAGTAAACAGACTTCAAAACAGGATTTAGTCTCTGAAAGCCTGCACCTGATTTGTCAGTCCTGGCTCAGGCTGCCCCAAGCCTTAATCATTTTGCAGGTGGATGAAAGAGATCTGAGATAGTGACGGGGGGGAGAGGAGGGGAGAGGATGCGTGCGGAGGTGCCAAGCATACTGGCTCTGCTCCTGCAACTGAAGCAGACATCAGGACCCGGTCTGTTTGAGCCAGAAACAAAGGGCACCAAGCAATAAAAATGAGCCCATCTTCTCGTCCCACACCTCCCACGGCCATGGCCTCACAGGAGCCCCGTCTCCTCGCTGAATACGTCCAAGGATGTGTCCATTTCATCCTGGCTGTTTTAAAAAGCCATCCTGGAAAAGATGCTCACGTGGGTAGCCCTTTGCCTCAGCGTCAGCTGGTTGACTCCACTCGAAGCAGCCCCTTCCTGCACCAGTAGCCCCTCCACCCTGCTCAAACCCGAAACTGGGGTCCCCTTCAAGGTCTCTGTGCCCCTTGCCCCAGGCCAAGCCTGCAGAGTCCAGCCTTGCAGACCAAGCCTGCAAAGCCCATTTTCAAATAATATGTTCTCATTCTCGAGGGGCCCCTGCTCCCCCCATCCCTCCCCAGCCACATGGCTGGACTGAAGCTTGCACCTGTTTTGATATCCAGGGAAGGGTCTAGCCCAGTAGGTCACCTGTCTGATGGCTGCCCCTTAAATGCAGGTGGCATGCCCAGAAAGACTCAACCTGCCTCTGAAACCCTCCCTGGTCCCCACAGAGGGACAGCCACCCCCCTCCCTCCCTGCACCATCACCAAACACAGATCAGAGCCTGTATCTTCTTTCTTGTCCCACTGTGGTCTCAACAGCAAAGCAGTGTCCTGTTACATGATTGGGGGGTGGGGCGAGATGTTCGGGGAGGCCCGGTTCAGTCACACTGGTGGTGCCTATAGTATCCAGCAGCTGCCTGCACCCAGTATGTCTACACCCCCTCAGAAGCCGGGTTTCTGCACTGCCCCGCCTCCCCGCAGCAGAGTGTGGACCCTCAGTGCAAGACAAGCAGTGCCCAGAAGCTGGGTGTGGAGTCAGACAGAGCTGGACTAAACCCCAGCGTCTCCTCTTTGCAACTTTGGGCAACTTCTGAACCATCCTGAGCCTGTTTCCTCTTAGGAAGAATGGAGGTGATCATGGAACCTGCCCTCGGAGTGAGTGTGATGTGATAGATGGTGTGAAAATGCCTGGCACAGAGCGGGCACTCGGCACACACTAGCTCCTCTGCTTACTCCTGTGCCCCTCGGCTCCTTAGAAAGAGAAGGCTGCTCAGCGGAGAGAGGAAGGGTGCAGGGAGAGGGGAGGGCGCCAGGAGAAGGGAGGGTGCAGGGAGAGGGGATGGAGGGCCCTACTCCCCATTCAGGCCAAACTGCATTTCACCAATCTCCAGGTTCCCATGTGACCCCCAGCTCCTTGGGGCACCTACGTGCTCCCCTGAATCTCAGCCCCCACTTGTGGGCACTGAGGGAGCTCAGACTGCAGAAACATCCAGGCTGGCTCCAGCCCGGCCATTCTGACCACATACTCGTGCTAATTCCGCCAGAAAGACCAGCCTGTGGTTAGCAAGGGCAGCTATTATGGTTTCCAGAAAATTCCTTTGAGCAAAGAGAAGCTGTTTGCCATTCCTGAGGCCCCTCCAGCCTGTACAAATGTGGCTTTCCAATTAAGCTGGGGCTGCTCCCAGATCTCTATCTGCTTTCCTTCTAAAGTAAGAAAAATCCTAGAGCAGTAGGCACTCCTTTTTATTTTTCTAAATCACTTCCAGTTATTTTTTCTGATGACCCAAGTAGTGCCTTTTCTGTTACCCAGGAACATGGTAGAGGGGCTGATTGGGGTCAGAAGTCCGGGGGACCAAGTTGGGGACCTCATAAGGAGAGACAAGTTTGGGAGAAGGATGGCAAGCTCCTCTCTGGATGGGTTGAGCAAGAGGCACTTTAGAATTCTTGAATCTGCCTCTGGGCAGGAATGTCTGGGAGAGTTGGATGCCCAAGGCTGGCTCTCAGGTGTGGGCTGGAGTGGCAGACTTGGAGTTCCTTGGCACAGATACGACATCACATCATGGGCTTGGATGGGGTCTCTGGGACAGTGTGTGGAGTTGAGAGAGGAAAAGGCCAAGAATGAAACAAGGAAGAGAAAACCTGGAGAACAGAAATCATCAAAGTGTGGCAGGAACACAGAGGGGGACGAGACCAAGACAGAGGGATGCAGTGAAGCCGGGGAGGAGGGGGCTTCAAGAAGGGGCAGGTCAGCTACATCATGTGGCCAGAGAGCTCAGTTCAGATGAGGCCCCAAATGGCCCACTTGATGTGGTACTTGACATGTCAGCAGGCAACCAGGAGAACACAGCAAAAGTGACATTATGCCAGTTCTGGGTCCAGTCTTGAAGACTGGCACATTTCACTTCCTCTTTCTTAAAATGTGCTCTCTTGGGGCCCTCCCTCTCAGACCCAGGCACCCATGCTGTGAGAATCCCAGCCTAGGATACGTGTAGCCTCTCCAGTCAACAGCCCTGGTGGAGTGGCCAGCCCAGAGTGAGTCAGCATCAAATGCCAGATGTGAGTGATACATCTTGGGGACTCTGACTTAGTCATGTTTGTTTATGACTGAAGCCCCATCCAGAAGAACCTCCCAGCTGAGCCCAGTCAACTCATAAACTCATGAAATAACAAAATGGTTGGTTTTCACAAGCCAAAAAAAAAATGTGTCATCAGAGATTCCACCAGAACAACTTTAATGGCTTGATGGGGATAGACCCCTAACCAAGAGGGATAAAGCATGAACAAGCATGTGTATTGTGTGCACATAGGCATGTGTGCAGGGAGGAGAGACAGTGTTTAGAAGGGCTTCGTTGAGGAACTTGACTTTGGAAGGATTGCTCATTTCCCTTCACTATTTAAAAGGTCCCATCTTTGCCAGGTCTCAGGCAAATTTCCTACCAGGAAAAGCCCACCCACAGCTTGAGAAAGCGGCTTCATCAAAGATCTTGACCCTGTGATCAAGCAGTCTCAGAGCCTTAGGCAGGGAGCAGCAGCCTCAGGCCCCAGTCCCAGCCCTTCTACTTAAATTATTGGGTCTCAGTTGGAAACAGTGGCTCACGACTATAATCCCAGCACTTTGGGAGGCTAAGGCAGGTGGATCGCTTGAGGTCAGGAGTTCAAGTCCAGCCTGGTCAACATGGTGAAACCCTGTCTCTACTAAAAATACAAAAATTAGCCAGGCATGGTGGCACACGCCTGTAATCCCAGCTACTCGGAAGGTTGAGGCATGAGAATCACTTGAACCAGAAAGGTGGAGATTTCAGCGAGCTGAGATCGCACCACTGCACTCCAGCCTGGGTGACAAAGCGAGACTCTGTCTCAAAAAAAAAAAAAAAAAATTGGGTCTCAATTTCCTCCTCTCCAATGCAGGGTTAATGGCACTTCGCCTGCCAATTTCTCAGGGCCATTGCTGGAAAGAAATAAAATGAAGGATATAAAAACTATCAAGGCAAAGGCTAATGTAAAAGATTCTTCTGATTCCTACTCAAAGGGAGGAGGAGGTTGAGGGAGGAGGAGGTTGAGGTCCAACCAGAAGCTGGCGGCCTCCTGAAGTTTCGACAGCACACTTCTCTAAAAGCAAGCTTAGGAAGATCAAGGCACCCACAGGGCTTTGAATCTCACTAGCAACCTCTGGCAACCCTTCCATTCTGCTCAGATTGACATTGTGCTAAAGAGCCTGCCTTTGGCCCCTTTGAGGGCTTCTTGGATTTGCAGGGAAAGTTAGGGACTGCTTCTGTGACCAAAATCAGAAGCCATTTCTACAGCACCTGCTAGAAGAGCTGGCTTCCCTCTCTGTCTAACATAATCCCATTTTCTGCCTCCAACATCTATGGCTTGAAATCTGTGCTGCCTTATGGCATGGAGGAGAGAGCACCAGAAAATGAGCCTAAAAAGTCAGAAGTTCAAAAAAGAGAAACAGAAAACATTAGCACCTTTATCCTACTGACCTGCAGGCAGCATCCTGCACCAGGACTGTGAGGAAGCCAAGAGAAGCCGAGAGCAGGCATAAGATGCAAAACAGAGTAAAATAAATAAAAGTCACGCATCGTGTTAGGGAGAGGGTCCACGTGGCCGACCAATGGCAGCAGACAGCCCCTCCTGACAGCTGCAGCTTTAGGGGGCCTTCAGAGTGGTTTCCATGGCACCCGTGCCTTCATAATCCTCACCCAAGCGGCTCTCCTTCAGCTCACCTTGCGTCACCAAGCTGGAGGAGAAATGAAGTAAGTGTGACAAATATGCTGATATCCAGAGAGAAAGAGAAGGTGGGGGAAGGAGGGAGGCAAGCCCAGGGGCTTCCTCCAGGGCAAGTGGCTGGGGTCCCTGCCTGGGGCTCTGAGGGCATTTCTGGGGGACCAGGCCTAACCAAACTCTGATTTAGAAAAATCCAGGGACTCAAATACCCAAACAGTTTGGAGAGAAAGGTGATCTGAGCTCCTGTGGGCAGATGGTCGGGCCTTACACAGCAGGTCCCTGGGAACACAGAACCCTGGGGCACCAGGCTCCATGGCCACCACGGTCAGGTCTTATTGTGCTCACTCCCCTCCAGGCCCCTGGCAGAAAGTTCAGCCTTTATCTCCACGCTGGCATATAAGCTGTGTGGCCTGCATTCACCGTGTGACCTCGCAAAGCCTGTGCTCATCTCTCTGAAAAAATACTGGGTTGTCCTGAATATTGAAAATCCTATATTTAGATGTTCCCAGCTCATGCCTAGGACATAGAAGGATTGCAGACAGCTGCAGATTTTTAATATACCCATTTCGTTGAAGTACAATTCACATGCAATAAAACTCACTAATTTTAAGTATACCATTTGATGGATTTCAACATGTATATGTAGTCATGGAGCCACCACCCAATCGAGATAGAGAATGTCTCTATGATGCAGAAAAGTCCCTCCTGGCCCTCTGCAGTCAATCTTCTCCCCCCATCTTGGCCCCAAGCAACCACTGATGGATTTTCTGTCCCTAAAGCTCTGCCTTTTCCAGAATGTCATATATACAGAGGCCTCTGTGTCTGGCTTCCTTCACTTCGCACAATGCTTTCAAGGCTCACCCACATTGCTGCATGTACCAGTAGCTCCTTCCTTTTCCCTGCTGGATAGCATTCCATCCTTTGGATTAAACAGAAACTTTCTTGCGTGTGTGTGTGTGTATGTGTATGAGACTGGGTCTTGCTCTGTTGCCCAGACTGGAGTGTAGTGGCCTGATCATAGCTCACTGCAGCCTCGGCCTCCTAGACTCAAGCAATCCTGTTGCATCAGCCTCCCGAGTAGCTGGGACTGCAGGTGTGCACCACCATGCCCAGCTAAATTTTTTTATTTATTGTATTTTATTTCCTGTTTTTTTCTTGTTTTTTTTTTTTTTTTTTTTTTAGAGATGGGGTCTCACTATGTTGCCCATGCTGGTCTCAAACTCCTAGGCTAAAGCAATCTTCCTACCTTGGCCTCTCTAAGTGCTGGGATTAAAGCCGTGAGCCACTGCACCCAGTCAATAATAACTTTTTAAATATTTGATTATGTTTAATGATACTTGAAGTCCACCCTGAGTCCTGTTCCCCTTTGTAATACTCTGCTGTTTCTTCTTGGGTTCATCTCAGAGGTATCATCATGGTCACACCTTCCTGGCATGTTCCTGAGCTTTTATCTTCACGCAGACCCAGTAGTACCTGCTGGTGGGGAGAGGGGTAGGGAAGGGGTGGGGGTCGCCCACCCAACCCAGGCTCACCCCCAATCCCATGTGAAACTGCGCCCACCCGCCATGGCTGCACCCATGGGTGTCACCAGTGGGACAACAGTGCAGGCGTGGCCTTGCTGTAGCATGCCTGGTCCACCTAATGCTTTCCCAGCCCCTGCCTGACCTTTGCCAAATCTGTCCTTTCTTTCTCAGCCCTAGAGCCCCACAGAGAAGGTGGCGTGGAAGGTCCCCACAAAAGAATCCAGCCCTTCTCCATCCACTGATTTCTTTTCTTTCATTCATTCAACAAGAAATTATTGACGGGCTTCCTGTGCCAGGCACAGGCCAGGGGCTGGGTGGCAGGCAGAGGGGCAGCCTCCAGGGCCGCAGGGCCCAGCCAGGCCCACCTCCATCACCTCTCCTTCCCCGCCCCAGACTTGGCCCAATAGGCAGGACTGAAACGAAACCTCGCCCCTCCAGCATCCTCCAATTTCTTGCTCTTAGTTCAGACCCTGCACAGCAGCAGGCAATTGAAAAGGACTTCCGGATACCCGCTCACACTTTCATCCTTCTTTTCTCTCTGCCTTTTTTCATCTTCTTTTTAAAAATGCTCTTTAATAGTGGGAAAGTTAGCATGAAAAGGAGAGAAAATGAGGCTTGAAAAGAATGTGTCTGATGTGCAGCAATTTGTTCACCTGCGAGAGGTTCTTCCCCTCCTGAACCTCGCTGCTGGGGGGCCCAGCGCTGCCGGGCGGCAGGAGGCGGGAGGCGGCTGGGAAGCTAGAGGAGGCCCGCTCTTCTGCCCTTCTGAAAGCAGAGGCAGGAGGTGGGTCAAGGTAAGAGATTGGCCTCATGACAGCAAGTAAAGTCAGGGTCGTAGGAGACCAGGGTCACCTGCCATGTCCCTCTGGCATCTGTTGGAGCCACAATAGGGACCTGGAGAATTGTTCACCATAAGGCATTTCCTTTCCTGTCTTAAGGCAAGAGCCTGGTGTCCTGTGTGGTGGGGAAAGGGGGCCTAGAGTCAGGGAATGGGGTCCCAGCAGGGCAGGTTCAGGGCCTGGTCACCCCAGGACTCAGACCACCATTTCTTCCTCCCTCCTACTTGGGCTCCAGCCACATGCCCCACTGACCTCTGGAAGAGCCAGTCAGATCCCAGCGAAGGATCCTTCCCCGAGGATCCCAGCTGGGCTTAGGGTTTCAAGAAAGCCTCAACTGGCCTCCATCCACTCTGCGCTGGACTGAACCAGCTGCCCCCTCCCCTTACTCAATGAGAAAGCTCAGGACCCACATGCAAGACAGAGCCTGCAAGAGAAGACCCCCGTCGAGCTCCTTTCCTGCAAAGGAGACCATTCTTTGGCTCCTATCATGAGAGGCAGGGAGGCAGGGAGGCAGGGAGGCAGGGAGGCAGGGCCAAAGTACCCACAGGGCAGGTGCTGCTAGAGCTTGTTTCCCTGGGAAATGACAGAGGGGTACGACGCCAGCGAGCCTGGAGTCTTGACAGGCTGGACGGCCCAATGATTAGACAGTGGGCTCTGGGCCAGCCTGCCTGGGTTCAGATAAAATCAGATCAAATCCATTTGCTGCTTATTAGCTGTGTGGCCAGGACTGGAACCAGACAGAAACTGGGGGTGATTATAGCGGTGCCTCTCTGAGTCATTGTATAAGTTACCACCCATAATGCTCTTGGGATGGTACTTGGCACACAGTAGGTGCACGGAGAAGGCTGGTGTCCCGAGCTCAGCATCATTATTCAGCCAGACCCTCCCCAGCATAGTAGCGCCCACCCCGCTGGCAGGATAGGAGGATGGAGGATGGGTACTTCCCCCCTCCCCTTCCACCTGGGGCAGGGAGAATCTGCCAGGAGTGCCCCGTCCCTGAGCTCCAGCCTCCCCCACCACCCCCAGTGACAAAGACAGAGCTGGAGCTGGGCTGGGTAGCAAAAGCTGCAGACAGGGGGCTGGGCTGATACCTCAGGGTTGCCCCCACACTGCACAACTCTGGGGATGCCATTTACATCAACAGCCCATGGTGGCCCCTGCCCAGGGCCAAGGCACAAGCTCTGGAGGAGACAGGCCAGGGTTCCCTGAGATGCCGTTTGCCCACCAAAGGCTGCTTCAAAGCCCCAAAGAATAAGCCTGACAAGGCAGAGACAGAAGCATGGGCTGAGAAGGGCCTGGGAGCCCGATTTGCCGGTGGGCCCAGCCTGGGGGGACGTGGGTTTTCCCTTCTCCTGGAGCACAGTGGCCTAGTTTTGTCCTGGAGACTGAAAAGACAGACCCAGCGAAAAGCTTCATGCTGTCCCTCCCTCAAAGCCATCTCACGCCCACACATCTCCACACCCCTCCCCAGAGGCCAGAGCTGCGGGAACCCCAGTGAGAGTGTGGTTTCCTCTCAGCCTCGCCCCTCAGAGACTTCCGCTCAGCAGCAGCTGCGGCCAGGCCAGCTCGAGGCGAGACATCAGCCAGTCCTTGTGAAACCTCCCTGCACGGTGGAGACAGACAGAGACAGGGCACCAGGCCAGGCCCCTTCCAGTGGAGGGGGCAGCAAGTGAGCAGGGGCGGTCAGAGGGGTGGGAATCACAGGGGAGAACAGTGACTAGGGAGAGTGATAGAGAAGTGTGTGCCACTGCTGTGTGCATGTGCAAATGTGCATGTATGCACATAGGTATGTGTGCTGCACGCTCAAGTGTGTAGTATGTGTGCAAGTGTGTAGGTGGGTGTGTGCAAATGTGTGAGCAAGCACAGCTGTGTGCAAATGTGTAAGTGTGCACTGTATAGGCACAAACGGATATGTGTCAGTGTACAAGTGCTGCTTGTGCAAGTTTGTGGCTGTGTGTGCAAATGTATGCGAGTGTGTCTGTGCCTGTATGCAAATGGGTGTATGCAAGTGTGCAGGTGTGTCACACAAGTGCAAGGGTGCATTTCTGCAAATGCACATGTGTGCAAGTGTGTGGACATGCGTGCAAATGGGTGCTAGTGCACAGGTGTGTGGGTGTGCAAGTGGATGCAAACGCATATATGTGCACATGTGTTCAATGCATGTGTGTGCAACTGTGCACATGTGTGCAAGTGTGTGTGTGTGAGTGCCCTGGAAAAGAGAGAGGGAGAGGAGGAGGGAAGGAAGAGCAGAAAAATACCTATGGTAAAAGCCAGCACTGCCCAGCAGACATGTCCAATGGAGAGCACCAAGAGGCAGAAACAGCCTCTCTTTGTTCCTGTCTCAGTAGCGGGCATAGTAGCAGTACAATGACTTGTGCTGCCTGCCTGGCAGATCACACAGGTCACAGATGCCTCCTCGTCACAGGATGTGGTCGCTGCACCCTGTCCTAACTCCAGTCCTTTCCCTCACCTTCACCAGCTAACCCCTTCCCTCCAAACCCCCTCCCCTGATTGCTGTCAAGGTCAGCAGGCCCCGCCCCATCCATGAGCGAGCCAAGGGTAGTATCTGCTCAATGCCGTCACTCCGTGTGGGCCAGCTTCTCCTCGCCCAGGAACAAGGGGATTTCCTGACTGTCTCTTTAGGCAGGGTGACGTAAGCTGTTTTGCTAGTGTAGAGCCAAAGAGCCTTCCAGGCCTTCATTTATCTAGATGTGGAGTCCTTTGGGAATGAGCATAGCAGGCTTGTTCCTGCCCAGCATCTTGGAAGATCTCGGACTAGTGCTCCCTGCAGATGATTGGGACCTAAGAAACAGAGCCCTGCAGAAGGACTGGCAAGACCACATGTCCCGGGGTGGCCAGTGTTTCCAGCAGTGACACTTGGGATTGAAACCAACCTTTGCAGAGCGAGAGACCCCACAGTACCAGCTGTGCCACTGACTGGGAAGTGCCCAGCCTTGGCCCTAGAGTGGGAAAATGGCCTGGACATGAAATGTGTGGGGACCTGACACCTGTGCTGGCCCCTGCAGCAGAGGCAGAGGCCCAGGCAGGCGGGGACCTGCTTTTCCCAGGGCTCTCCAGGGAGTCCCTGCACAGCCCTCAAGAGCCTGCCCTGCGTTATCATCCTCAAGGTCAAGAAACTTCCTTGGGGGAGTCTCCAGAGACAGGCAGCCTGGCCATGCCCTGGCGGACCCACCCACTCTACTCCAGGACCTCCGGATTTGGTCTGGGAGTCTCGGCACAGGGGAGTCTGCCATCGAACCAGCCACCTGCATCAGAGCCGGGTCCACCTCCTCCGTCCCGCTGTGGCTCTTTGAGCCTCAGTTTCTTCATCTGTAAGGTGGGAGGTGAGGATGACCAATTCAGTGTCTGGTGAAGACAAAATTTATCCCCTTGTCCAGGGCTGGCCTGGAGCAGACCCTCCCCTTCCTCCTCATCTCGGCCCCAGGACAAGCATGGCTTCCCTCCCTAGCCTTCCTCCCTTGGAGCTCCAGGCACTGAGGACTCCTGGCAGATCTCATTCATCTCTCTCTCTCTCCCTCTCTCCCTCTCTCTCTCTCCCCGACCCCCCCCCCCCCGCCAGAAAGCCACGTAGATATCCCTCTCTCCTGGAAAACTTTCCTGCCCCCAAGCCCCGGTGGGGTGCCTCTCCTACGGCCTTGCATGTATCCCAAACTTTCCCTACCTTCCCATCAATCGTGGTGAGCTGGAATTACCTGATAATCTACCTGCCTCTCTCTTGGACTACAGTCCCCTTGAGAGTGAGACTGGGTCCAGTAGACTGTTGTCTGCCCAGTGCCCAGCACAGGGTAGATGTCCATGAAATATACATGGACCAGTGACCGACTGAGATTGAGACTTGACTGGAAGCATCTTCCAAATGGCTGCTGGGAGAGCAGCCCATCCGGCACCCCAGCTCATGCCCCATCCCCCACTCCTCCAGCTCCTCTCCTCCCAAGTCCCTGCCGTCACAGCCAAGCTCGCGCTCCAAGGCAGCTCTGCCATCATCTGATGCAGACTCGTCAGCTGTTGCCATGGAGACCAGCCAGCAGTGAGCTCTGTGCCCTCCTGCTGCAGGGGCCGAGCAGAGCATGGGGGCACCCTGAAGCGTGCAGAGAGAACCCATCAAGGAGGAGGCGGGGGGAACGCGTGGCTCTGCATCCAGGCAAACCTGGAGTTGGGCCCCATCTGCCCCTACTCTCCTTCCTACACCTGTGACACCTCAGGCAAGTTGCTTCATCTCCCTGAGCCTCCCGTGAAATGCAGAAGATCCCAGCCACCCACTGTTATTGAAGGATGGGATCGACCCATTAGGGCATGGAGCTGTCTCTGTGTCATTTTGGTGTGCCAACCCCTGCCTTGGCTTTCTGGGGGCTGTTTTGAGTGTTCTCTCCCCTTGAACTTTGTGTCCAACTCTCCCCACCTCAACTCAGATGAGGCTGAAGGAAGGAGAGATTCCATTCCTACAATAGCACAAAAAGATTTTCTGTGACATTTGAAAACAAGAAGAAGCCTACAGGTTTGTTAACCAAATTTTGAACTTGGTCTGGCTCTGAGGGCTACTAATGTGGGGGCCACATTGGTTGCTTCCTGCAGTGAGCTAAGGGCTATGGGCAACTCTGCTCATGAAGAGCTTAAGGTGGCATCTCACTTGCAGGACAGCCTCCAGGTCTCACTGGAGTCAGGGAAAGTGATGGTTGTCCTATCTCCTTGTTGCTTTAAATGGTAGCTATCTCTGAAGATGGCTGAATGTCCCTGTGCCCACTGGGGACTTTGGGAACAGAAACATGCCAAGATGCTACAACCGGCCCTGGGCACAAAGCCACCTCTCCAGCTTTCCATGCCCAGCATTAGTCCTGGCATGGAGCTGAACACCTGTGTCTGAGGCAGGCCTAGGCCCTGATGCAAAATGTACCACCCACCTCCTTCTGCCAAATGTCAACTCGACCCAGCTGCAAGGCAGAGAAAACTTGGCAGTGTTCCCAAAGGGGACAGGAGATTGTCTCTTTTGTTAAATGAATGGATGGATGGATGGAGGATGGATGGATAG
Organism: Homo sapiens; assembly: GCF_000001405.40. Lineage (NCBI taxonomy): Eukaryota > Metazoa > Chordata > Mammalia > Primates > Hominidae > Homo > Homo sapiens. Next base: position 77,885,256 of record NC_000017.11, read on the forward strand.
ATAGATAGATGGGTGGATGGGTGAAAGGGTGGGTGGATAGGTGGTTGGATGGATGGGTGGATGATTGGATGGATGGGTGGATGGATGGGTGGGTGGGTGGGTGGTGAATGGGTGGGTGGGTAGATAACTGGATGGGTGGATGGGTGGTTGAATCGGTGGATGACTAGGTGAAAGAATGGATGAATGGATGGGTGGGTGGATGAATGGATGGGTGGGTGGGTAGGTGGATGGATGGATGGGTGAGTGGGTGGATGGATGGATGGGCGGGTGGGTGGATGGATAGGTGGGTGGGTGGATGATTGGAGACAGGAAAGAAAGAGAGAGAGAGAGAGAGAAAGGGAGGGAGGGAGGGAAGGAGGGAGGGAGGGAGGAAAGAAAGAAGGGAAGGAAGGAAGGAAGGAAGGAAGGAAGGAAGGAAGGAAGGAAGGAAGGAGAGAGACAGAAAGAGAGAGAGAAAGAAAAGAAAGAGAGAGAGAAGGAAGGGAGGAAGGAAGGAAGGGAGGGAGGGAGGGAGAGAGGAAGGAAGGAAAGAAGGAAGGAAGGAGAGAGAAAGAGAGAGAGAGAAAGAAAAAGAAAGAAAGAAAGACACAAAGAGAGAGAGAAGGAAGGGAGAAAGGAAAGAAGGAAGGAAGGAAGACAGACAAAGTGAGGAAGATTGCACCAGGATTGCCTCAGATGGGTCTTGCTATGAATAAAATTCAATAATACCAAGAAGAGCTTTACAAAAAGAGAGAGAGAGATAAGGTCAAAGAGACTTTTATGTGCTTCATGAATGAAGAACACTAAGGAGAAACGTTCCAGAAAATTTAGAGGAAAAAAAAAGTGGCTGAACATAAATTTTTGGTGAGGATAATAAAAATAAATAATGCCATAAACTCTTAGAAAACCTGGTGGTTTTCCTTCAAGGGCTTCAGTTAACTCCAGAGTGAGCTGTGAGCTGTGTCCAATTCCGTCATTTCACGGAGCAGGACACTGAGCCACGGGCCATTGAGACTTGCGTGTAATGCGGAGCTGGCGAAACACAACAGTGAGGTGTTTATTGGAGAATTTTGAATATGACTAAGTCCTTCTTTACAGAGCTTAGCATTTTCATCGTCTGTTTTAGGATGAGAGAACAGCATCAGCAGCATTCGGCACGATTGACAGGTTGTGTTTGCTCTTTGCTTATACCTCCTAAAAAGTGGACTGTCTTGGAAGTTTTATTGTAGTTCCCCTCGAAGCAGCCGCAGGTGCTCACTGGCTCACTGACAGCGAGGAGGTGATGCAATGGGCGCAGTCATTCCTCACTGCCATCGGCGTGTGCAGCTTGGGGAAGCACCACAGCACCGGGCGTGGCTCAGTTGACCAGCTGAAGGTTCCAGATCATGGAGGCAGAGAGGAGAAGCTGGCGACAGAGGGCAAGGCGGGATCTGTGGAGGCTCTTCCTCTGCCACTGTGGAACCCTGAGCCAGCCCCCTGCCTCGGGCCTGTCTATATTCCCACAGAGATGTGGAGAGCTGTTATGTGTAGCTAGATGGGTTCTAACGTGTCTCCCAGGGCTGGTATTTGGAAGAAATAATAAAGAGGAAAAAGACATTGCTGATGGATCCCAGTGGATCATGCCTGAGGTTTGGGAGCAGCCCCGGTCTTCCTTATTGAGTCTGTGTGATCTAAGTTTCCCCTCCTGTGACCTGCAGCTTCCTCCCACAGAGCTTTGCAAACTGTTTTGGCATTAGGATCCTTCTGGGAAATAGCACCTTACTCAAGACCCCAAAATATGACACAGATTAAAAAGGAGGCATGTCGTTCTGGGTGGGACGTGGGCTGCCCTACCTGACACCCTGCCTGTTGGGGCTCCCATTTCCACCCTCTCCACCCCGAACTCTGAAAACCCCTGTGCGACAGGGAACTGGCTTTGTCTTGTCTCCTCACAGCCTGACAGCCACAACTCTATTATACAGTAAGACCCCCGAGGCTAGGGACTAAGTCCTGTCTTTTTATCTCCAGCTCCTAGCAGCATTCCTAACCCAAGGCAGCCACACAGTGTTTGTTGAGTGAATGAATGACCTGGGAACTAGTCGCTAGAATAATGCTACATAACAGACAACCCCAGAAATCTCAATGACCTACAGCAACAAAGATCAACATTTTTTCTTCTTAATGGGTACAGATCAGCAGAGGCTGGGCTCCATGTGTAATTTCAGGGCTCATGGCCACACCCAGCATTGACGCGGAGCAGGGAAAAATTCTGCACCCACTCTTGGCGGGGGAGGGCGGGAACGCACTGCAAAGCCACCTGGCGAAAGAGGCAAATGTGAAATTCTACACCAGGGAGGGAGGGAAGAATTAGAAACAGGAATCCAATCTGCCACAAACTAGAAAATGGAAACAATAAAAAAGAATGCCTCCGTGGCGTGGTAGAGGTTGTTACAGCGTCATGTGTTTCAAGCTGCTGTAGGCTACAAAGCCAGGGGTGAGTGGAGCAACCGCGTGCTGTTAATGCCACGTCCCCTCTGCTGCGATCACCGCGCAGTGACCGGAAGGAGAGCTCATTCTCACAGAGGGCGATGACGTGCCGGACACAGGGACCCTTGCGCAACAAGGTCCACCACACAGAGGGATTGAAGCCGTGCGTTCTGCTCTAACAACCGCCCGAGCTGCCCCTCCTCAGAAAATGACCGATTAGGAAGGGAGGCTGGCCTGGCATCTCAAAAGCTGTCAGGACAGAGAAAAATGGGGATATTGTCAGCACTTCAGGCTCGGTGGCGGTATATCCGAGGATGTGAGGGTGTCTGCGTAACTGGCATCGGAATCGAAAGGCCCCGCCTCCCCCATGCACGGGTGCGCGCACACACTCACACCCTCCCTCCCTCCTGCTCCCCCAAAGGGACTCGAATGAAAGGCGTAAATACACCGTGTCTGCCTACCCGAGGGCTGCTGTGAGTGTCAGATGAGAAAACGCCTGGGGTAGTGGCCCGAGACTGAAGCGCGCTCCACGCCTACCAAGTGCCGCTCAACCCCAATTCTGCTCTCGGGGAGAGAAGAGAACTCCTGCCAGACCCGAGTGTTTTCAGAAGTTTGTCAGTTTAGACTTTCCTTTTTTTCCTTTCCAAAGCTCCGCTCACCCAAGAGAATAATGTAAACATTCATGATGGCGTTTTCATAGTCCCGGAGGCATTGATCATGATTGTGAATCTGAAAAGAGCTGAGTTATTCATGTTTGACAATTCAGTCATGCAGCACTCCACATGTTACAATCTTTAATGGTGAACATTGCTTTTACTTTCCAAGCACTTTCTCATCTGTTGTCTCATAGGGGAGGAGTTATTCTCCCAATTAGGGCAATCAGAAAACAGGGATCAAGGCCAGGCACGACGGCTCATGCCTGTAATCCCAACACTTTGGGGGGCCGGGGCAGGAGGATCACCTGAAATCAGGAATTTGAGACCAGCCTGGTCAACATGATGAAACCCCATATCTACTAAAAAAAAAAAAAAAAAAAAAAAAAAAAAAAAGGTTGGGTATGGTGGCATGCACCTGTAATCCCAGCTACTCAGGAGGCTGAGGCAGGAGAATTGCTTGAACCCGAGAGGGGGAGGTTGCAGTGAGCCGAGATGGCACCACTGCACTCCAGCCTGGGTGACAGAGCAAGACTCTGAGAGAAAGAAAGAAGCAAGAAAGAGAGAGAGAGAGAAGAAAGAGAGAGAGAGAGAAAGAAAGAAAAAAAAAGAAAAAGAAGAAAGAAAGAAAGAAAGGGAAGAGGAAGGGGAAAGTGAAGAGGAAGGGAAGAAAGGGGAAGGGAAGGGAAAGCAGAGGTCAAAAAGGATCAGGCCACTCGCCTACTGGGGGATAGCGCATGGAGGAATCAGACCCCACAGCCTGCTCTTCTTCCCCCTAGAACCCTCACCACTGCCAGATCACTGGGCTATGCACTGCTTCCCTCAAAATGCCTTCAGCTTTCTTTCCCCAACCCCTGAGACTTAAGGATCCCACCTCCCTCCAGAGGCCTGTGTCCCGTCCCCATTTGTTCCTCATTTCCCTGGGGTCTTTTTGCATCTCCCTTCTCTCCCTCTGCACAGCCACCGTCCTGCCTCCCTATACAAACCCCAAAGTAACCTACTCTCCCCACAGATCCTCCAGACAGACAGACACCCACCTGCTGCCTTGGCATGGGCTCCCCTGAAAGCAGTGTCTGGGGCTCGAGCTGGTGGGCAGGCATGAATTTGTGTCTGCAGGGGTTTGAACTGTGTTCTCCAAGCGATCATACCCCCAGCAACTGTAAATGTGACCTTATTCTGGAATAGCATCTTTGCAGACGTAATCAAATTAAGGCGAGGTCATAGGGTGGGACTTCAGTCCAAAGGCTGGCATCCTTAAAATAAAGAGAATTTTTTTTTATTTTTTATTTTTGAGACAGTGTCTCGCTCTGTTGCCCAGGCTGGAGTGCAGTGACTCAATCTCAGCTCACTGAAATCTCCATCTTTCCGGTTCAAGTGATTCTCATGCCTCAGCCTCCCGAGTAGCTGGGATTACAGGCACCTGCCACCACGCCCAGCTAATTTTTGTATTTTTAGTAGAGATGGGGTTTCACCATGTTGGCCAGGCTGGTCTCCAACTCCTGACCTCAGGTGATCCGCCCTCCTCAGCCTCCCAAAGTGCTGGGATTACAGGAGTGAGTCGCCACGTCTGGCCAGAAAGGGAAATTTGGACACAGAGACACACGCATGAGACCACCAAGGCAGAGACTGGAGTCTACAAGCCAAGGAACGCTGAGGCCTGCAGGCAAGCGCCGGAAGCAAGAAGAGAGGCACAGGGTGGCTTCTTCCCTGGAGCCGTCAGAAGGAACCCACCTCGCTGACACCTTGATCCTGGGCTTCTGGCCTCCAGAGCCGTGAGAGGATCCATGCCTGCTGTTCGAAGGCTCTCAGTCTGTGCGAATTTGTTACAGCAGCCACAGGAAACCGACACAGTGTCCCTCTCCCTGAGGTGTCTACAGTCCTCAGAAAGAGATGAGGCCAGGGTCACTTGCAGAAAGTCCTTTGGGAAGCATCGTGATTGGAGCAGCTGTGGCCCGGCGGGGAAGGCAGGACTTGGAGCGGGAGAGAGCTCTGTGCCAACCCCAGCTTGTCCCCTCGGTGGGGGCAGGTGCTTAGTGTCCCCCACCAGGGGCTCCTCAACTCTCAAGAGGTGAGTTCAATGCCGATCTCCCAACGTTAATGATAATAATAAGAGAGCAGCAGCCCTTGCCAGGCACCCTGCTGGGCATTCGGAGATATGACTTCTCACCCTTCAAGACGAGTCTGGCCATTCCAGGTCAGAGGAACTGGCCGTGAAGAAGCACCCACAACAGCTGGGACACGGCAGGCAACCACCATGCTTCCAGCCTCTCCCGATGGGAAGGTGTCGGCGTGCAAGGAGCTCTTGCAGGAATGCTTGTATCAAAGACCCCAAACAGGGCAGCAGAGGCCCAAGGCTGGCTGGAGTGCCAGGTGTCAGGGCTGCGTGCCCCCCACCCTCCCATCCACTCTCCCCCACCCACCCCCCACAGTTGAGACTCCTCCCTCCTGGGCAAGGGTCTGGTCATCCCCCTGACACCTGGCTTCCTCTGAACTCTGCTCTGAGAGTCACCTTTCATGCATTCGTCATTCACTCAAAAAGCCCACTCTGAGCACCCAGGCTGTGCCCGATGCCATGCTGCAAAACGGAGCCCTTACTTGAAGATGCAAGCCCAGCACACCTCCAACAGAGGTCCAGGCCTTGGGGCAGTGGCAGAAACCTGAGGCCATGCTGGCTTCCCCCCAGCTCCCCATCCCCACCTCCTCCCCTGCCACCTCCCAGGGATGCCTGTAAGCCCAGGTTTCTCCAACTGGGGTCCTCAGGAGCTCTGGGTGAGGGGCTCAGGACACACTCATCAGCACAGCTTGCTGGAGTAATCATTTTACTTAAGTAGATTGGGATGGGAGGAGTAAATGTTGTTGTTGTCATTGTTGTTTTGAGACAGGGTCTTGCTCTGTCTCCCGGGGCTGCAGTGCAATGATGCACTATAGCCTCTAAACCCTGGGCTCAAGCGATCCTCCCACCTCAGCCTCCCAAGTCTTGGGTGCCACCACACTCAGATAACTTTAAAATATTTTGTAGAGATGGAGTCTCCTTATGTTGCTCAGGCTGGTCTCCAACTCCTGGGCTCAAGTGTTCCTCCTGGCCTGGCCTCCCAAAATGCTGGGATTTTAGAGATGAGCCACTGCGCCTGGCCGGTGTTAACTTAAGTAATTTGATTGTTGCACAACCTAAAGCATAATTGTTCTACTAAGACACATAGGACCATATTACAGGGCACAATGTAAAAGTCATGAATTTCTACAACAAGCCTCAGTGGTTCAGAAACTTCTGTTCCCTTCTGCCTGCAATCCCACAGGATCCGCTCTGGCCTGGAGCAAACTCTCATTTTCCCAAGAGAGCAGCGCCCCAGCCTCCCTCCAGGCCCCATTCCAGAATCGCAGCCTCCTCTTGGTCCAGAAGTACTCGTCCCGAAGCCTGCTGAAAGGCTGAAGCCTGGAGTCACAGGAGTGGCTCCTGGGCAGCCATGGAAGCCTCCTTCCCTGTGGTGGCGGCAGCAAGGACACCAGCCATTAATCACTCTTCTCTCCGTTTTGTCAGACCCAGCAGCCTCCTGAAGATGCTGCATAAACACATTTAACCTTTAAAGGGTCGGGTGGCAGCCCCAGGGAGGGAAAGCTCAACATCCTCACCCCTGGGGTAAGCCCCCCTCCCTCCTCTGCTCTCAGACTCTCCTGGTCAAGGAAGAGGAGGGAGTTTAAAACAAGAAGGAAGGGCTCTTGGTGACCCTCACTCCACCCGTCAAGCTGACAGAGCTCCGGCTACTGAGAATCCAGGGGAGGTTCTCCAAGGAGGACGAGGGTCTAGGAGAGATGTCAGCAGGAGTGGCTGCGCCTGTCTGTCATCGCTTCCCCAGGGGCCTCTGCCACTGTGGCCCCTGAGGATGGGGCCTTTCCTGTCCACAGGAGCAAGAAGCAGTGAGGGTCCCAGGCTGGGGGAAGGGGCTCTGCCTGGGGCCTGACACCTGGGGGTCTGCTTGGCTGGAGGGGGGCCTCCGCCACCCCTTCCCTTTTTCTCCCTCCCACATTCATTCAGCAAAATCAGGAGCCGCTTCCAGGTTCCAGGCATGGAACCTGGGAACCAACGATGAAAGGAGAAAGAAAAGACAGTGTCTGACCCCAGGGGACTCCTGGTGGGTGCAGGGTGGGGAGCAGGCTTGCGAGACACTATTTCCATAGGATGAATGTAAATTCCAGGATGGGTAGGAAGGAGGCGCTGTGGAGCCCTGAGAGGGGAACGGAGCTCCAGTGCTGGAGAGGTGGCTGTCAGAGACGGGCAGCTCAGCAAAGGTGACATTTGACCTCGGTCTTACAGTATGAGTAAGAGTTCTCTGAACAGACAGAGGGAACTTGAATGTACTGGCTAGGACCTGGGCGGTGAGGACGTGGAGGCCAAGGCTCAGGTCTCAGCCACCCTGGAGCGTCAGTGAGGCCAGCCCCGAGCACCAAGACCACGCAGTGGACGCAGGGCTCTCATGGTGGATGCGTTACCTGCTGCTGGCAGCTCGCCCCAGGACCCCTCAGCTACAGAGACCTGCCCACGGCGACGCCCTCCCCTGAGGGGCCACAGCCAAAGGCCTGTGCTGGAGAGCAGGGCTGGCTGCCTCAGCCCACTCAGGACAGCTCTGAGGGCTGCCCTGGCCAGGCTCTCCCGCAGCCGCTCCAGCGTCCGCCTCCATTGTTCCTCAATAACCATCCTGCAGACTCAGCCTGCTGCCTGGGAAACCAAACCCGCAACACACAGAGGGTGACGGTAAAGCTGTAATTTAGAAACCAATGGGCAGTAAACCAGATCAGAAATAAAAGCTCCCCATCAGCTGGAAACCCAAACTCATTCCAATCTCACAACCAAGGCTCACTCCCTCCAAATGCCCACTATGGAGGACCACAGAGATCGAGGCTTCCCGGGGAGCCGTTCGAGATTCTGTCTCCCATGTTCTTGAGGTTCCTAAACCCCTAAACCAGGACACCGCACACCCGGGACGCCACCGTAGGATAGAGGGGGTTTGTCCTAAAGAAACACTGTCACGTCAGACATGGGATGGCCTGGCGCAAAAGAATGCACCACAGCTTAAGTGACACCGAAGATGCAAAAGCCAGTGTCCCAGGATGCGGAGTAAGGGCACCCAGACACCGATGCTCAGAATATCTCAGAGACACACCTGCATCACCCCAGAGACGCTGGAAGCCACAGAGTGCACACAGATGGCTTTCTTACCCACCGTGCATGGCCTGCCCCAGCAAAAGGGGCCGGCTGAGTTTCCGGGGCAGCAGATGAAGAAACCTCGGCTCTCAGAGAGGGAAATCAGAGGTAACAGACAGAACTCACCTCTTCCTCCTCTTCTTCTCTCTGTATCACTGGCTAAGAGGTTTGAGGTGGGAAGCAAATGGGTGGCCTTTGAGTGCTTGAGTTTGTCCATCAATTACACTCTCCCGCCCGAGCCATTGCAACCTGCTTTCCATAGATATCGTGAACCTCTGGCCGGGCACTGACCTAACACCAGCTTGGAGTGGCTGCTGAATGGCACTTGTTCATTTGTTTGTGGTGAGGAAGCTTAGTTGCCAGGGATTTGTTAAAGAAGACATCATGGTATGTTGTTCATTAACTCTGACCTGCCTGGCTACCTTTATTTGTAGTGGAGAGAGGGAGGCATTCTGCCCTCTGGATTTCTAACGTGCCAAGCATGTATGACAATGGCTTACAAATGCCAGTCCCTGTGGGGATGGTTTGTTCCCGTGACAATGTGCAGGTGAGCAGGCATTTTCCCCTCTCTCCTCCTCCTCGTCAGGCCTCAGGGGGTTAAAGGCTGGGAGCATGAGGAGTCTCAGGGTGGAGGATGGAGGAGGCCTGAACTAGGACCAGGTGGAGACTCGCCCCACAGGTGAGATGGAGGAAGTGACCTGGGCACAGAGTGGGCTTGGAGTATGCAGTACACAGTGGCCCTTGTGGCTGGGGTGAGGCAGGTGTGAGCCCCTCCGGGGACAGCCCTGAGCCAGAGGGTGCTGAAGGGGTCTTACCATACGTGGCCTCAAGTAGCAAGCTGGTCACCTTGAATCCCGAGAGCAACGCCAGGTAGAAGCCTGAGGAGTTGCTGGGGACAAGGCAAAAGGGCTGGGCCTGGGGTTGCAAGGAAGCACAGTGTGGGATAGGACAGGGATAGCAGCCCCTGAGGCCCTTCGTGTGAGCTGCAGGTGTGGGCAGGGCCAGAAAGGACACACGCAGGAGTGGGCAGGCAAGAGCAATAGAACAACAAGCAGAACCAGGGCAGGGCCCTGGCAATGGGGCCTCAGCCAGGCACTGAGCTTCCAGGCCCACCCATCAGCCCCAACGGGCCAGGCTCCATCCCTGAGGACTCAGGGTCAGGCAGGGCCAACAGAAGGCCAGACAGGGAGAGCAGGAGCCAGGTGACTTCCATTCCAGGGAGCAGCGCTGCGCCAGGAGCAGGAGGGAGGAAGAGCAGGACGGGGCCTCCGCAAGCCTCTCTGGGGAGCAACCCTGGAGCTCAGCTACCTCCACTGCAGCTCAGGTCTCTGAGGCCTGCAGCTCAGCACAGCTTCTTATCTGAGATGCTTCATAAAGGGCCCTTCCCGGGCACCCCTGCCCCTGTCCCCCCTAAACTCCGGGAATGGGGTCTGCCCAGGTGGGCCTGCCCACTAACCTCTGAGAACCCATGCGGACTGGGCATGGTAGCTCACGCCTGTAATCCCAGCACTTTGGGAGGCTGAGGCAGGAGGATCGCTTGAGCCCAGGAATTTGAAACCAGCCTGGGCAACAAGGCAAAAGTCTGTCTCTACTAAAAATACAAAAATTAGCTGGGGACGCTGAGGTGGGAGGATCACCTGAGCCCGGGAAGTCAAGGCTACAGTGAGCCATGATTATGCCACTGCACTCCAGCCTGGGCGACAGAGTGAGACACTGTCTCAAAAAACAAAAAGAGAGAACCCATGGGGACTGGCGTGAGCTTCAGGTCGTGTTGTCTGGGTTCAAGATCTCCATCAGGCACTTAGTAGGGGTCCATCTTATAAGCGAACCTGAGCCTCAGTTTCCTCGTATGTAAATGACAAATAACAATTATTAATAGCTACCTCATAAGATTGATGTGATAATTTTATTTTTTGTACTGTTTTTAAATTTTTAAAATTTCTGTGGGTACACGGTAGGTGTACAAATATATATATATATATATATATATATATATATATTTATTTCTGGGGTACATGAGATGTTTGATACAGGCATGCAATGTGAAATAAGCTCATCATGGAGAGTGGGGTATCCATCCCCTCAAGCATTTATCCTTTGAGTTACAAACAATCCAATGACACTCTTTAAGTTATTTTAAAATGTACAATTAAGTTATTATTGACTATAGTCACCATATTGTGCTATCAAATAGTAGATCTTATTCTTTTTTTAACTATGTTTTGTACCCTTTAACCATCCCCACCGCCCCTCCAGCTTCCAACTACCCTTCCTAGTCTCTGGTAACCATCCTTTCACTCTCTAGGTCCATGAGTTCAATTGTTTTGATCTTTGGTGTGATAACTTTTTTTTTTTTTTTTGAGATGGAGTCTTGCTCTGTCACCCAGGCTGGAGTGCAGTGTCGCCATCTCGGCTCACTGCAACCTCCGCCTCCCAGGTTCAAGCGATCCTCCTGCCTCAGCGTACTGAGTATCTGGCATTACAGGCACGCACCACCACACCTGGCTAATTTTTGTATTTTTAATAGAGATTGGGTTTTGCCGTGTTGGCCAGGCTGGTCTTGAACTCCTTGCCTCAAGTGATCCGCCCACCTCGGCCTCCCAAAGTGCTGGGAATACAGGCCTGAGCCTGTGCGCCCGGTCCTATGATAACTTTTTAAACAATATACTTAAAAGATGCTTAGCACAAGGCCAAGCAAACCCTAAATGCTCAAAACACACTTTTTAAAACTTATTATTATTATTATTATTATTATTATTATTATTATTATTATTACCAGTGACAACTTCAGTCCCCGCCACAGAGGGCTGTAGGGACTACCCCAGTACATTCTTTTTCTCTATATATTTGTCTGATCCTCTGGCAAAGTGACATTTGGAGGTTTAGAGGTGGCCGATGACTCCAGCTTAAAAGAGCTGTGGAAAAAAATAGATGAAGAAACAGGAATCATTCCACCAAGCCCACAACCTAAAAATAAGCTGGGCGTGGTGGCACGCACCTGTGATCCCAGCTACTCAGGAAACTGAGGCAGGAGAATTGCTTGAACCTGGGAGGTGGAGATTGCAGTGAGCCAAGATTGCACCACTGCACTCCAGCCTGGGCGATGGAGTGAGACCCTGTCTCAAAAAAAAAAAAAAGAAAAAAGAAAATGAAAACTGTTCAGGGCCATCTTCTGATGCTCTCGCTGCCTCTTTTTTTTTTTTTTTTTTTGAGATGGAGTTTCGCTCTTGTTGCCCAGGCTGGAGTGCAATGGCACAATCTCAACTCACTGCAGCCTCCACCTCCTGGGTTCAAGTGATTCTCCTGCCTCAGCCTCCCTAGTAGCCGGGATTACAGGTGCCTGCCACCACACCTGGCTAATTTTTTCTATTTTCAGTACAGCCAGCGTTTCGCCATGTTGACCAGGCTGGTCTGGAACTCCTGACCTCATGTGATCCACCCGTCTCGGCCTCCCAAAGTGCTGGGATTACAGGCGTGAGCCACCGCGTGCCCAGACAACTCCTGCTGCCTCTTCACCTCTAATGTTTCCCATCTCATCTCCGAAGAGCAGCCAAGCAGAAGCTCAAAAGAACCGCTCCAGCTCCCCCCTGCTCCCAGGACCTGCTCAGACCCGGGGGGATGTCATGGCCCGGATCTGTCTGTCTTGTCTACAGGTAGAGGGCGGCTTATCTGTCCCCAGTAGACCCTGTCTGTACCCCTCTCACCCCATGAGACCCTACCTCGGCCTCTCCTTCTCGCTGAGACATCTCCTCCCTCCCTGGTCCTCCACCTTCAGGTCCTCACGGCTGAGAGCCCCTGGCAGCTCCGGGAATTATCGGGCGGCATCCTGACTCCCGCCTTGCTCCTCAGACCCCTCCCCACACCCTGGCCCATTCCGGGTACAAGGGCGACTTGGTTGCCTTCATTATAGACTATAGCACAAAAACACAATAAAATAAAATGAATGTTTTCTCCGCGAAAATCCATTAGATGAGTTACTGTTGTAATTTAATAATGGGATGGGAAACTACAGCAAGTTACCGAAGTATATAATTAAAGTAAATCTATTTTAAAGCCCTTTATTGCTTAGTATTTCTCAGATCCCAGTCTCTCTTTCGCCTCCGCTCCCCTCCCCCCACCACCCCCCTTCCCTTTTTCTGAGCCTGAGGAGGAGGCTGGGTGTCACGGGTTTCTCTGAAATTGTCAGTACCTCGGTGGCAAACACAGCTTCCTGCTCTTTCCAGGAGAGGATCCTATGCCTGGCATCCCTGAGGCCCCAGGCTGGCCTCCCTTTGTCAGAGCAGGGGCAGAATGATGCTGCTACTGACTGATCCAGGACCCACCTCTGCTAGATCCTGGGGAGTGAGGCTTGATTCTTGCCCTAAAAGCAAAGCCGCCAAAACTGGGCAGAGGGTGATGCAGGGGAGTAGGGAGATGTCTGCACTAAGAATCCCCTTCACAAAGGACAGATGCCGCTGAGCCCTGCACCTCAGATTTGCCAATGATCGCCAATTCCAAGACAGCATTGTGGTTAAGACGCAGCAGGAAGCTAAGGCTCAGAGAGGTTTGGAACTTGCCCAGGGTCACACAGCTATAAGTGTCAGAGCTGGAATTGGATCTCAGGCACCTGACACAGGCCCGGCTGCCTCCAAGAAGCTCCCAAGTCTGGATTCCTGTGTGCTGGATGTAAAAGCCAGTGAGCCTGGCCAATTATTGCCCATTTTCAAAGGAGGAAAGAGGAGAGGAAAGCTTGTGGCTATTACCTCCATGGTCATTGTCTGCTTTCTGAAGGAGAGCCCCAGGAGTGGCAGAGTCAAGCCACACCTGCAATCCTGCACACCCCAAATCCTCTCTCAGTTACACCCCAACCCCTCCTTGGTAAAGAGATGAATTACCTTCATCAGAAGGGCCAGGGTAGGTCCTTCGGGGGCTCACTGGAAGCCCTAGCACCTGAGATTGACCTGGCCTGCCATAGGGAAGGGGACTCTGCAGCCGGCCAGTTCAGGACAGGAAGGGGCCAGCCAAGCCTCTGGTCACTTGAAGTGAGCTTGATGAAAGAAGTTTTGTGGTTCATTCAAACACACAATGATGCATTCTCCCCCTTCTAGAGCCCCCGGACCGCACTCAGGGATCACTGTGCTACTGGCAGCCACAGAGAACCAAGTGACCCAAATGAAGCCACACGGGCACTTTGAAATCACAGTGAGCTCTTGGCATAACAGAGAAAATTACTCCCAAGGAAGACTCTCCCTGCCCACTGATGGGTTTTCCAGGGAAAGTTGGACCTCTGGAGATCCCACGCTTCCAGAGAAGCCAGTGTGCCACCCCAGCCCCGGGCATGAGTCCTGTCTCCCTCCTCGCCCAGCACAGAGCCAAGCTTCTGCAACCAAGAAAGCACCAGGAGCCCCAGGCGCCTAGGGGATGCTAGAGAGAGATGCAGGTTCTGCCAGGCTGTGAGTCCATGCAAATGAGATGCAAAGTGATATGCAAATCCAAGCTTCCCTTTCTGAATCTCAAGTTGTCATCTGGTGGCTGAGCCCTCCTAGTGCTCTGAAGGCCGCTGTCTCCTTCCAGCCTCGTGCATATCAAGGACAGGGAGCTCTGACGATGGGGTGATGGGGCGATTGGGGAAGGCAAGCAGAGTTTTGTAGATGGCAGGGGCAGGATGGTTGCCGACCCCCCTGCAGACCTGACAATCCCTCGGCATACCCGACCCAGTGCCGAGTTTCCTGGGGCTCAGTGGTTGCCACTTCCTTCTTTGCAGCCTTCCTTTTTGGCTCCAGAGAGGTGCCCCAAGACATGCACCTCAAAGCCCCAAGGGAATGCCCCAACCCAGGGCACCTCCAGGTTGAATGCTCAGCGACTTCGGGAATGCAGATGCCACACACATCCCTCACCTATTGGGCTGCAAGAGGTAGTTGTTAAACTTTGGAACCACTGAGAGTGGGATTCTCCACCAGGATTTTCAAGCTTAGAGCCATCTTGGGCTGCTTTCCAGATGAAGGAAGAAAGCCGAGCGGGGGAGTGCGCCCTGCCTGCTCAGCCAGGATCGTGCCTCCGAAAACACACTTCAGTGTGCCCAGGAGTTCAAGAGCTCAGGGCTCCCTCTCAGCCCCCATCTGGCACCTGTTCCCAGGCTGGGAGCACTTAGAACCTTCTTAGAAAGTGCTCCCTGCGGCGTGTAAGAGCTGCAGGGCTCTGAACTAGAGAAGGAGCCAAAATTCATAACCATGGTGACAAAGAGGCCAACAGCAGAGGGGCTGGCCTTGGAGCAGCCAATTAGAGGACTAGGAAGGTGAGAGCTGAGAAGGGAAGGGGCTCTGGAGGCAAAGGAAAAGCAGACAGTGCAAGAAAACTTCAAAAAGGGTCGAAGGAGTAAGGGTGGGGCCCAAAGACAAACACCCCCCAGCCCCACCCTCCAGCCCTGCCTGAGGTCTAGCCGCCATGCCCACGGACCTCATGAGGGCCCAAGATTTCTCTGCAGGGCTGCGGCCCTCAGCAGGCCCAGATACCTGGTCAAGGCCTCTGGCTTTTCTCTACTCTCCCTTGCCCCTCCAATACCTCCGCATCTGAGATGAGAAGAACATTCGGGGTGGAGGTGAAAAGGTGGAAGCACAGGTGGCGTCCCCCTTTATATCTCAGTCAGGGCATGGCCTTCTGAACCCTATGCTACTGGGCTAGTGCCTGGGGTGGGAGGTGCCATCAAAGGCAGGCACCTTCTTGCCCTGTGCAGCCTGAACGAAGCCCTGTTGGTCCTGTCCTCTGCCCCACTCTCCAGAGGAAGAGTGAGCTATTTCTTTTTTTTTTTTTTTTTTTTGAGATGGAGTCTTGCTCTGTCACCCAGGCTGGAGTGCAGTGGTGCAATCTCGGCTCACTGCAAGCTCCACCTCCCACGTTCACGCCATTCTCCTGCCTCAGTCTCCCCAGCAGCTGGGACTACAGGCACACGCCGTCACGCCTGGCTAATTTTTTTGTATTTTTATTAGAGACGGGGTTTCACCATGTTAGCCAGGATGCTCTCAATCTCCTGACCTCATGATCTGCCCGCCTCAGCCTCCCAAAGTGCTGGGATTACAGGCGTGAGCCACCACGCCTGGCAGAGTGAGCTGTTTCATAAATCATCCTCCGGTCGTGGATATGAACACTCTTTATGCCCACAGAGCTGTATACGAGAATATGATGTGCTTCTTCGGACCATGGGCACGTGCTGAGCTTCAGCTGCACGCTAGGCTCTGTGCTGGCCCCAGGGTTCAGGGATAGCTGGCAGGGGAAATTCTCTCTGGCACATCCCCTTTTCCCTTCCCATCCATGCCCACACTGGCTCTGTGCCTTCTGCAATTAATTTCAAAACTGAGGCTCCCCATTGCTCCTCCATGGTGAACATGACCCAGGGTACAACAAAGCCCTGAGAAAGAACAAGATAATTCACCAAACTAAATGGAAAGCCAAATCCTGACACTGAAGGTACTCCCCCATACTGAGAGGGTGCTGGCATCTCCCCTGATCATTAGGCAGGCCCTCTGGGTAATGTTGGTGGCAGCAGAGTGCTATAGACTGAATTGTGTCCCCTCCAAATTCATATGTTAAAGCCCTAACCCCCAAACCTAACAACGTGGTGGTATTTGGAGATGGGGCTTTTGGGGACGTGATTAACATTAGATGAGGTAATGAGGGTGGGACCCCCTGATGGGATTAGTGCCTTAATGAGGAGATACCAGAAGGATCATTCCCTCTCTGCCATGTGAGCACACAGCAAGAAGGCGGCCGTCTGCAAGCCAGGAAGAGAGCCCTCATCAGAATCAACCATGCTGCTCACTGATCTCGGCCTTCCACCCTCCAGAACTGCAAGAAAATAAATTTCTGTTATTTAAGCCCCCAAGTTTATGGTATTGCATTCCTAAGTGTACTTTTTAGAGCTGATTAACAGGCATGCAATAAGGTTTGCTTTAGAGACCACAAATAACTCTCTAGAAACAAAACATGGAAACAAGAGTCTTCTCTGCCCCAGATGCCAGGATGGGAGCCATCTGGATGCTGCCTGGATTACACACTTTCCCTGCCACCCTCCTGTGTGTCCACAGCTGGCTTTGCTGTGATCTACTGGACCAGCAGCTGCCAGCCAGCCCGCTGGGTGCACAACCCCAGACGCATGTCCTTGGCCTGCCTTGTGGGGCTTTCCAGCCCTGGCCAGCTCTGAGCTGTATGAGTGGGATGAAGAACCAACAGAGGAAGTTTGAGCTACAGTCACCATGTCCCAAGTGCACACTCCACCTGGGCAGCTCTTGGAAATCACACCAACTCTACATGTTGGTTGAGGGAACACCACAATTGCTGCCATTATAAACATCCTGGGTGCAGGAGTGGGCTGGGGGGCACATACCTGTTAGTGATGGAGAAGTGGGGTTTTATCCAGCTGGTCCTCTGATTAAAATCATCCCTTACAGCTTTATTATGTAGGTAACACTCCTAGTTATCTAACTAATATTGTGCTTTATTGAGAAATTTCTACAGAACAAGCATTTGGTTAAATACTCACATACAATATTTCATTTATTTATTCTGTGAGGAAAGGGGAGATACTATCTGATATGGTTTGGCTCTGTGTACCCACCCAAATCTCATCTCGAATTGTAATCCCCACATGTCCAGGGAGGGACCTGTAATCCCCCATATGGAGGGAGGGAGGTGATTGGATCATGGGGGCAGTTTCCCCCATGCTGTTCTTATGATAATAAGTGAGTTCTCATGAGATCTGATGGCTTTGTAAGTGTTTAGAAGTTCTTCCTTTGTTCTTGTCACTCCTGCCACCATGTGATGAAGGTGCTTGCTTCCCTTTCACCTTCCGCCATGACTGTAAGTTTCCTGAGGCCTCCCAAACCGTGTGGAACTGTGAGTCCATTAAACCTCTTTCCTTTATAAATTACCCAGTCTTGAGTATTTCTTTCTAGCAGTGTGAAAATGAACGAATACACTATCTCTACCTCCATTTTATATATGAGAAAACTCAGGCTCATGGAGGTGAGATAACACATCCAGCACCATGCAACTAAGAAGCAGTCAAGCTGGATTCACACCCAGATGTTCTGACTCCAGACCCTGCATCTTCATCACTGTCTGCTGAGGCCATCCTTGCTGTGACAACACCTGGAACAACAGCCAGTGCATGGAAGGCTGTCAGTAAATGGTGGCTACCCTCTCACCCTGTCGTTACTATTGTAGCATGGCCTCTTGTGTAAGTCAACCAACCTAAGCTCCCACATAGGTCTCTGCATGGTTTTGTTAATTAGCTTATTAGTTAGGGCTGCATAACAAATTATGCCAAAACGTAGTGGCTTAAGACAACACACATTTATTATTGCACAGTTTCATGGCTCAGGGTTCTGAGCACAACTTGGCTGGCTTCCCCAGCTCAGGCTCTCACAAAACTGCCATCGAGGTTGGGGCTGCAACATCATCTGAAGCCTGCCTGGGGAAGGATCATGTCCCGGATTCACAGAATGCAGGCGGAGAGGCAAGGGCAAGTGAAGGACTTGCCCGAGGCCAGCTTAGCGTCGGTGTTCACATTTCAGATTCCCACCAACTTCTGTGATGTTGCCCAGCCACATAGACACATCAAATAGATAAAGATGATGTTGCTATGGAGTCCTGGCATAGGTAGACCAGGGCCAGAAATGATCAAGGTAATTTGCAAATATCAAGGCAATCAACCCTAGACTGTGAGCCCCACGAGCCAGGAGAATATACATTTTACTCACTGCTGCATCCCAGCACCTAGGAGTGCATAGGACTACTTCCTGCCCAGCCAATAGCTGCTGGGTGAAATGAATGGTTCCGTTGATGGCAGCAATCAGGACTGGCTTCCACCCAGAGGATCATTTGTGAAGAGGGGGAGAAAGCAGGAGAGGAGGTGTGGGGTAGATAGCCAGGCATGGGACGGGGAGCACGCAGCACTTACTCCTCCTCCATGCCTGTCTTCTCATCATAAATGGTGAATAAACACAGTGCCTCACGCCTGTAATCCCAGCACTTTGGGAGGCCGAAGCAGGTGGATCACCTGAGGTCAGGAGTTCGAGGCCAGCCTGGCCAACAAGGTGAAACCCCGTCTCTGCTAAAAATACAAAAATTAGCCAGGTGTCCTGGCACACGCCTGTAATCACAGCTACTCAGGAGGTTGAGGCACAAGAATCACTTGAACCCAGGAGGCAGAAGTTGCAGTGAGCCAAGATCGCGCCACTACACTCCAGCCTGGGCAACAGAACGAGACACTGTCTCAAAAAAACAAAAACAAACAAACAAACAAAAATGGTGAATAAAGAAATAACCTATCCAAGGAGCCAGAGAAATCTTCCAACCACCTGGTCGGCCTGTGCTAGTTTCAAAGGGGATCATGTATCTACAGAAAACACAGGTAACCTCGGGTTGCATAGGGCAAGTAGGGAGATGATTTTCCCCCTAGAGCCGGGACTACCCTTCCAAGCCACAGCCCTTCACCTTTAGGAGGAAAGAAAAGGCTTTTTGATGAGAGTCCTCTTTAAAAGGAAAGAAATGCAGTCTCGTCAAAAGCCCAGTGGTAACACTTCCCTAACACAATGCGTGCTGGTGACAACGTCTAATGAAGACTTTTATGATAGGGATGTAATTGTAAAAAAAAAAAAAAAAAAAAAAAAAAAGATTAAAAAATTGGTTTCAATGCTTTGCCATCCAAGAGTTCATTTGTTTCCTCATTCATGCACTAAATAAGCCCCTAATTAATCTTGAACCTCGGAGAAAGGCGACTAGATTGCCATTTTCTCCGTAAGGACGCACTTCACATTTTGGGAAGTTTGAAGAGGCTCTTCAGCATTTTCCTTTAGTGGTATTTTATCAGCATTTTAGAGAAGCTTCATTAGGCTGCCGAAAGCTGCTAATTGCATTACCATATTTTTAAGCCTCACGGGTTCGGGTCAGATTCATCGTTCTCCCAATTCTCCCACGAATCTGCAGGTTTGACATGTCAGAGATCCAACCGTTGAGGAGAGAGGCCACCGTTCACACCAGCGTGTTGCTTTCTCAAGGAAAATTTAGCTTCAAAAGTCATTGTGGTGTCACCACTCCTAGGGAGAAAAAATAAACCTCCAGCTTTCCAGCCAAGAAAAGAAACACAAAAGGACTGTGTGTGTGCATGTGCGTGTTTGTGTATAGATAGATAGACATGAATATAGATGTACAAATGTGTGTTTAGAGATATATAAATATAATGTATATGCATAGAAATGAATATCTGTATATGTGTGTGTAGATATGAATATATGTATATGTGTGTAAACTGATATAAATATATGTATATGTGTGTAGACAAATATGAATATATGAGTATATGTATTTATCTGTAGATAGATATGAATATATGTATATATATACCTAGATATGAATATATGTATATATGTGGAGATGGATATGAATATGCACATATGAATATATAAATAGATATGAATAGATGTGTGTATGTGTATAGATGATGTGTGTGTATATCTGAATATATGCATAGATGTATATATGTAGATAATGACTACATATGTGTGTCACATATGTAGTAAGTGATGATGCTTATATTTTATCTGGATTCTCCCCTCTCTTTAAAGAAAATTTCAATGGAAAACTAATTTCCAAACCTAAGCAGCTGAACACCCTTCCAGAAGCCTCACAGACATTATCTCATTTAATCCTCTCTACAACCTTGTGAAGAGTTAACTACTATTTCTGTCATTTTGCAAAGAGGGAAATGGATTCTCAGAGTTCATAAGTCACAGAACCCACAAGTGTTAGAGTCGAAACTTGAAGCAAGGCCAAGGGGGTCGCCAGCATCCGTGTTTGGTTGGTAATATTCTGCCTGGGAGTCAGGAGTCTAGGAGGTGACGGACCTGGGTCCAAGCCAGCTCCGTGCCTCCACACAAGCATCTTGGCCCCGCTGAGTCTCCCGTCGATGAAGTGATGATGTCCACCCTTTGGAGATAAGAAGATGAAATGAGCCGAGGCGGGCGGATCACAAGGTCAAGAGATCAAGACCATCCTGGCCAACATGATGAAACCCCGTCTCTATTAAAAGTACAAAAATTAGCTGGGCGTAGTGGCGCATGCCTGTAATCTCAGCTACTCGGGAGGCTGAGGCAGGAGAATCGCTTGAACCCGGGAGGCAGAGGTTGCAGTGAGCCGGGATTGTGCCACTGCACTCCAGCCTGGCGACAGGGCGGGACTCCATCTCAAAAAAAAAAAAAAAAAAAAAAGAAGATGAAATGAGATAAAATGTGTAAAGCAATAAACCCTGGTCCGTCCACTAGCTGCTCACACAGGTGCAGCCCTGCAGCCCTGACTGGAGGCATCGCAAGACAGCTGAACCCCATAAAACCAGGGCAGGCACCCCACATCCTCAGGAGACCCCGGCCAACACACAAATCTGGGTCCTGCCAGCCGGCACCACTCAGAGACGGGATGGGGACAGTCCCATCTTCTGGCTTGAAAAGACTTACCCGGTTTCTCCTCTCCCGAACCTCACCCCTGGAGTCTAAATAGACACTGTGTTGGGTCGGGTTCCCGGCTGGGCATTGACACTTTTACCCCTCCTGCTCCATTTCTGGTCTCCAGAGTCTTTTTTCTTCTAACACAAGTGTCTGGGACCCAGCAGCCACTTTTCAAGCAGAGCTCCCCGACATGCCTTCCCTCCTACCCCCTCCCCACCTACTCACTCTCCATCTCTGATGCTCCATGCAAGCACAGGAATGACGGAGCTGGGCTTCGGGGCAGCAGAAAGAGATGACTGAGAGACCCCCTCCGACTGTGGCCTCTGGTCCCTGAGATTGCCACCTGGGGCATGCCGGCTGCAACTGGGGAGGGTTTTAGGCACTGACAGGGCCCAGGAAGGGCTCAGCGATTGGCGAAGAGGCTCTGTGTTCACACAATGACAGCCTCCGGAAATGTGCAGGCCCCCCGAGCTGGGAACACAGGGTCTCTGGGCCAGCACTGCCCAAGGACCATCTGAGTCTTTATTAATCACAAAATAAGGAGATCCCTCCACCCCAGGCTACCAGGCAAGGGTCACCTGGTCTGCCCAAGGAGGAAGGGGACAGCAGGTGGCCACAAGAGTCTCCAGGGCAAGACCCAGCTGGTTCCCTCCTGCCTGTGGCCTGCTCCCCAGGAAGCCCAAACCGTGTGCACCATGCCCAGCAAGCTGGACGCTGCCCTTCCACCAGCCATGCGGGGGATTGGGTGGGGGGTGTTGGCTACAGTGGGTCTGATGCCTGGGAATCTCTGGCTTCTCTGCTGCATTGGCAAGATTGGGGGATAAGCAGACGGGCTTCCGGTTTGTTCTGTAGGAACTGTCTGTGTCCCCATGTCTTACAGAGGGAGGATGGCAGCAAATGGGGTCGGGAAGTTGCTGGCATAGGAACCTGAGAGACAGACAGGAGTATCATTTGCAGCTTGGGTTTTGCACTCAGGTAGACACGGGTCCAAGTGTTGGCTCTGCCACATTCTACATGGGTGGCCTTGAGCAAGTGACACACCCTCCAGAAACCTGTTTCTTCCCTTGCAAAATGCAGCTAAGATTGTCACTACTTCTAGGATTGCTACAGGATTAAATGAGATTAAATGACACTTAAATAAAGATCAAATAGGGCCAGTCATTCCAGAAGTATTTCTTTTTTTTTTTTTTTTTTTTTTTTGAGATGGAGTCTCGCTCTGTCACCCAGGCTGGAGTGCAGTAGCGAGATCTCGACTCACTGCAAGCTCCGCCTCCCGGGTTCACACCATTCTCCTGCCTCAGCCTCCCGAGTAGCTGGGACTACAGGCTCCCGCCACCACGCCCGGCTGATTTTTTGTATTTTTAGTAGAGACGGGGTTTCATTGTGTTAGTCAGGATGGTCTCAATCTCCTGACCTCGTGATCCACCCACCTCGGCCTCCCAAAGTGCTGGGATTACAGGTGTGAGCCACTGCGCCCAGCCTCATTCCACAAGTATTTCTTGAGCAGCTACACTGGGAATACAAGTCCCTGGCCCCACACGGCACATGAGCTAGCTGAGGAGACAGATAATACACCGGGAAGACAACAAGCACGACAGGATCGATGGCAGGGAGTGCTGCGGAGGAGAAGGAGGAGGTGCCATCATGAAAACAGCAGGGACCGGCCGGGGGTCAGTGCAGGCCTGGTGCTTGGGCCAAGGGCTAAGGGATGAGAGGAGCCAGCCAGCTGAGGATGGGAGACCCAGGCAGAAGGGGGTGTGTCGGCCCTGAGTGGGGAAGGGCTCGGTGTGTTGAAAGAACTGAAAGTGGTCAGTGGGCTCGGACAGTGGTGAGCAGGGTGAGCCACGCAGGCACAGGGCTCGTGCTCCATCACTGTGGGGTGGCAGGCCCTGCAGCAAGGGTACCTGCCCATGACCACGCCCCTTCCCATCAGGAGGGCTTCCCAAGAGAGCTTCGTCTCCTGCCCCGAGGAAGCTTTCCACTGACAAATCTACATATGGAGCCCAGGAATGGCCGGGCGCAGAGAACCCACAAATGTACTCAGATCCCATCCCACCCTAGGACCCGGGCACTAAATCGTAAACAATATCACATGCCCTGAACGCTGTTTTCCCTTCTACCAGGGAATCCTATTTTATTCTGATTTCTCTTTTGGCTGATCTCACTAGAAACTCAGGCCAAGAGAAAACACATCATACAAGAAGCTAGGAACCATATTCTATTCCAGACCATTCATATCCTCTCTCTCTCTGCCTCTCTCTCTCTCTCTCCTTACACACACACACACACACACACACACACACGCCAGCCATAAGTCAAAACAAGGGCTACAGCGAACTCTAAAGATTCACAATAACACAGCTATTTCCACACCTGTGCAACATTAACCTACTATGGTCTTCACCACCAAAGAGTGATTTTTTAAAAAAACAAGCTAACATACAAACCCAACAAAACAGTTGTCAAATGTGGGTGATGTGGGTTTTACATGTAAAACATGCACACACACGCATACACACACACCCATATGCATGTATCTGCCTCAGGCAATGAAATTACCCACATGTTGCCCTTGAAGTATAGAGATTTTTATCCCATTTAACAGAAAGGGGTTTGAGG
This sequence comes from Homo sapiens, assembly GCF_000001405.40. Taxonomy (NCBI): domain Eukaryota; kingdom Metazoa; phylum Chordata; class Mammalia; order Primates; family Hominidae; genus Homo; species Homo sapiens. The sequence goes on from NC_000017.11 coordinate 77,908,649, forward strand.
CCCCGTCACTCACCCCAGGGAACACCGTGACTAAGCTGGAGGGCCCGGAGATGCTGGCAGTGCTCCCACTCTCTGAAGCCTCCTGGCACTTTGTTTCCTGACAAGTGACACTTTTGGCCTGCCTTTTGTCCTGGCTCACTTACCTGAGAGCAGGGACCATGGCTCCTATACCTTGGTGTCTGTCCCTAGGACCTAGCCTGGTGCCTTTCATACAGTAGGTGCCCATGTAGCACCTATTGGATGAAATCTCCACAAAGCATAGGTTGGTAGGAATCAAGGCATAGAAAGGGTAACTTGGGGTCCCCACAGCACCGCCCTTTCCCCGCTCCCACTTCAACACTGTCCCACCTGCCTGGAAGCCCTGCCCTCCCCACACCTCACCCCAAGATGAAACGCCCAACTCAGACATCACCTGGCTTCCTCTAGGCGATAAATTTCAAAACAGAAACATAGGGAATGAACACGGATGACCCCCTCGTTTTCTGAGTAAGTATCATTTTCAAAGCATTTGCCGTCCCACATCACTATTGTTTTACAAAATAAAGCACTTTCTAACACCAAAAGGTAGAAGGGATGTACTCTCAGCAGACAGAGCTGTCCTTGAAAGGACCGCGCCCAGCTTTGTGAGAAACTCGCCACTCTGTCCTGGTTCTTTTCATCTTGTCTCCAACCACAGACCCGCATCAGATGCCGGAGCCGCGTTTAGGAAGCGCCGTCCGGGAGGACAGCCAGTGGTGCCAACGGGGAAAGGAGCCAGGCCAGGAAGCCAGAAGCAGCGTGAGAGGGAGGCGGCTCCCAGTCAGAGGAGTGCAGATGTAGAGGAGGTGCCCGGGGTCCTGACCAAGAACTCCCGCCCCACCAGAGAACTGGAGTCCAGAGCTGGGACGCCAGCCAGGCTGGAGCAGGGATTCTTCTGGAGAGCTGAGCGAAGAACTGCAAGTCCTAACGACTCCCTCTGGACCCCGAGAGCCTTTCAGCTTCTCAGTTCGAGAGCGGGTGGCAAACTGTGTTCCAGGCTGGATCTCCATCCAGTCTCTAATTTTACACGAACGTGGTTCTCATTTTCCACCGTCGTTCCCTGTGAAATTCAAGAATGTAGTGGTCAGGATGATAAGCAGGAAACAAGGGTGAGGAGGGCTACCTGCCCTCTCAAGGCTAACGGGAGACCCCCTAACTTCCTTGGCCACCTCCCCATCCCACCTGCCGCACCCGCAGCCTGTGGAGGGGGCCCTGCAAACATCAGCTAGAAAGCCTGGGCAGCCAGCCCGCCACCCCAGAGCCACCCCCATCCTCCGCTCCACCCCTACGTCCCACACCCCATCCAGCCACACACCTGGCACACAAGAGGGGAGTGCCTTTTCCATGCCAGGCACACACGCAATTCTCCTCCACCAAAGCGACCGGCCTGTGGGCCTTCCCTCACTGGGCCACGTGGGAGGAAACGGGGATTGGTCTTGGAGGCTTTCCTGCCCCTTCCCCTTCTCCGCCAGGCCCCCTCTCCCTGTCCTCACGCTGCATCTCCTGGGTGGTTCTATCTGGGGTGTTAATGTTTAAGTGTGATCGATGGCTAATCCCAGGGGGCCTTGGATCTGGCTGCAACCTGGTGAGAATCACTGAGGGGGGCTATACAAATTGGGGGTGCCTCAATGTACCAGCATCTCTGGGACACATTTAAAGCAGTGTGTAGAGGGAAATTTATAGCACTAAATGCCCACGAGAGAAAGCAGGAAAGATCTAAAATCGATACCCTAACATCACATTAAAAGAACTAGAGAAGCAAGAGGAAACAAATTGAAAAGCTAGCTGAAGGCAAGAAATAACTAAGATCAGAGTGGAACTGAAAGAGATAGAGACACAAAAACCCTTCAAAAAATCAATGAATCCAGGAGCTGGTTTTTGGAAAAGATCAACAAAATTGATAGACTGCTAGCAAGACTGATAAAGAAGAAAAGAGAGGAGAATCAAATAGATGCAATAAAAAATGATAAAGGGGATATCACCACCGATCCCACAGAAATACAAACTACCTTCAGAGAATTCTATAAACACCTCTAAGCAAATAAACTAGAAAATCCAGATGAAATGGATAAATTCCTGGACACATACACCCTCCAAGACTAAACCAGGAAGAAGTTGAATCTCTGAATAGACCAATAACGGCTCTGAAATTGAGGCAATAATTAAGAGCCTACCAACCAAAAAGAGTCCAGGACCAGATGGATTCACAGCCGAATTCCACCAGAGGCACAAAAAGGAGCTTGTACCATTCCTTCTGAAACTATTCCAATCAATAGAAAAAGAGGGAATCCTCCTTAACTCATTTTATGAGGCCAACACCATCCTGATACCAAAGCCTGGCAGAGACACAACAAAAAAAGAAAATTTTAGACCAATATCCATGATGAACATCGATGCAAAAATCCTCAATAAAGTACTGGCAAACCAAATCCAGCAGCATATCGAAAAGCTTATCCACCACAATCAAGTTGGCTTCATCCCTGGGATGCAAGGATGGTTCAACATATGCAAATCAATAAACATAATCCATCACATAAACAGAACCAATGACAAAAACCACATGATTATCTCAATAGATGCAGAAAAGGCCTTCGACAAAATTCAACAGCCCTTCATGCTAAAAACTCTCAATAAACTAGGTATTGATGGAACTTATCTCAAAATAATAAGAGCTATTTCTGACAAACCCACAGCCAATATCATACTGAATGGGCAAAAACTGGAAGCCTTCCCTTTGAAAACCAGCACAAGACAAGGATGCCCTCTCTCACCACTCCTATTCAACATAGTGTTGGAAGTTCTGGCCAGGGCAATCAGGCAAGAGAAAGAAATAAAGGGTATTCAGTTAGGAAAAGAGGAAGTCATATTGTCCCTGTTTGCAAATGACGTGATTGTATATTTAGAAAACCCCATAATCTCAGCCCAAAATCTCCTTAAGCTGATAAGCAACTTCAGCAAAGTCTCAGGATACAAAATCAATTTGCAAAAATCACAAGCATTCCTATACACCAATAACAGAGAGCCAAATCATGAATGAACTCCCATTCACAATTCACAAGAGAATAAAATACCTAGGAATCCAACTTACAAGGGATATGAAGGACCTCTTCAAGGAGAACTACAAACCACTGCTCAACGAAATAAAAGAGGACACAAACAAATGGAAGAACATTACATGCTCATGGATAGGAAGAATCAATATCATGAATGTGGCCATACTGCCCAAGGTAATTTATACAGTCAATGCCATCTCCATCAAGCTACCATGACTTTCCTCACAGAATTGGAAAAAATTACTTTAAAGTTCATATGGAACCAAAAAAGAGCCCGCATTGCCAAGACAATCCTAAGCAAAAAGAACAAAGCTAGAGGCATCATGCTACCTGACTTCAAACTATACTATAAGACTACAGTAGCCAAAACAGCATGGAATTAGTACCAAAACATATATGTAGACTAATGGAACAGAACAGAAGCCTCAGAAATAACACCATACATCTACAACCACCTGATCTTTGACAAACCTGACAAAAACAAGAAATGGGGAAAGGATTCCCTATTTAATAAATGTTGCTGGGAAAACTGGCTAGCCATATGTAGAAAGCTGAAACTGGATCCCTTCCTTACACCTTATACAAAAATTAATTCAAGATGGATTAAAGACTTAAATGTTAGACCTAAAACCATAAAAACCCTAGAAGAAAACCTAGGCAATACCAGTCAGGACATAGGCATGGGCAAGGACTTCATGGCTAAAACACCAAAAGTAACAGCAACAAAAGCCAAAATAGACAAATGGGATCTAATTAAACTAAAGAGCTTCCGCATGGCAAAAGAAACTACCATCAGAGTGAACGGGCAGCCTACAGAATGGGAGAAAATTTTTGCAATCTACCCATCTGACAAAGGGCTAATATCCAGAATCTATAAAGAACTCAAACAAATGTACAAGAAAAAAACAAACAACCCCATCAAAAAGTGGGCAAAGGATATGAACAGATGCTTCTCAAAAGAAGACATCTATGCAGCCAACAGACACATGAAGAAATGCTCATCGTCACTGGTCATCAGAGAAATGCAAATCAAAACCATAATGAGATACCATCTCACGCCAGTTAGAATGGCAATCATTAAAAAGTCAGGAAACAACATATGCTGGAGAGGAAGTGTAGAAATAGGAACACTTTTACACTGTTGGTGGGAGTGTAAATTAGTTCAACCATTGTGGAAGACAGTGAGGCGATCCCTCAAGGATCTAGAACTAGAAATACCATTTGACCCAGCAATCCCATTACTGGGTATATGCCCAAAGGATTCTAAATCATGCTACTATAAAGACACATGCACACGTATGTTTATTGTGGCACTATTCACAATAGCAAAGACTTGGAACCAACCCAAATGTCCATCAATGATAGACTGGATTAAGAAAACGTGACACATATACACCATGGAATACTAGGCAGCCATTAAAAAAAGGATGAGTTTGCCGGGTGCGGTGGCTCACGCCTGTAATCCCAGCACTTTGGGAGGCTGAGGCGGGCGGATCACGAGGTCAGGAGATCGAGACCATCCTGGCTAACACAGTGAAACCCTGTCTCTACTAAAAATACAAAAAATTAGCCGGGCGCGGTGGCGGGCACCTGTAGTCCCAGCTATTCGGGAGGCTGAGGCAGGAGAAAGGCATGAACCCGGGAGGCGGGGCTTGCAGTGAGCTGAGATCGTGCCACTGCACTCCAGCCTGGGTGACAGAGCGAGACTCCATCTCAAAAAAGAAAAAAAAAAAGAAAAAGAAAAAGAAAAAAAGATGAGTTCATGTCCTTTGCAGGGACATGGATGAATGGATGAAGCTGGAAACCATCATTCTCAGCAAACTATCACAAGGACAGAAAACCAAACACCACATGTTCTCACTCATAGGAGGGAACTGAACAATGAGATCACTTGGACACAGGGCGGGGAACATCACACACCGGGACCTGTCAGGGGGTGGGGGGCTGGGGGAGGGATAGCATTAGGAGAAATACCTAATGTAAATGACGAGTTGATGGGTGCAGCAAACCAACATGGTACATGTATACCTTTGTATCAAACCTGCACACTGTGCACATGTACCCTAGAACTTAAAGTGTAATAATAAAAATAATAATAATATAAATAAACAAAATTCGTAATTTAAAAAAAGGCCAGGCATGGTGGCTTACGTCTGTAATCCCAGAATTTTGGGAGGCCGAGGTGGGCAGGTCACCTGAGGTCAGGAGTTCGAGACCAGCCTGACCAACATAGTGAAACCCTGTCTCTACTAGAAATACAAAAAGTAGCCAGGCACGGTTGTGCACGCCTGTAATCCCAGCTACTTGGGAGGCTGAGGCAGGAGAATCACTTGAACCCAGGAGGCAGAGGTTGCAGTGAGCTGATATCGCGCCATTGCACTCCAGCCTGGGCAACAAGAGCGAAACTCAAAAGAAAAAAAAAAATTGGGGGTGCCCAGGCCTCACCCCAGAGACCCTGATCCAACAGGTCGAGGTGCGGCCCAGCCATCGAAGGTTTTAAAAGGTCCCCCGAAAATTCTAGTGTGCCGTTCAATTGAGAACCTCTGGTGCCAAAGGCCAAAGAGGCACCCCCGTGGGACCACTGTGTTAATAAATTGCCTCCCAGTCTTGTCATCTGGACAGAATGAAGCTCCAGGGCTTTGAGTGATTTAGAGCAGAACCACATGACACTTGGGGGTGGGGGCTCCAACTTGAGAAGCCATCCCAACACCCCAAGACAGGCACTGACCCAACACAAGAAATGTGCCCTTCTACTTCCCACTCCCATTCCCTGGGTCCTCCCTCTCCCCCTCTCAGATTCCAAGCTGGGCTCCAGGCTCAACGCCAATTCTCTGAAACCCAACTCTCCGAAGGGGGCCAACTCAGGGAGTTGTCTTAGCAGGCAAGTGGGGACTGGCCATCTTCCAGTAGGACCTCCCTCTGTGCTAGTTGTAAGGATGAAGTGAGATATTAAATGTAAAATGTTTTACTTTTTTTTACACGCGCATGGCGTATACACATGCTTCATAGAACCACGTACGCAGCTCTCAGAATTTCTCTTTTGCACCCATTTCAACTGTTCAGCTCTTCAATCCATCTTCAATTCCTCTTTCTCTGCTCCCCGAATATCCCCAGCGTCACTGCCTCAGCCCAGCACCTGGCGCAGCAGAGTGCTGCCCAGAGGTGGCGCTCAGTGAATGGCTGAAATGATGGGATAAATACAGGTTAGCCCCGAGCGGCAGGTATATCTGAACGGCACCACCATCCGCCGGCCACTCCAGGTGGACACCTGGGCCCAGCCCCTCACTCCCCACTCCCCCTCACCATCCTGAGCCTGGCACCAAACCCCCCGCCCCACCATCCTAAGACTGCACCATCCTCCTGCCCTTTTCTCTGCAGCTGCCCCACTTCCACTCCACTCTCCAAATCAGGTTGGTCTTTGTCCACTGGAAGATATACACATGAAATTACTTACTAACCATTCCACTTTACCCAAGTGATTTGCTTTTTAGAACACAAACTTGAACTGAGTCGAGGTCATTTTTCCTCCATGAAAGACATCTTCACTGGGTGCTTCCGATTCAGCACACATTCCTGAGAGCTGAGAACAGAGGGGTATAATCCCATGCCAGACCAAGGGAGTGTGGTTCCTGGGACGGGCACCTGTCTCATGGGACCTCTCTGTGTGCCTCAGTTTCCTCATCTGTAAAATGGGAGAATTACAGGAGCTCCCTGCAGAGTTGTTGTGAAGATTAAATGAGTTGCTACATGCAAAACTTGGAGCGCAGCCTGGTCCAGTGTGTTAACATTATTATTATCACCATCATTATTATTTTTAGGTGTGCAGAAAAAGGGCCTGAGGACTGCAGTTCTACACGGTAGCAAGTGATGGCTACAAAGTTGCTCAGTTGGTCACTTCCCTCCCCTCATAAAAATCCCTCCATGGCTCCCCGGTGCCCTCAGGCAAAGTCCTTCAGGATCTGGTCCCTGCTGATCTGGCAATCTCATTTTGCACCACACACGCCCAACCCAGTCAGCTGCAGCAACCAACTTCTCTGGACCAGGTGGTGATTGGTCAGCACAGGGTTAGCCCTGAAAAAGGTTTGCTTTAAATCTGTTAATGCGGCAGGGTGAGTTTGCACAGCATCAGATCACTATCCACCCTAGGCGGTGTCCTCTGGTTTAAGGGCAAAATGCAAATGATACATTTGGAAATAATCAGCAACCAAGATTACTTATCTGGGGCAAGGAGCTCTTCTTTCCCCAGCAAATGCTGCCCTATGGGGTCTGCCATATTTCCCGACCGCCGCTTGTGTGTGTTGCAGGCATCTTATCTCATTCGACATTATTATTTTCTAGAGGATAAGATAGCAATGTTTGCTCAACTCAGTATTATCAACCCATGATTGCAGCTACCTGTACTTTATATTCACCGCCAAAACAGAAAAACATCCTAAGACTTGTGAAATCAACCTGAATTGGGGGGTAGGCGTGGATATAAAAGAAAGAAGACCATCGTAAGAGCTCAGGAGTAACATATTATCCTGATTAAGTATGGGGGAGGAGTTAATGCACTGAGGTTAAAAATGCATCGTTTTTCTTTTCTTTTTTTTTTCTTTTTGCAAATTGTGTTCTTGTGTGTTTCATGATGACTGATATGATATATCCTTGGCTTTCAGAGCAAGAAAAGTCATCAGGGTTTCATTTGTTATGTTTATGCCAAGAGAAATCAATCTCCACAGACACAGAGAAGGCTGCTCACACTCACGATGCTGTCTGGGGAATCGGCCAGTCACGCCCTTGGCGGACGGCAGAAGAGATACTGGGTAAGATATGCTTTGGGCTTATTGATTACAAAGCTTCTTCATTACTTCTGTGGAGCTGCAGATCAATAGGCTCACAGAAACATAATAGATTTTTTTAGAAAATCAATTAAACAGAATATTTTTTACAGAATTGAGTTTGCACAGCCGTGTCGTTGGTGTGCAGCTTCACATTTTTAATGCAGTTTCTCTGTAAGAGCCACGTTATAATGAAGAGGTGGCAAACCCTTGGTTAAAAGTTCACGCATAGCAATACGAATGGGTCAGATTAGAGGGAGGGAGACAGGACCGACTCTCCAGGGAAAGCAGAGAGCATCGCAGCCGCAGCCTTGCTGGAGAGCAGTGGTGTGGGGCACCTGACCTGCCTATTGCCTACATATCATCATATGGGCAAAACCTATCCGTGTGCCTCCTCTCAGTCTAAAAAACGGAACTGAAACTTCTTGGAAAGCTCAGATTGACGTCTGAATTTCCCCATTCTGAAAGCAGAAGGAAGCTCAGCAGGCATAAAGGTGAAATACAGCCAGGCTGTGGCTGTCCAGATTTGCCGTGGCGTACACGCGGCTTTCTTTTCTAAGCTGTAGAGGAGTAGCTGCAGGAGCTGAGACGTGGGGTTCAGGCTTCGGAACAGTGGTGGGGAGGGGCTTTGGCCTGAACCCCAGGCCCATGGGCCACACACATGGAGCTTTTCAGGTCACAGGTAGGTAAGCCATTTCCCACAGTGCCAGGTTTATGCAGAGTGACCCTTGCAGGCGTGCTGCAGTGCCCCAAATCACAGTCCTGAGCCAGCAGGGGCTGACACCATCCCTGATTCACTGTGCTTCCCTCCTGTTGCCGTGTTCCTCCTGGTTTGGTATGATCCTGGAAGACAGGCATGAAGAAGAAAGAGAAGAAGGAGAAGGAAGAGGAGGAGGAGGAGGAGGGAGGAGGAGGGAGGAGGGAGAGGAGGAGGAGAGGAGAATGAAGAAGGGAAAAGAAGGAAGAAGGAGAAGGAGAAGGAGGAGGAGGAGAGGAGAATGAAGAAGGGAGAAGAAGGAAGGAGAGGAAGGAGAAGGGGGGGGAGGAGGAGGAGGAGGAGGATTAGAAGAATTATTAGCCATCCTGGCTAACCCGGTGAAACCCCGTCTCTACTAAAAATACAAAAAATTAGCCGGGCGTGGTGGCGGGCGCCTGTAGTCCCAGCTACTCGGGAGGCTGAGACAGGAGAAAAAAAAAAAAAGAAAAGAATTATTAGAAGAATTACTACAAGAATTGCAAGAAGAAAGTAGAAATTCCCCTCCCATTTCTGGGAACTCTACGAAGAACCGCTCACACGTATGCGGTGAGAAACCCAGCAGGAAAGCCTCCTGAAAGTACTCCAGCTCTGCCGAACACAGGACTTCAATGTTCCCAACAGTGCATGATAAATAACAAGGCTATAACTCCACAGAGAAGCCCATTGATGACATTTAGAAATCTCCCTTAGCTTCGTTCTCATGGTTTGCATCGTCAGAACCCCAGGATGGAATCTCAACCTCAATTGATGTCCATTTCGGGGGTGGATGTTGTTGAATCGCACTTCCTTTGTTCTGGCTCTTGTCCCCTTGGGCTTGTTCTTTGGTAGGCCCGGTGTTCCTCTGGGGGGCCTCTCTTCCTTCCCGCTCCACCCCAGGGAAGGACAGAGCGTTCTGCCCTCTGAAAATTTAGATTATTTACATCTCTAAAGGGGCATCACTAAAGGAGCAGTGTCTGGGCTTTGAGTTGCTTCTAACACTTCTCTGTAAATTCTCCCCATTTTGTTTTGTTTTGTTTTTACCCTGAATTAGTAAGATTCTGAATTGAATCCTGAAACCTGGAGTGAAATATGAAGTCCTCCTTTCTGCAGGGCTAGAATACAATCAGACCCCCAAATGAAGCTAAGGCAGCAGGCTGAGTTTGCCTGGAGACCAACACGTGCCCGAAGGTGGAGACATTCATTCCCTTGTTCCTTCGCCTCCCTACAGGTAGCATCACTGGGGAGCAATCCAAGGGTGCTGAGGCTGCAAGTGTTGTTTGAGAAAAGGGGAACATTAGAAGGAAGTGCAAATGGAAGTCTTTCTGATCCAATGATTTGGGGAAAATTATTTCTTCCAAGGCCATGTTTCCAGCCCAATGGATTTCATGGCACCTAGTATGTATCTCGGCAAAACAGCAACTGAGCCATCCAAGGATCCGCATTACCTTCTTTTCTTTTCTTTTCTTTTCTTTTTTTTTTTTTTTTTTTTTGAGAGGGAGTCTTGCTCTGTCGCCCAGGCTGGAGTGCAGTGGTGTGATCTCGGCTCACTGCAAGCTCCGCCTCCTGGGTTCACGCCATTCTCCTGCCTCAGCCTCCCGAGTAGCTGGGACTACAGGCGCCCACCACCACGCCCGGCTGATTTTTTGTATTTTTAGTAGAGACGGGGTTTCACCGTGTTAGCCAGGATGGTCTCGATCTCCTGACCTCGTGATCCGCCCGCCTCGGCCTCCCAAAGTGCTGGGATTACAGGTGTGAGCCACCGCGCCCGGCCAGCATTACCTTCTTTTCAAGGGCCTGTCTCCCTTGCCTCCATAACTGTTGTGGGTATTGACGGCCAGGCTTCTAAACCCCTTAAAACTCCCCAACTCTAGTGCCAACTTGGACAACATTCTTTTATGCACTCCTTTTTAGTTATCCCCACCTGCCCAGCTCCATTATTAGGTCGAGACATTTTAACTAAATTATCTGTCAGCCTTTCACGTTTAATCGTTCAAAACTCGACCTGGATCCACAATAGACACTAGAATGCAAGACTCTGAGAAAACTCTAGGGAAGAACAATAGCACTGCCACAAAAAACAATGTGGAAACTGTCAGGCCTCTGAGCCCAAGCTAAGCCATCATATCCCCTGTGACTTCCACGTATGCATCCAGATGGCCTGAAGCAACTGACGATCCACAAAAGAAGTGGAAATAGCCTTAGCTGATGACATTCCACCATTGTGATTTGTTTCTTCTCCACCCTTAAGAAGGTTCTTTGTAATCTCCCCCACCCTTAAGAAGGTTCTTTGTAATTCTCCCCACCCTTGAGAATGTGCTTTGTGAGATCCACCCGCTGCCAGCAAAACATTGCTCCTAACTTCAATGCCTATCCCAAAACCTAAAAGAACTAATGATAATCCCACCACCCTTTGCTGACTCCTTTTTTGGACTCAGCCCGCCTGCACCCAGGTGAAATAAACGGCCTTGTTGCTCACACAAAGCCTGTTTGGTGGTCTCTTCACACAGACACGTGAGACAGAAACAAGAAGCTCCCTCTATGTGCCCTGTAGGGACATTTTTCTTGGAGAATCGTAACTCTAAATTCTTACCTCGCAGAGAGGGACCCGATGGGACCTGTTTAGTAAATATTACTGAGTTCTGCCACTTGTCGACAATCTTCCAGGGAGATAACTCCTAATTAATTAGAAAAAGTGCCTGCCCTCGAGGCGCATACATTCTATGAGTGAGAGAAACAGACACAGATGTGACATGGATGCCGCAGCGCAAGGATTTTGTCTGCATGTTCATTGCTGAGTCCCCACGTTTAGAAGGGTACCCTGCATACTTACCTGGCAGAGGAGACACCATGATCACAAAGGTGGTTTTCCCAGGGTTAGGCTCACATTCCAGGTGTGCTGACCCCTGCAATTTTCCCAAATGCAGGAAATTCAACTGCATAATCGGTGGGGGAGTGGGGGGGACTGTGTTTGCGCTTTCCCCTGTGGGTTTTTTTTTTTTTTTTCTAATATTAAAAAAAAGAAGAGGCTGGGCGTGGTGGCTCACGCCTGTAAGCCCAGCACCTTGGGAGGCCAAGGAGGGTGGATCAACTGAGGTCAGGATTTCGATACCAGCCCGGCCAACGTGGTGAAACGCTGTCTCTACTAAAAATACAGATGTGGCCAGGCACAGTGGCTCACGTGTGTAATCATAGCACTTTGGGAGGCTGAGGCGGGTGGATTACCCGAGGTCAGGAGTTCAAGACCAGCCTGGCCAACATGGTGAAACCCCCGTCTCTACTAAAAATACAAAAAGTAGGCCGGGCGCGGTGGCTCACGCCTGTAATCTCAGCACTTTGGGAGGCTGAGACGGGCAGATCACGAGGTCAGGAGATCGAGACCATCCTGGCTAACATGGTGAAACCCCATCTCTACTAAATATACAAAAAAAAAAAAAATTAGCCGGGAGTGATGGTGGGCACCTATAGTCCTAGCTACTTGGGAGGCTGAGGCAGAATGGCGTGAACCCAGGAGATGGCGTTTGCAGTGAGCAGAAATCATGCCACTGCCCTCCAGCCTGGGTGACAGAGCGAGACTTCGTCTCAAAAAAATAAAATAAAATAAAATAAAAATAAAAAATAAAAATACAAAAAGTAGCTGGGCGTGGTGGCACACACCTGTAATCCCAGCTATTCAGGAGGCTGAGGCAGGAGAATCGCTTGAACCCGGGAGGCAGAGGTTGCAGTGAGCCGAGATCGTGCCACTGCACTCCAGCCTGGGTAACAAGAGCGAAACTCCATCTCAAGAAGAAAAAAAACCAAGAAGAGTGCAGGCTCTCAGTGAATTATGAACCAGACTGAGTCTGTATCATGGCATATGTCAGGTGGTAACAAGTGATGTGTGTGCCGGGAAAAGTCTTCATAAGCACAAAACATAAAGGCCTTACAGGTGCTGAGTGTAAATAGCCTTGACCCTGAAGGAGGACTGCATTTTATAGCCCTCAAAATAGCCCCACACTCACCCTTTGCACACCTCACAATCAAGCCTATGGACCCCACACACACACACACACACACACACCCCACATGCACAGGCACACATGTCATCTCATCTACAACAGAACCTGCTGTCCACAGGCATTTTCTGCAGTGCCATGCCTCAGGCCTCATTTTCACACCCAGTGTAGGTCATTTTTAACCCACTCCCCATACAACAAAAGGATTTTTGGTAATTGTGGTGGACTGAATAATGAGGCCCCAAAAATCCAGGTCCTAATCCCTAGAACCTTTCAATGTGACCGTATATGGAAAGAGGGACTTTGCAAATGTGATTAAATTAAGCAACTTGAGATGGGGAGATTATCCTGTTTTATCTGGGTGGGCCCTAAGAGTCATCAAATGGATCCTAGTCAGAGGAAGACAGAGGGAGACTTGAGAGCAGAGGAGACTGTGTAACCACGAAGGCAGAGATTGGAGTGAAGGGCTCTGAGAATTTAGGAAGGGGCCCTGAGCCAAGGAATGCAGGCTCAAAACCAGCACAGACTCCAAGTAAGTCCCTAGTGCAGCCTCTACGAGCTGGAAACGACAAGGCAAGGAATGCCTAGCAAGAGCCTGCAGAGGGAGCGCAGGCCTGCCAACACCCGGATGAAACCCATTTAAGACTTCTGGCCTCCAGAATTGTAAGATAAGACATTTATGCTGTGGCCGAAGTAGGAGCAATGCTTGAGGCCAGGAGCTCAAGACAAGCCTGGGCAACATAGTAAGACCCCAACTCTACAGAAAATTTAAAAATAGCCAGGCATGGTGGTGCACGCATGTAGTCCCAGCTACTTGGGAGGCTGAGGCTGGAGGATCGCTTGAGCCCAAGAGTTCGAGGCTGCAGTGAACCAAGGTCTTACCCCTGCACTCCAGCCTGGGCTATAGAGCAAGACCTTGTCTTAAATACATAAATACATTTCTGCTGCTTGAAGCCACCAAGTTTGTGGTACAATTTGTTACAGCAACCGTAGGATACTAATACAGCTATAAAGTAATAGACGTTCTTTTTTGGTTTATGATTTAAAACTGTTTTCATAGAAGAATAAATTTTCATGTTAAAAAATTATTCAAATTCAGTAAAATATTTCATGTATGAACTAAAATTTGTATTTACCAAACACTTCTCCTTGCAGTTCACACTGTTTCACTCTTTGTTTTTTTGTGATGAAGTTTTACTCTTGTCGTCCAGGCTGGAGTACAGTGGTGCAATCTCAGCTCACTGCAACCTCCACCTCCTGGGTTCAAGTGATTCTCCTGCCTCAGTCTCCTGAGTAGCTGAGATTACAGGCGTGTGCCGCCATGCCTGGCTAATGTTTGTTTTTTTAGTAGAAACGGGGGTTTCACCATGTTGCCCAGGCTGCTTTCGAACTCCTGACCTCAGGTGATCTGCCCGCCTCAGCCTCCCAAAGTGCTGGGATTACAGGCTTGAGCCACCACACATGGCCTCTTTCACTGTTTTAAATTTGAATTGCAGATAAGGAGGATTTGTGGTCACACAGAATGACGGAGCTGAAAGAAGTCCAGCTCTGTTGCTTCATCGTTGCAATCCCTGTGCTGTCATTGTGCATTTCTAATCTGTTTAATGAAGGAGAATGTAATTCTGCAGGGGTTGGTTACATAGACTACACCCAAGGCGCCTCAAATGATTCCACACCTTAGAAACGTGAAAACCAGTGGCCATCCTTGTGCTGGGAGCTGACTGTACAACTGGCATTTTCCAAATTAACTGTCACAAAGAATGCAATGTTTATCAGAGTAAGTAATAAAAATGTGCTAATTTGAAGCTTACATATATATTATTAGAACTCAACAGTAAGCAGAACTTGTTTAGAACAGAGGCCAACCAAAAAAATTTTCAGGGACATTGTTTAGAAGTGCGGATGCACGATGTTAATAAAAAGCAGACGAACTTTTAGCCAGTTTTATTATTGTTTGTAAATTTCCTACGGATACTGCATGTGCTCACTGCCTGCCCTGGGTGGCACACTGATTTCTCGTGGTGCAGGAGAAAGGAAGACTGTTATCTTGGCTTAGATGCTAAGCCTTCCTCGGGCCCCGCTGTGCCTAGAAACTGAGTGAAACCTCCAGGGCTGTGCCTGGTCTCTGAGCGCAGTGCTCAGAGAGCTGGTGGGCAGAGGACCTGGGAGGAGGGAACTCCACAAAGGCCCCTGAAGCTCTAACTGGGTATAAAGTCGAAGGAGGCTTCCCTCCATCCTGAGGCAGGGCAGCTTGCAAGGGATTTGAGGGCAGGGCCAGCCTAGACAAAACCAGCACAGACCCCCAGTGGGTCGCCTGTGCAGGCCCTTCTCCCCTGGGGTACCCCAGCCCCCTGAGCCTGACCTCCTAGAGACTTGTCCTCCCTCCCAGCCTTTGGAACTTCCTACACTGCCCTTACCCCCTCATCCCCAGGGACACACCCCCGACCTGGAACTCATCGCTCAGCTAGAGACCAGCCAGGTGCCACCCTGAGTGGCTGGCCCTGCAAATGGAGGGGATCTGGATGTCTCCTGGCATGTGGCGGTGCCAGGCTGGTGAAGGAATGAAGTCACCAGGAAACAGAGAGGCAGTGGGAACAAGAAAGCAAGAAAGCAGAGGCCACCTGGCCCACACCCTCCAACCACCCTGCACCTGCACCTGGTTGCTGCTTCCTAAGCATGCGACCTTTCTCCCCTGAATGCCCCAGGTTGCAGGTGGCCTCTTGGTGACAAGAAGACTCAGAGGTACTTATACACTTTGGAGTCGAGAGAAAGGGATTCAAACCCTGCCTGTCCCCTGTTTGCCCTCGGGCAACATTCCACCCCCCAGAAAATGAGACTGGAACTGGGCACAGTGATTCACACCTGTAATCCCAGCATTTTGGAAGGACAAGGTGGGTGGATTGCTTGATCCCAGGAATTTGACCAGCCTGGGCGACATGGTGAAACATCATCTCTACAAAAAATGTATGTAAAAATTAGCCAGGCATGCTGGCACGTGCCTGTAGTCCCGGCTACTCAGGAAGCTGAGGTGGGAGAATCACTTGAGCCCACGAAGTCAAGGCTACAGTGAGCCATGATCGCACCACTGCACTCCAGCCTGGGCAACAAAGTAAGACCCCATCTCAAAAAAAAAGAAGAAGAAAGAAAGAAAGAAAGAAAGAAAAACAAGGCTGGAAGGCTGAGCAGGGTAACGGTGCCTGTGAGGATACCTGGTGCAAGGGTGGGCAGTCAGCCTTCACCTCCCACTCCCCTCCTTCTGGGCAAATGCTCATGGGCACATCCAAATAGTAGGGCACAGTGTCATTTGCCCTGAGCCCCTCTTCCCTGGCCCCACAACCAGGAAGGGGCTGACTTGCTCCCTAGAGTTAGCTTCCACCATTTAATAGGAGCCTTTTGGAGAGATGGCAATCATTTTCAGCAGTCTCAGTGGAGGAGGCATTCAAGGACTTTAGGGTGACACCCAAGGTGGCTGCTGGGGCAGGCAGCCCTGTTTTGAGTTGAGCTGGAGTGGGAACAGGGTGGGAGAAGGAATGGAGGGTGAGCAGAGAGGCAGTTCCCACCCTGTCGGTATGCAAATCACTTGCTGCTGAGATAAATGATCCGGCAGGATGGCAGGCAGGGTTCCCAGCGGGAGTCATTTGTCATTTCTACTCCTGATGTGTGAGTGAGAGAGTGAGAGCCTCCCCCATCCCTCCCCGCGACACAGGTAGCTCAGCCAAGCCCCAGGTGCCCGGGACAAGAGGCATCTCCCAGACCTCCACCTCCCCGAGTCTGGAGAGGGGCCTGCCTGGCACAGTCCTGGACGTGGGTTCTCCCAGCGCTGAGCATGGGAGAATACTCCTTGGTGGCCAGAGAGTGGGCCCTTTGTCTCCTGGAAGGACGATGTCAAACCACAAACCTCCCTCTCTTGGCAGTCAGCTCCCTGGCTAGTTGACAAGGCGTGCGTTGCTAAGATTATTCATGACATCAGCAGAGCCCAACCATATCTGGGGTTCACAGGGCGGGCCTGGCACAGAGCAGGGAAGGGTCAGGCCAGGTTGTGTTCCAGCAAGAATGTGCGTCAAGTTTGGACCCCATGGGTTCGTGTGTAAATGATTGATGAAGGGACAGATGAATCAATCAATCCTGGAGATCCTGAATTTGCCAGAAATCCAATCCAACCATCCCGCCCTTTCCTATTTGGGCTCCTCGTCTTGAGAGCAAACGCTTGAGAACATCACACTAGGAAGGACTCAGAATGTCGGGGAACAGATGCCAGGCAGTAGTGATTTACTAAGAGAGGAATGGGCTGCCCGGGCCGGGCTCGGTGGCTCACGCCTGTAATCCCAGCACTTTGGGAGGCCGAGGTGGGCGGATCACCTGAGGTCAGGAGTTCAAGACCAGCTTGAACAACACGGAGAAACCCCATCTCTACTAAAAATACAAAAAAAATTAGCCAGGCATGGTGGCGCATGCCTGTAATCCCAGCTACTTGGGAGGCTGAGGTGAGAGAATTGCTTGAACCTGGGAGGCAGAGGTTGCAGTGAGCCGAGATCGCGCCATTGCACTCCAGCCTGGGCAACAAGAGCAAAACTCTGTCTCAAAAAAAAAAAAAAAGAAAGAAAGGAAGGAAGGAAGGAAGGAAGGAAGGAAGGAAGAAAGAAAGAAAGAAAGAAAGAAATGGGCTGCCCTTCCTCACAGCCAGGGATGCTGTCCCCACCCACGCTGATAAGCTTCCAGCGCTTAGAGACGGTTTCCCACCATCCGATGGCTGGGCTGGTGCGTCCAGCTAGAGCTCAGAACCTGCCCTTAGTAGGAGCCCAATAAATATTCGCTGATAAACAAACAATCAGAGAAGGCCCTCATAGGACCACATGGCATGGCCTTAATTCTGGAAAGAATTAAAACTTTTTGGCACAGTTAGGGATTGAACTTACAACTTGGTGTAAAAAGCATATGGTCTCATTTTGTTCTTTTATTCTCTTGTTCTTTCACTCACTCACTCACTCATTCATTCAAGAACTATTTCTTGAGGACTCACTATGTGCTCAGCATTGGACAATGATGACTCTCAGTATGTCATGGGTTGCCAGTGAGCAGGACCCTGAACAGCGACCAGGGGCCTCTCTGCTGACAATGGCCAGAAGTTTCTAGACACAAAGGGCCCCACAGCTCTTGGTGAACCCCAGATATCACTGGGCTCTGCTGATCATGGAAAATCTTCGCAGCTCATGCACAGGACGCACATTTGTCAATTAGCCGGTGAGTTCACAAGCCAAAAGAAAGTGGTTCGAAGCTTTCCGTTGCCTTTCCAGCAGATGGAGTGTCTTGGCCAAATCCCAGCACCACCCAGGCTGCCTCCTCGGGAGGGTTCTTCCTTCTCTTGATGGAGAGGGGCTGGACAGGTCTGCCATCTCTCACTTGAGGTCCCCATCAGAACACTCTGAGGTCAACTCCACCTACAGCCTCCTACCACCAAAACTTGGGAAAACTCCTGAAAGGCAGATTTGATTCAACTCACTTCAGCAACACATTCTTTGATACCTACGACGCGCAAGGTCCTACTAAGGCAGGGCAAGCGAGCTGTAAGATGGGGCTTAGTCCATGAGGGTTCTTGGTCTTGCCCAGGAAATAATTCAAAGGCAAGCAGGGGGTAGAAGAAAATGGCTTTGTTGAAGCAGCAGTGTTACAGTTGCGTGACAGCTCCATGACTGCCCCTGCAGAGCAGGGCTGCCCCATAGGCAGTGTGCTGAGAGCTGCCACTCAGGGCAGGTTAGCAGACATATTTATACCCACTTTTAATTGCATGCAGATTAAGGGGCAGTTTATGCAGAAATGTCTAGGGAATGAGCAGTAACTTTTGGGTCATCAACATTGTCATAGAAAGAGGCGGTAATTCCCGGCTGTTGCCATGGCAATGGGAACCTGACATAGCACACTGGTGGCCATGTCTGACTGGAAAGCTGCTTCTGCACTGGTCTGGTTTTAGCTAGTCCTCAATCTGTTCCAGTGTCTGAGCCCCACCTCTGGAGTCAGGTCCCACCTCCTACCTCATTATGTTCAAACTTACCAGGAGGAAAAAGACCCAGTCTCTTTTATGCAGGTACTGATGACCTAGAGAAGAGAGACACAAACACAAGTAGCTATAATGTAAGAGGGAGGTCAAGGGTTGCCGCCCACAAGGAGATGAGGTCACAGGGGATGCGATGCTGGTGAGAGGTGAGCCAGGGCTGCTCAGGGGCTGGGAGGCAGGGTCAGCAGGTGACAGCAATGGCATGGCAGCTTCCTCAAAAGAAGGGGGCTGGGGTGGGCGTGGTGGCTCACGCCTGTAATCCCAGCACTTTGGGAGGCCAAGGCAGGTGGATCATCTGAGTTCAGGAGTTCAAGACCAGCCTGGCCAACATGGTGAAAGCCCGTCACTAGTAAAAATACTAAAAACTACCCAGGGGTGGTGGTGTGTGACTGTAGTGCCAGCTACTCGGGAGGCTAAGGCAGGAGAACTGCTTGAACCGGGGAGGCGAAAATTGCAGTGAGCCAAGATCACACCATCGCACTCCAGCCAGGGCAACAAGAGTGAAACTTTGTCTCAAAAAAAAAAGAAGAAGAATGGGAGCTGGAACCTGGGGAGGCGACAGGGAACAGTGTCAGTTGGGAATCCCCCATGGGCAGGAGCTCAGGGCATCTCTTCCCATCCGTGAATGGGCCAGAGGAGCAGAGACACAGGTGAAGCCGTGGGAGACTGCCCCCTGAGGGAGGTGTGGCAGACATTGCAGGGGATCCAAATTCATTCCAAGAAGAGGATCCATGGCACTCTGCAGGGGAAACTGAAGGATGTGTCAGGCGCCTGTCCACTCAGAAGGAAAGGGCTTAGAAAGGGGCAGACAGGAGGCCTGGATGGGGAGGGTGGAAGAGGACAAAGATGGACAGCGGGCAAGGGGATCTCAGAATCAAAACCAGAGGGCCGCATCTGCTGCCTAGGCGTCACACAAAGCCTCTGCAGAGCCTGCAGCGTGAGGGCAATGTGCGTTTGCTGCGTCTGTTGCCATGTGCCCATGTGTGCATCTGTGACACGTCCCCAGTCATGCGTTTGCTGCAGACCCAGCCAGTGTGCATTCCCTGCCCTCTCAGAGCTCATGTTCCACTTGGGGAGAGAAACAACAAGCAAACGGACATGCTGAATGAAGAAAAGGAAGCAGGGTGTGGGGAGGGTAGTGGGAAGGGTGCGCAGAGAGGAGGATGGGTTACGAGCCTACATTCAAGGAACTGAAGAAAGGTCTCCTAGCTGAGCAAGATGGCTCATGCCTGCAATCCCAGCACTTTGGGAGGCCAAGGTGGGCAGACTGCTTGAGCCCAGGAGTTTGAGACCAGCCTAAGCAACATGGTGAAACCTCATCTCTATAAAACATATTTTAAAAATTAGCCAGGCGTGGTGGCATGCAGCTGTAGCCCCAGCCACTTGGTAGGCTAAGGTGGGAGGATAGCTTGAGCCTGGGAAGCTGAGGCTACAGTGAGCTGTGATGGCACCACTAAACCTGTCTCAAAAAAAAAAAGAAAAAAAGAAAGAAAAGAAAAGAAAAGAAAAAAGAAAAAGAAAGAAAAGAAAGGAGAAAAGGTTTATTTTCTCCTGGAAGGAGTAACCCCTGAGAGGCTGGCTTTTTTGAGTCTCCTTTCACCCTCCCTGGGAATGTGGGCTCCAGCAGGTGCACCCCACCGATCCCCCCTCCCCCAGGCTGCTGTCGAAGGGCCACAAGGGAGTAGCTGGCTTTGATGGTGTTCCTGTGGTCTGATCCTCTGGGTTTTATCTGAGCCTGGTCCCAGCAGGTGGCTGTGGGGCCCAGCAGGGCCACCTGAACCCCACTGAGAATGCATTCTCTGATCTTCTCTTTCTTGGCTGTGGAGAACAGAAGTTGAAGGAAGATTGCAGCTTTGGAAAAAGGCAACCTCAGGAAGCAAAGTTCATTCTCAGTTCCAACCTGGGAGAGGCACAGAGACCCCACAGTTCTCCCTCTGGGAACAGCAGGCCCCAGCCTGACGCAGGTCCTCTCCAGTCGGACACCACCACCATGATCCCAGCTGGTCCTCAGAGGGGCTGCTGGCCTCCAAAGCCTGCTTCCAACACTGCAGGGTGCAGTCATTTCTTTCTTGTCCATCAACATCCCCCTTCCTGCGTGAGAGTCCACCCACAGACTTCTCCCATCCAGAAGCAGCTTTACGGGTTTTTTAGGGGCCTATTGCCTGCCCTCCAGCGCCAGGAGTCTCTACCCCTGGGATCAGGAAATGGGGGCTGCGGGCAGGGTTACAGGGAGGAGTCACTTCCTGGCTGCAGGTATTGAGGCCAGAAGGATGCCAGCCCTGGGTAATGCCCAAGTGCCAGTCTCCCTCCTTCCTCCTTGGCCCCCACACCCCTCTTTCTGAGAGCGGAGGTCTTGCACTTGAACTTGGGAATGTGTCATTCCCCAAGACCCCCACACAGGGCCACCAGGACCTTGCCCTCCTTCTCCAGACCCCAAAGCTGGTTTCTCCTCCCTCTTCCTTGCTGTGCCCATCCTTCTTCCTCTCCCAGGGTCCCCACATCTCCCAGATCTTCCAAAGCCCCGAACTGCTCCGTAGAATCAGGTGTTCAGTTTTTCTCCTCCACTGAAATCAGGCAGCCATCAGCTACTCCTGCACTGAAGGTGGCGTTTGGGGCAAGGTGAGAGACCTGCCAGGGGAGGCAGTGGGCAGTGCGCTGCACTGTGGTCAGCAGCTGCGGGAACGGGGATTCCTGAGCAAAGGGCTGGCACCTTGCAGTCCTCAGCCAGACCCCCAGGCCCACCTGCCCCTCGACCGAGGCCAGACTCCCTGCAGGGCTGTGGCCCACACTCCCTTCCCCGGGGCCCGGCCAGGATCCTTTCTGCTTGTCCATGGCAGGCTGGGACTCACCCAAGGCTGTGTGTCCAGGAGGCCACTGAGCCTCCTGATGTCCACCGAGGAGTCCATGTGACCAGTGACAGGCACAGCCCCAAGCATGGGCCACAAACACATCACCAGGGCAGCAGGAGGGAGCCGGAGGCCAGCGCATCACATTTTTAAAAAGAACGTTCTGGCCCTAGGACTGGCTCCCCTGTCTGGAGGCTTTTCCACTCGCCTCTCTGTTCTCGGTCTCCTGCCCTTCTCTCTACCACTCCCAGCCTCCTTCCTGAAGCAAAGGGAGGGCCCCAGGGTGAAGAGTGAAGTCCCTTGCCTTGCCTCAGTCTCCCTTTTTGTGAAATAAACAATCCTATGACCCAGAATGAATAAAGGGCTTTGAATATACCCATTTCCTAGTCTCTGGATTTGAATCCTCCCAACCTAGGATTCCTCTGCTAGAGAGAAGGCCTGACTCGGCTCCCCAAAACCTCCCCCCAACCCAGCTCTGCCTCAAGCCTCCCGCTACCTCCATTCCAGCTCCCTTCGTCCCAGCTTCCCCCCTGCAGCTCCCCAGGCCCCAGTTCTGCCCCTACCCCACCTCCCCCAGCCCCACCTTCCCCACCCAGCTCCAACCTGCCCTGCCCCACAAGCTCCCCCTCCCCAACTCTCTCCCCCTCCCACCCCAGCCCTACCTCCCTGCCCCGCCCATCCCTACTTTGCCTTCCCCGCCTGATGAAGCCTCCCCTTCTGCCATCCCTCAGCTGTGGCCTGGCATGGAGATGTAATTACTGCATTAGCCCAGTGGCCTGAAGAAAGACTGGGGTTGGGAGCGGGGTGGGCTGAGAACTGGGGGAGAGGAAGGTTCTTTATTAAATGCAGATGTTTTTAAATCACTGTAATTAACTGGGATGGATACCACGAATCACAGGCATAAAAGCTAAATGGGCTTTTGTTTTAACTGTTTGTCATATATTTAAAAGGGTCATCAGAGAATATAGTACATGGAGAGGTTCTTGCTCTCTTCCTGCTTGCTTTTGCCTGGCAAAGGCTTTCTTCGGACACGTTGGTGAACACGCACGTGCCCATGCACACACACGCCTCCATCCATCCCCTCCTCTCTTTCTGAGTCTCTCTCACATCCACACACATCCACACTGCACACACACCCTCCGTTCTCTCACACACACACTCAGTGGGGCTGGCCTGGATAGGTCTTGGCTGCAAAGGAGTGGGTATCCACCAAGGCAGCTGTGGAAGAATCAAGTTCCCCGCCTTGGGAAGTTTCCTCGGAGGCCCGGGGGACGTCCTTCCCCAGCGGCTTCAGGAAGCACCGGCGGCTTCTCAGCGGACACACGCACAGACCCAAGCTCAGATACAAGAGGCATATCCGCGGAGACTTGCTGCCCCAACTCCTTCCTTGTTTCACTAAACAAGCTAGAGATAGACACACCTCCCTGTGGGCCAGACTCCCCGCTTCTCCCCGGGAATGTGGAATGTGGAGCCACTGTTCTACTTGGGCAAGCACTGTTTTTCCCAGGTCAAAGGCAGCAGGGAAGAGGCGGGTCCAGGCCCTGAGGGGTGGGCTGGGTGCTGAGAGGCTTTGAAGGGCCCCTCTGGCCAAACACTTCCACCTGCACCTCTTCTGGGGCCTGTCCCCAAAATACTTGAGCGAAGACAGGGCCTGCAGCCCATGCACGGCACGTGGCAGAGAGAAAGTGAATCGCACAAGCAGTGTGCATTGAAGGTCACAAAAGAGCATACCTTGACACAGCCTTGTGCACTAGTATTTTCTATTCTATTTTTCTTTTCTTTTCTTTCCTTTTTTTTTTTTTTAAGACAGAGTCTCACTCTGTTGCCCAGGCTGGAGTGCAACGGCACGATCTCAGCTCACCGCAACCTCTGCCTCCCAGGTTCAAGCGATTCTCCCTGCCTCAGCCTCCCGAGTAGCTGGGATTACAGGCGCCCGCCACCACACCCAGCTAAGGTTTGCATTTTTAGTAAAGACAGGGTTTTGCCTTGTTGGACAGGCTGGTCTCGAACTCCTGACCTCAGGTGATCTGCCCACATCAGTCTCCCAAAGTGCTGGGATTACAGGCGTGAGCCACCGTGCCCGGCCTAGGTTTTATATATATATATATATATATATATATATATATATATATATTTTTTTTTTTTTTTTTTTTTTTTTTTTTTTGAGACAGAGTTTTGCTCTGTCACCCAGGCTGGAGTGCAGTGGCATGATCATGGGTCAATATAGCCTCAACCTCTCAGCCTCAAGTGATCCTCCCACCTCAGCCTCCCAAGTAGCTGGGACACCAAGCACACATCACCACGTCTAGCTAATTTTTTAATGTTTTTGTAGATACAGGGTCTCACTGTGTTGCTCAGGTTGGTCTTGAACTTCCGGGCTCAAGTGATCCTCCACCTCAGCCTCCCAAAGGGCTGAGATTACAGGTGTGAGCCACCGAACCTGGCCAACATTATCTTTTCTATACTATTCTAATTCTAGTTTTCACAACCCACAACCCGGATTTTGAAACCTGGTGGGTGTCCTTCAGCAGTTTGAAAAACACAGCTCCTGCTCTTCTGTGACGCAGGCTTCAGAAAGCTCTCTAGGCCCAGGTGCCAGCTCTGCTCTCAGAAACATTCCAGGACTGGTCGGGCCAGGTGGCTCACGCCTGTAATCCCAGCACTTTGGGAGGCCAAGGGGGGCAGATCACCTAAGGTCAGGAGTTTGAGACCAGCCTGGCCAACATGGTAAAACCCTGCCTCTACTAAAAATACAAACATTCGCCAGGCGTGATGGCGGGCACCTGTAATCCCATCTACTCGGGAGGCTGAGGCAGGAGAATCACTTGAACCCAGGGGGCGGAGGTTGCAGTGAGCTGGGATCACGCCACTGCACTCCAGCCTGTGCAACAAGAGCTCCAGCCTGAGCGACAAGAGCAAGACTGTCTCAAAAAAAAAAAAAAAAAAAAAAAAAAGAAGAAGAAGAAGAAAAGAAAAAGAAACCTTCCAGGGCTGGTTTTATCCTTCCTTTCTCACCACCCAAAACACACATGGAAGAGAGTATCTTACCTTAGCTTTGACCTGCCACGCCATCCTTTCTTCTGGTCTCCTCTCCTGCTCACCTTCTGTCCTGGCACCACTAAGTCCATCTCCTTCCTCGCAGTTTCCTTCCAGTTTTTGAAACTCTTGAAAAGCCTCGTTAGAACATGACCTGAGTCTCCACCACTTTGAGAGCTCACAGGAAAGAAATCCAACTTCTTTCAATATGAAGAATCCAGCTGCATGTCTGAAGCTCAACTTGACATTCAACTGTCCTACTTCTAGCCAGCAAAGACATACTCTCAACTTGTAGAAAGGGTTTTTCAGGAAAGAGAGGAGCTGAGTGCTTATTGAGCAGTTACTATACACCCAGCACTCTCCTTGGAGTTCTAGTGGACATTATCTTTTTCACTGCTCTCGAGAACCTTATGAAAGCCAGGGCATAGTGGCTCATGCCTATGATCTCAGCACTTTGGGAGGCCAAGGCCAGAGGATTGCTTGAGCCCAGGAGTTCAAGACCAGGCTGGGCAACATACTGAGACTTCCTATCTCTACAAAAAATTTTAAAAATTAGCTGGGCGTGGTGGCACACGCCTGTGGCCCCAGCTACAGGGGAGGCTGAGGCAGGAGGATCACTTGAGCCCAGGAGTCTGAGGCTGCAGTAAGCTATGATCATGCCACTGCACTTCAGCCTAGGCGACAAAATGCGACCCTGTCTCAAAGGAAAAAAAAAAACACAAAACTTTACAAAACAGGACCTTATTACGACTCAGAAAAGGGAAGTGAGTTACCTAAGGCTTAGGGGCATCTATGGCATGGAGTTGGGTGGAGAGTGAGGAGAATTACGCCTTGGCCTGAGCATAACAAAGTCAAGTTTTTTCTGTTAGGGAGAATGCTTCCCTGGGGGGTGATCAGATGGCAGAACAGGTCTTCAGGCAAACAGGGATTGTTTTGCTAAATGAACGTGAACCAGTCTTTCCCAAAGCTTCCCACACATCCCTCCCACCCAGCTGTAAATTTCCAAGCTGAAGCCAACTGTTCTTAGTGTACCCTAGAACCAAACATGGGAAGGGTGGAGAGGAAGGAAAGGAAGAAGCGGTGCAGGGAAGAAAGCAGAGAAGTGGTGAGAAAGAGAAAAAGAGTAAGACAGAGGCAAAAATAGACAAAGAAAAAACAGTCATACCTTTTAATACATTTTCTCCATTTGAAAATAAACATTTTTGGCTGGGTGTGGTGGCTCACGCCTGTAATCCCAGCACTTAGGGAGGCCAAAATGGGTGGATCTCTTGAGGCCAGGAGTTCAAGACCAGCCTGGCCAACATGGTGAAACCCCGTCTGTACTAAAAATACAAAAATTAGCCGGGCGTGGTGGTGCATGCCTGTAATCCCAGCTGCTTGGGAGGCTGAGGCACGAGAATTGCTTGAACTTAGGAGGCGGAGGTTGCAGTGAGTCTAGATCACACCATTGCACTCCAGCCTGGGTGACAAAGAGAGACTCTGACTCAAGAAAAAAAAAAAGAAACATTTTTTCACTTTCTAACTTTCCAGAAATTGAAGTGCATCTTATAATAAACGTGGAAAGAAACTTGTCAGCTAATGATACATCTTACAACAGGGCGAATTGGAATGGAGGGAAAAACAGTAGTTGAAGATCATCCCTGTGGCTCCCAAGATGAAAGTTACTGGGGTGGCCTGAACTTCCCAGTGTGGCTCGAAGGTGTGTGTGGATTTTTCTTGTTTGCTATACGAAGGTTTCAACATAATCTGGTGACCATACTTTTAACCACACTGATTTATGGGGAAAGATGCTCTGGGGCCACAATTCTATTTCTATTTGCACAGCCTTATGTATTGATTTTCAGACGTATGCTCTCAGCAGAAAAAAAAATATTTTTTTTGCAGTAGCAATTAACCTAATAAACCACCTTTTCATCGTTCTGCATGTAGATTAACCACTTCAGAGAATACCAGATCAACACCGTGTTTTGCATGCCTGCACCTTCGGAGAGGAAGCTGTTATTTCAGAAGCCAGGCAGAACAAAGGGAGTCATCTGGTGCGATCCTAGTAATTAGAGAGAAGAGGCCCCTCAGGTGACTGCTGAGAAAGCTCCCTTAATTTGACCCTGTTTCACACAGTCCAATTTTCAATAAAAAGAGACACTTCAGCACTGTCCTTTAGGAAATCGCCTGGGAGTCCATAATCCCTCAGTCTTCCTGGGGGTTATTCTGTCTAAAGTCCTCCCTTCCGATCTGTTTGCGTCAAACCAGCCATCCCTCTTCCCGCTTCGGTATTTACCCAGGGACGTTTCCAGGGCCCAGGCCTCCGTGCCCGGTGGCAATGTTGACAAAAAACAGTCAAACTCTGTAAAATATTTGAAGAGATTTATTCTGAGCCAAATATGAGTGACGATGGCCCGTGACACAGCCCTCAGGAGGTCCTGAGAACATTTGCCCATGGTGGTCAGGGTGCAGCTTGGTTTTATACACTTAGGAAGGCATGAGACATCAATCAAATACATTTAAGAAATACATTGGTTTGGTTCAGAAAGGTGGGACAACTCAAAGTGGGGCAGGGCGGGGGAGGGGGAGGTGGTGGGGGGTGGGGCCGAGGGGGTTCAGGCGATCGGTAAATGTAAACATTTTCCGGTTGACAATTGGTTGAGTTTATCTGAAGACCTGGGGTAAAGGAAATGCTCAGGTTAAGATAAAGGATTGTGGAGACCAAGTTTTATTGTGCAGAGGAATGTCTCAGCAGACTTTAGAGAGAGAGCAGGTTGTAAAATGTTTCTTATCAGGCTAGTTGATTATCTCCTGGATCTGGAAAGGAGAGAAGGAAACAAAGGGGAAACGAGATTCTCTATAGGATGTGGATTTTTCCCACAAGAGACTTTGCAGGGCAATTTTAAGGTATGGCAAGGAAATATATTTTGGGGTAAAACATTTTGATTTTCTTCCTTGTTATGCCACAGTCAGATTGGAAAGTAAGTCACAATATACAGGGTCAAATAAAACCCATCTGATGAGAATTTATGGTTTGTAGGGCATGACTCCCCAGACCCCTTAGATAGGAATTTGGGCAAGATAAAAAAAAAAAATCAGAGTTTAGTCCTCAGCAATTATCAGCCAAGTGTGGAGGCTTCTTTCTCCTTTGGTTGGCACCACCCTTATCATTAGCACTGATGATTTGCTTGAGCTTGCTTCTCTTTCTCACCGTCAGTGGGAATCCAAAGCAGTATCTGATGGTTTGTTTATTATTTCCTTCAATGAAATACATTTGATTGTAGAAGTAGAAAAAGTAGAAAGTAGAAGAAGTAGAAAAAAATATATATGCCAGCTCCTCACCCCAAACTCCCCTCCCCTGCCCAACTCCGATATACTCAGGATATATGCTTTGAATCTGAAACAGCCCAAATGCACTGGCATGTTTTCTCTCCAGGTACTTTGGGTTCCAGGTTTGTTTTTTGTCCCCAGATTTCCCTCTTTGACGTTTCACCTCCTGGTAGCCCAGAACAGCAAGAGCGGCTGCGTCAAATGCAATCTTCCTTCTGGCAGAATTCTCTTCCAATGGACCATAAAATGTTCCACCCCGGTCCCCAGGAAGCCTGGGCATTTCTGGATAGCCACGATCCTGCCTTCAGTGCGTCCTCCTTCCCACGTGCCAGCATTTCCCACACAGACCTCTGCAGGCACACGGTCCTGGGTACCAAGAAGCACATCAAGGATTCAGGGCCTAGCTGCCCACAGCTCTGACACATGCTGCACCAGGACAGGATGGCTCTTCAGGTGAGCAGGTGGGCGGAGTTCACTCTGGCCCACCTGCCCATCCACGGCCTGGTCCTGCCTGCCATGCCGGCCTCACCTGAGTTGCTCCTTACTTCACACCGAATCCCCTGCGTGCACCGAGAGGCTCACAGCTTCCTGCCTTTGACCCACTCCGCTCGTGCAAGGCTTAGCTCAGGTATCTCTTCCTCCAGGAAACCTCCCAGGGTCCACGCTCAGCTCCTGGTCCCCCTGGAGACCCCAGTACCCACCCCACACTCATCGGAAGTTACCTGCTTGTCTATCTGTGCCCCTGACAAGACAGAAGGCTCTCCAAAGGTAGTGTATTGGAAAAGACTCCTTCAGCTACAAATGACATAAACCCAACCCAATGGGATTAAGCACAAGAAAAATGTGCTGGCTTCAGAGGCTGAAGGTTGGGCTGGCTTCCGATGGGGCTTGATGCTGGGGCTCCAGCCACATCCTCAGGACTTGTTTCTGTCGCCTCTTTGCTTAGCTTCATCAGCGTCATTCCCAGGCAGGTGCTCTCAGCTTCATATACAGTAGGGAACCAGCCTGGCCAACATGGCGAAACCCTGTCTCCACTAAAAATGTAAAAATTAGCCGGGCATGGTGGCACACACCTGTAGCCCCAGCTACTCGGGAGGCTGAGGCAAGAGAATCACTTGAACCCGGGAGGTGGAGGTTGCAGTGAGCCAAGATTGCACCACTGTACTCCAGCCTGGGCAACAGAGCGACACTCTCTCAAAAAAAAAAAAAAAAAAGAACCAACGACAACAACAACAAAAACATATACGGTAGGGAAGGGAAGAGAGTCTAGTTTCTTCATAGTTCAACTAAAATAATAGAAGAGAGTCTTGTTGGGCCTGGGTGGCTTGGCTTGCATCAGATAACTATCTCAAAACCAAGCCTGTGGCTGGGAGGATGCAATGGGTTAATTGAATCCAGGAGTTCACTGGAACCATATAATAATAATAATAATAATAATAATAATAATAATAATAGCTAATTATTAGTCATCTAAAGTAGAGAGTGGGTCCTTAAACAAAACTTGAGGTAACTATTATCATAAGAAGGTGCAGTAGAACTGAGCCACAAAATCACCAAAGCCAGCTGCTGGAGGCACTTCGCTTAACTATCTTGTCGGGGCGCAGGCCTAGGGTGCTGATGCAGGCTTCACACCCAATGCACTCTTGCTGACTTGAGCTGAAAGGAGGGAAGCAGCAAGGCAGCCACTGAGGCAAATTCCTGGGAGCCCTCTGACACCCATGCAGCATGCCAGGCAGCTGTAGACTTCTACGCCCTTTCATAACCTCAGGTAACTCATCCTCCTGTGTGTCTAGAGAAAGCTTTGCTGAAAGCCCCAACTGCCCAGCAGTCAGGGACACATGTCACTCCCTGAAGAGGAAACAAGGGAGATGCTGCAGGAGGCAGCTGGTCCCCGTTCCCGGCCCCCCAACTCCCTGGGAACAACTTCCTTGAAGGCCACCTGGATTTTCTGAGTGAGTTATTAAATCTTAAGCTGGAACGAAGAAGATACTCCAATACTGTTATTAGCCACTTTCATCAACTCTACCAACTACTAATTAAAATGCCTGCTGTTAAAGTTTATACTTTACTAAATGAAAACCAGGATGCAGCATATCAGCTATACTGTAAAAGTAATACTTGCTTGGTATGGAATATATTGAGAATATAAAAAATTATGGCAGGGGACGGTGGCTCACGCCTGTAATCCCAGCACTTGGGGAGGCCGAGGCAGATGGATCACTTGAGTTCAGGAATTCGAGATCAGCCTGGGCAACATAGTGAAACTCTGTCTCTACAAAAAATACAAAAATTAGCTGGGTGTGGTGGCACACGCCTGTGGTACCAGCTCCTCAGGAGGCTGAAGTGGGAGGATCACCTGAGCCTGCGATGCTGAGACTGCAGTAAGCAGTGATGGAGCCACTGCACTCCAGGCTGGGCGACAGAGGGAGACTCTGATTCAAAAAAAAAAAAAAAGAAAAAGAAAAGAAAAATAAAGAAATTATGAAAAATATGCACCCATAAAAAGGAAAAAGATCATGTCCTTTGCAGGGTCATGGATGGAGTTAGAAGCCATTATCCTCAGCAAACTAACGCAGGAATAGAAAACCAAACACTGCATGTTCTCACTTATAAGTGGGAGCTGAACAATGTGAACATGAAGACACAGGGAGGGGAACAACACACATGGTCTGGGTGGGGGGGGCAGGATGGAAGGAGAGCATCAGGAAAAATAGCTAACACATGCTGGGCTGAATACCTAGCTGATGGGTTGATAGGGGCAGCAACTCACACGTTTACGTGTGTAACAAACCTGCACATCCTGCACATGTACCTCGAACTAAAAATTAGAAAATAAAAAGAAATTGTAAAAAGTAAAAACAGTTACCAATAATCTCACCATCCAAAAACAACAACTAATAACATTTTGGGGGGTACTTTTCTTCTTCCAGTCTTTTTCTTTTCTTTCTTTCTTTTTTTTTTTTTTTTTGAGACAAAGTCTTGCTCTGTCGCCCAGGCTGGAGTGTAGCGGTGCCATCTCAACTCACTGAAACCTCCGCCTCACAGGTTCAAGCAATTCTTCTGCCTCAGCATCCCGAGTAGCTGGGATTACAGGCGCCCACCACCACGCCTGGCTAATTTTTGTATTTTTAGTAGATACGGAATTTCACCATGTTGGCCACGCTGGTCTCAAACTCCTGACCTTGTGATCCACCCACCTCAGCCACCCGAAGTGCTGTGATTACAGGTGTGAGCCACTGCGCCCGGCCCTTCCAGTCTTTTTCTAGATGTAGATGATGCAGATTTTTGGTAGCAGTGGTCATATTATCTGTATGTTTGATGTCTCGCTTTTTCCTCTCTGAATGCTTTACTTTTATCAGTTAACTTACAGCTTTTGTAAACATGTAATAGCTGTGTAATAGTACATTGAGATGATATATATTAATCTATTTAAGCACTTTATAATAGGCTGCTTTTAAATATGTGCTATTATACAAATGCAACCCGAAGTATTTTAAAAGTTTGAATTGGGCATAAGATGTATTTTGAAGTGGATGACAAATCTGACCTCAGACAACCATCACTGTGATCTTGATTTCCAGAGACTTCCTGAGTCTAGCTTCTCTCGCCTCTCCTTCGAACTGTGAGAAATAGAGGACATTTCGCCTGGCATTCTGAATGCCTCCAGCTTCAACTAGGGACTCGTACGGGGCTCTCTGGTGACGAATTCATCACGGGGATGTGACTGCCCTCCTAAAATTCTCTTCGGGGAACAATTCTCTGAGGTTTCATGTGGTGCCTAATTGACAACTTTCTGTAATGGGCTGGGATGATAACTCTTTCTTTAAGCCACAGATGATGATTAATGGAGTTCCAATAGGACAAGGTCCTCACTTTATTCTCACCTTCATTATTTTAATCTCTCTCTAAATGATTGGCTAATGGATCTGGATTGCTATAAGGTTCTGCGAATGGTGGATGGGTGTCTATAAATCCCTCAAAATCACTAGAGGTCCCCACCACTTGATTAAGGGGGTCGCCTCACCCCCAGGCTCAGGAGGGGGAGTATAACTGGCAGAAGTATGCATTAGACATGACTCTGGAGTGGCCAGATGACTTCGGCCTCCCCGAATGGCTGAATGGTGCCATCAAATTATATTTGCTCCTTGTGGGTAGGGATAAAGAGCAAAGGGTGAAATGGCAACTTGGAGGCCATCAAGAATGCAGAGGGTGGTGAGGAATCATTCATTAAGGTGTCACTCAGTGCATCCAGTCACTTAGCAATACTCTGAGCCAGCTGGTCTGTGCCAAGCACGGTGCAGGCATCGGGAAATCAACATCACCGGAATGGTCCCGGGTCTCACAGCCTCATTGTGGGAGGAAACAGCTACGATCTGGCAATAACCCTAGTGATAAAACTGCTGTTAAAGACATGTAAACTAACAGGGCCAACTTGCAGGGCCGACTTCATGTGTGGGTGTGTGACCTGTGTCATGCCACAGGGCCCGCAGGTAGAGAGACCTCTTGCTTGGTTTAACGTTCTGCTGGTGGGTTTTATTACCTGTGATAGTTGATAGCGGATGTCAACTTGATTGGATTGAAGGATGCCTAGATGGCTGGTAATGTATTGTTTCTGGGTGTGTCTAAGAGGGTGTTGCCAGAGGAGATTGGCATTGCTCCTCCTGCCCTTGGACCTCAAACCAAAGTCCAAAGGTTCTTCGGCCTTTGGACTCTGGGACTTACACCAGTGGTTTGCCGGGGGCTCTCAGGCCTTTGGCCGCAGACTGAAGGCTGCACTGTCGGTTTCCCCGCTTTTGAGGCTTTTGGACTGGGACTAAGCCACTACTGGCTGCTTTCTTCCCTAGCTTGCAGATGGTCTATCATGGGACTTTTCACCTTGTGATCATGTGAGCCAATTCTCCCTAATAAACTCCTCCCCCACTTTTTTTTTTTTTGAGACAGAGTCTCCCTCTGTTGCTCAGGCTAGAGTGCAGTGGCACGATCTTGCCTTACCACAACCTCCGCCTCTCAGGTTCAAGCAATTCTCCCACCTCAGTCTCCTGAGTAGCTGAGACTATAGGTGTGTACCACCACGCCCAGCTAATTTTTTGTATTTAGTAGAGACGGGGTTTCACCATGTTGGCCAGGCTGGTCTCAAACTCCTGACCTCAGGTGATCCACCCACCTCCGCCTCCCAAAGTGCTGGGATTAAAGGCATGAGCTACCATGCCTGGCCCCATTCGTCTATCTCTCTATCTACGTATCTATCTGCCTGTCTATCTGTCTACCTACCTACCTGCTTGCCTATCTATCTGTCTATCTACCTCTATCTCTACCTCTCTCTATCTTCTATTGATTCTGCTTCTCTGCGGAACCCTGATGGATACAGCAGTGTATAAGGCACGCTCTGCCATCCTCCCTGCTCCCTACCTGGGCCAGCTGTCAGAGTCAGGATGCAAGGGGATGGGGCTACTGAGCCTGGGATGCATCTGAAGACTCTTCTCCTCCAAGTTCCCACCACAAGTAGCCGTGGGAGCTGGCCCTACTTGTGCCCATGGGCTGGCTGCAGGTACCTTCTCATTTGCCTCTTTCAAGGACCCCGTGGTGTAAAAGCCCTGCACACTGCATCTCACCAAAGTCTGCCGCTGGGACATTAGTGCAGAAAGAGAGGTCTGCTTTCTTTCTGACTGCTATTGTATTTGGTTTGAGTTGGACCCCAGGATGGAGGCACTTGGTGGCAGTTAATGCCCTTAAATCAAGCCCAGTAAAACCTTTCATGCTGCTAATCACTGCACTGTGTGACACTCTGCACCCAGCAGTCTCCAGTGCTCACAGAATCTCTACAAAGGGACTGTGGCCTGCCGAGTGGTGGGGGGTGGTTGCTGCAGCCATTGGGATGATGTCTAACAAGGTCTTTTAGTGATGAGCACAGGATTCTCCAAAGAGATTTTTGCTGAAATGTCAGGCTCTGACACTTTTTTTTTTTTTTTTGTACATTGAAACACGTGTCATTGCTGCAGAACTGTGTTGTCTT
Organism: Homo sapiens; assembly: GCF_000001405.40. Classification (NCBI taxonomy): domain Eukaryota; kingdom Metazoa; phylum Chordata; class Mammalia; order Primates; family Hominidae; genus Homo; species Homo sapiens. The sequence continues at coordinate 77,942,527 of NC_000017.11, forward strand.
CTGGGAACAAACACAGAGGCCCATTGTTTATGCTGCCAATTAGGAACCGTGTTTGGCCCCGACACACAAAGGCCCAGTTGTGTTCAGACGGCGGAGGGAAGTGTCTTGGATCTTTCGACACAGGTCTTTGGGCAGAGGAGCCTAGGCTAGTCACTTACAGGGTTCCAGGGAGCCATTTTCTCCTGCTTGGCTGAGCTGGCGATCTGGCTGGGACCTGGGAGAGTGCAGGTTGCTAGGGATGCCACTGGCTCCCATGACATCCCTCCGCTGACGGCTCTCCTGCTGGGCTTTCCAGGGGCTGCCACCCTGGGGTGTGCTGTCCTTGAGGTCATGCAGATCTCCTCCTGCAGAGCTGGAGGAGGAAGTTGGGCTTGGAAGAAGCAGCAGGTAAACTGAGCCTGTCAAAGGCTTCCTGGCTGGGCAGGGAAATGTTTGCATGCTCCCCATCAACAGGAATCCATTGCCTCCATAGGCTGGTCACAGAGGCAACACAGACCTTCATGAGTAATGCAATCAGTGTCCCTGTGCCCCAGAAAGAAGCTCTGCCCAGTGGCAGAGGCCCCCCAAATACAACATCAAAACCGCTTTAGTTTGACTTCTCTTAAGAAAGCTAGCCCACTAACTTGGCCTGTTTTAAAAGTAAAGATTAGTAGAAATAAGATTTCCCCCCCGCCACCAAAAAAAAAATGCAACAGTTGCTACAACCTGCTCTTCAGGGGCAAATTTCAATTGTTAAGTGGGTGAAGGCACTTCACTGAAAGGGAGGCAAATTTTCTTTCTTTCTTTTTATTTTTGAGAAAGAGTCTCACTCTGTCATCCAGGCTGGAGTGCAGTGGTATGATCACGGCTCACTGCAACCTCTGCCTCCTGGGTTCAAGCGATTCTCCTGCCTCAGCCTCCCATGTAGCTGGGATTACAGGCGCCAGCTACCACGCCTGGCTAATTTTTGTATTTTTAGTAGAGACAAGGTTTTGTCATGTTGGCCAGGCTGGCCTCGAACTCCTGACCTCAGGTGATCTGCCCGCACTGGCCTCCCAGAGTGCTGCGATTACAGTTGTGAGCCACCGCGCCCAGCCTGAGGAGGCAAATTTTCTAAACACACTGTGGCAAAACAATGCTGAGCTCTTCAATGCACCATTTCCATCGCTGTCCCTGGCATCACTAAACCACATCCACACTCCCAGTTCCATCAGAGAGGAGGACTTGGATCCGGCATCCTGGATCTAATGTCTAGTAGAAGTTTCCTTAAGTAAATTATGGCAAATTCATTTGATAAAACAATATGCCGGCTATGAAAATGATTGCTATAAAGCGCTTACTAAATAGCATGGAAGATTATAACGGGAAAAAGTTTCTTGCTCCTAGACTAAACGTGTTTCTCTTTTCCTCACAGAGTAATTCAAAACATCTTGTAAAACCATGAGCACATCTATAGATTTTTAAAAATTATGCTACGATATGAGTCTGGAAGGAAACATTTTTAAATGTTAACATAAGCTTCTTTGAGGGGCAATGTAATATTTTTCTTACTATCCTTCTATATTTTCTACATTGTTTCATAGCGAGTGTGTGTATTATTTTATAGTTGGAAAGAATAGAATAAACAAACAAGCGGTGGCTGAGATGACAGGATAGGGCAGGAATTCATTTTCTAGCCTCTCCCTCGTTCCAGTGGCTGGCTATGCCCCTGGTCTGACAACTGGCAGCTGGAGACCCTGCCCAGGTTATGAGAGGTGAACACCCAGGACCTCTTGGCCAACTCCAGGTTATACCAGATGTCAAGTTTAGAGGTTTGGCAACCTCTGAATTTCACTAGTTTGGGTTTGGAGTTTTCCCCCGACTTCTGGCTAGGGAGGTACACACACGCACACACACACACACACACACACACGAATCTACACATCTACACATCTCAACACGAGAGGCGCCCTGTAGGAACAGGCCATGTGGCACCTTGCACAGTCCCCTTGAAGGAAGCTGGACTCCTTGGTAGATGCTGTAATCTCAAATCTCCAAGGGACACTGGCCCTGGAAGCCTAGCTGCTGATGAGACAGGTTTTGGTGATAATCCCCCGAGTCATGCTTTCCAAAACAAAGTCTTTGTTCCAGGGGCGACTGTGAGCATCAGTACAAGGCACCTCCCAGGAGATTCTTCCTGTTAGTCCAAGGGCAGAACCTGTCTCCAGGTGGAAGGGAGCACACTCAGGTCCCAGGAGATTGGCAACACTGTGACTGGCTCCAGGTAAAGCTGCCCTCATTCCCAGTGCATCAACTGACTGACATCTGGGGCTTGGGCAGCTGCATTAAGCCAGTGAATTTCTCTCCTTGGCCCTGCTCCTCAGATTACTCAACCTGTTGCTTTTAACAAGAATTGCAGCTGAGTGTCTGAGATTAGACTCGTTCCCAAATGACCAACAAAAAGAATCTGCTTCCATTGCCCAAACCGGCTCCTTCACCCTTGTGTATACAGAACCCTGAGCCTGGAGCGCTGGCCCCTCCCTTGTTCCCCTGATACACACCCTCCTCTTCAGTTCTAGTACCATCTTCATGGCACCTCCCCTGACATCCACACGCAGAGGGAACCCAGTAATGTCTGGTACAGAAAGTCACGCATTCTAAATTAGTACAACATCTATGGAAAACAGTAAGGAGAGTTCTCGAGGAATTAAAGTAGATCTACCATTCAATCCAGCAATCCCACTACTGGGTATCTACCCAAAGGATCAGAAGTCATTATATGAAAAAGACACACGCACATGCATGTTTACAGCAGCACGATTTGCAATTGCAAAGCTATGGGACCAATATAAGTGCCCACTGAGCATCGAGTAGATAAAGAAAATACACCATGGAAAAGTACTCAGTCATAAAAAGGAACAAAATCATGTCCTTTGCAGCAACTTGGATGCAGCTGGAGGCCACTATTTTTTTTTTTTTTTTTTTTTGAGATGGAGTCTCGCTCTGTCTCCCAGGCTAGAGTGCAGTGGCGCGATCTCGGCTCACTGAAAGCTCCGCCTCCCGGGTTCACGCCATTCTCCTGCCTCAGCCTCCCAAGTAGCTGGGACTACAGGTGCCCGCCACCATGCCCGGCTAATTTTTTGTATTTTTAGTAGAGATGGGGTTTCGCCGTGTTAGCCAGGATGGTCTCGATCTCCTGACCTCGTGATCTGCCCGCCTTGGCCTCCCGAAGTGCTGGGATTACAGGTGTGAGCCACCAAGCCTTGCCTGGAGGCCGCTATTCTAAGTGAAGTAACTCAGGAATGGAAAACCAAATGCCATATGTTCTCACTTAGAAGTGGGAGCTAAGCCGTGAGGATGCAAAGACATACAGAGTGATAAAATAGGCTGTGGGATCTTGGAGTTGGGGAGGTTGGGTACAGTGCACACTGCCCCAGTGACAGGTGCACTAAATCTCAGAATCCACCACTATAGAATTCATCCATGTCGCCAAAAACTACCTGTACCCCAAAAACTAGGGAAATAAAAAATAATAATACAAAAAGAAAGTCATACATTCACCCAGTAAGTATTTACTGAAGGCCTGTTACACGCCGCACACTGGGGGATGCGACAGTGAGCCAACTGATACAGTCTGCTCAGGCCAAATCAGCTGGGCACTTAATAAAGCGGCCAAAAGGAAATGACTGGGGACCCAGCCCCACTGTCGGAGCACGGCAGGCAGCTGAGCCAAACGTCACAACATCTGGGATAACAGAGTGCGGAAATATCTTGGTTGAGACTGGGTTGAGGAGCCCTTGGGTTGACTTGAATCACAGGCTGAAGTGGTGTGAGATTTGTTTAACCAAACATTCCTAAAGGCAAACTATCATCTGACTGTTCACCAACTCCCCTCAGCCCTCCTAATCCTGCTCTTGAAACTGTCACTCACCTGGGCTCCTATGTGGAGCCACTTTGACACCCCAAGTCTCCTGCCCTTCAGTTAGCAGCCAAGTTCGTGTCTCTCTCTAAAATGGCTCCAGCTCTCTCATCATGGCCAATACCCTATTTATCTCCACATTACCAACAGCTGTCATCCCTTCCTTCAACAAACATTTATTTATTTATTTATTTTTATTTTTTGAGACGGAGTCTCACTCTGTCACCAGGCTGGAGTGCAGTGGCGCAATCTCGGCTCACTGCAAGCTCCGCCTCCCGGGTTCACGCCATTCTCCTGCCTCAGCCTCCTGAGTAGCTGGGACTACAGGCGCCCGCCACCACGCCCAGCTAATTTTTTTTTGTCTTTTTAGTAGAGACGGGGTTTCACCATGTTAGCCAGGATGGTCTCGATCCCCTGACCTCACGATCCGCCTGCCTCGGCCTCCCAAAGTGCTGGGATTACAGGCATGAGCCACCGCGCCTGGCCTCAACAAACATTTATTAAACACCTAACATGTGCCAGCCACTATGCCAGTGCTAAGACACAGTAACAACCAAAAGGGCAAGTGCAGAACCCACTGTGCAGTGGTAGAGACGGGCATTAACTAGGGCTCCCGTGTAAATGGAGATGAGAAAGTTGATAGAATAAACGCATGGATGAATGAATGAATGGCCCGTTGTTTGTACTGTCACATGACCCCTGCTCTCATCCACCCTACAGATGCTGCTGGGATAGCCATCCCCTACTACAGCTTTGCTCTTGCCACTTCCTGCCTTAAACCTTCAGTGGCTCCCTACAACACACTAGATTAAGTTCTAATTCCCTAGCCTGGTGGCTCTCCATGCTCTGGTTCCAAACCCCCTTTCTAGTTTTGTTTCCTTCTAACCTTCTAGGGATGACCTACATACTAATCTAACTATTGCTGTATCTGTTTGATTTGCCTGTCCAGAAAATGTACTCCCAATTCTGATGTTGAAATCTTACCCATCTGAGGGAAGGGAAGTATATAGGATGATGGGAGGTGGTGTACAAGAGTCACATCCTCATTCTCTAGAGTAGGAAGTCATGATGTTAAAACAGGAAAATCAAGAAGGAAGAGGGTGAGCATATTATTTAGAAACATTAAGGTAAATGGCGGAAGAAACAAAAAAGGATTTGAAAGTAGTTGACTCCAGGGGTAGAAATTCAGAGTGAGGAGGCTTGCAGGGCATAAGACTGGGTTTTGTTGTCGTTGTTGTTGTTGTTGTTGTTGTTTTGCTTGTTTTATTTCAAAATTAGTAATATGTAGTTGTCTTTTAAAACTATATACATGGGCGCGGTGGCTCACGCCTGTAATCCCAGTACTTTGGGAGGCAGAGGCAGGTGGATTGCTTGAGGCCAGGAGTTCAAGACCAGCCTGGCCAACATGGTGAAATCCCATCTCTACTAAAAATACAAAAAAAAAAAAAAAAAAATAGCTGGTTATGGTGGTGCACACTCTAATCCCAGCTACTCAGGAGGCTGAGGCAGGAGAATCACTTGAACCCGGGAGGCAGAGGTTGCAGTGAGCCAAGATCGTACCACTGCACTCCAGCCTGGGAAACAGAGTAAGACTCTGTCTCCAAATAATAATAATAATGATAAAATAAAACTATATATACGAATTACTTTGCATTTTAAAACTGTTTTTAAGGTCGGGCGTGGTGGCTCATGTCTGTAATCCCAACACTTTGGGAGGCTGAGGCGGGAGGATCACTTGAGCCTAAGAGTTGGAGACAAGCCTGGGCAACAAAATGAGACCCCCATCTCTACAAAAAGTCAAAAAATTAACTGGGTGTGATGGCACACACCTGTAGTCCTAGCTACTTGGGAGACTGAGGCAGGTGGATCACCTGAGCCTGGGAGGTCAACACTGCAGTGAGCTATGATCACGCTACTGCACTCCAGCCTGGGTAATAGAGTGAGACTCCATCCCAAAAAACCAAACTGTTTTTAATGCATACAATATAGCAAGAGAAATATTTAAATAAGAACTAAAAATATTAAAAGAGGTAATGTGTATAAAGTGCATAGCTAATGTCTGGCTTGTAATAAGCAAAGAAAAATAAGGTTATCATTACTTTTGTCTTTTCTATAAATTCTGTTGTATGCTAGGCTTCTTCAGGTTTTACCACATCACAACCCCGTGACAGCTTCCTAACTCACCTCTTAGCCTTCAGTGTTTCTCTCCCCATATCACACCATCCTGCCTGTCCATGGCATATTCATCTTCCTAAGACTATTTTTATTTTGCAATCCCTGTTGAAAGACTACAAAGGTTTCCTACTGTGTGTTAGGAGAGTGGTAGCTGCTATAACAAACAAACCCAGACTCTCAGTGGACTTACCTAACACATGTGCACTTTTCACTCATCTGGTGTTCCTGGTTTTTAGGAGATGTTTCCCCTCTTGAAGTTTAGGGACATGGGCCCTTTTCCTTTTGAGGCTCTTCCATCTACTGGGTCCTCTGCATCCAGGCAGGAGAGGGCACAACTGCCTCTCAATTGCCCAAGAAGAGAGAGCACAACTGCCTCTTAATGGCCTTAGCGTGGACATGAATCACATCACTTCGGCTCACATTCCTTTGTCCAGAACTGGTCACATGGCCCTGCCCGGAAAAGAAGGAGTTCTGGGAAATGTAGTCCTGGCTGGATACAGATGCCCCTTCTCAGTGGGAACTCACACTGGGGAAGTATAGTATGGATTTAGGTGGAGCCATCTCTTCCACATTCACCACCTGCAGAATCACATCCAAACTCTTAGCTCAGCCCAGTGGCTCTCTTTCTTAGCCAAACTGTTTGGATTCTGCCTCCTAACAAGAGCCTTCTGTAGTTACCATAACCAGATCTTGATGTCATCTCTAAGTTCTGTACATTTGATGGGACGCATTCCATCCATCTCAACACGGTGGAGCTTTTCAAGTGCAAATGCCATCTCCTCTTTGAAGACTTTCTCTTTTTTGTAGCCATCCACTGATCGAATTACTGGAACTGAATAGAGTTTGAGTTAGATGGGACCTTAGTTATAGAGTCCAATCCCACTGGTATAAGAAAAAGGGAATTCACCCAGGAAGGTGAAGGAAATCCCAAAAACATGGCATTCCTAGCAAACCGATGCCCCTACCTTGCCAAGAATCCAGCCAGAACCTGAAAAGCCATGACAGGTCATGACGCCATGAGTTTGAATTGTTTGTGATGCGAATGAGCCCAGCTGACCTCATGGCATTCGGTTTCAATGTGGATTTGTTGGATAGGAGCCAGCCTCCAAAATGGCCCCAAGGAGTTCCACCTCCTGGCACTCACACCTGGTGTGGTCCCCTTCCACACTGTGCCATGGTTGGTCTGGGTGGCCAATGGCATCAGGCAGAAGTGGTGTTCTTCTGATATTCAATTAGGAAGGACTTTGGCTTCAGCCATGGTGCTCTCTCTCTTGCACTCCTCACTTTGGCGTGAGCCGTGTCATGAGTGGCCCTGTGGAATGGTCCCTGTGGCAAGGGACTGAAGCCTCCTTCCCACAGACATGTGAGTGCCCCCGGAGAAGACACTCCAGCCCGGGCACATCTTTGGAGATTACAGACCAGGTTGACAGTTTGACTGCAACCTCACGAAAGACTCACTCTGCAAGACTACTCCTGGATTCCGGATTCTCAGAAACGGTGTGAGGCACACACGTTTGTTGTCTTAAGCTGCTAAATGTTGGAATAATTTGTTTCTCAGCAACAGATAACTAAAATTCCTTTTCATTGTCTACTCACAATCAAGCGTGCATTTTGGTTTACTTGGGAGAGGGAAAAAATTAAAATTATATAATACATTAAAGATTTTTTTAAATTGAGTTCTACAAAAGTCTCAGGAAATATCTGTCATAAATGTCAAATTTCTGGTTTGGGCGCGGTGGCTTCCACCTGTAGTCCCAGCACTTTGGGAGGCCGAGGCGGGTGGATCACTTGAGGTCAGGAGTTTGAGACCAGCCTGGTCAACATGGTGAAACCCTGTTTCTACTAAAAAAAAAAAAAAAATGAGCCAAGCATAATGGCGCATGCCTGTAGTCCCAGCTACTCGTGAGGCTGAGGCAGAAGAATCGCTTGAACCTGGGAGGCGGAGGTTGCAGTGAGCCAAGATTGAGCCACTGCACTCCAGCCTGGGCAACAGAGAGAGACTCCGTCTCAAAAATTACTAATAAATAAATAAATGTCAAATTGCTGTTATTTCTTCTGTGTGTTGTCCTGAGCTCTGAATAATTGGTACACTACTAAGGTAAAAGAAAAAGAGAAAGAGGAAAGAAAGGAGGAAGGAAGAAAATATGATGGATGGAAGGAAGGAGGGAGGGAGGGAAGGTAGATAGAAATGAAAAAAAGGAGGGGAGAAAGGAGAGGGGGGAGGGAGGAAAGGAAAGGACAGGAAGAGGGAAGGAAGGAAAGAAGGAACCCTATCGATTCCTTTAAAGCCATCTTGGATCCCATATCCCTTATGGAGCGTTCCCTGACCCACCCTCACATCTAATACCTGGATGTGATTTCTCCTCCAGCACATTGATATTAACTTTCTTATGACATTAATCCATTTATCTAAATTCGTTAATTTAACAAAAATATTTATGGAGCACCCAGTGCCAGCTCTGTTCTAAGTGCCTGAAATACATTAGTGAACAAAATGCACAAGGATCTCGTACTGGTGAAGCTGACAACATTACGATAAACCAGAAACACAGTAAGAAGCAAATGATAGATTATGGAAAGTGATGTTACAGAAAAGAGAACAAGGAGAATGGGGAGGTAAAATTGTGTCTACCTTTTTCACACTCTTGCTCCAACCATCAGTGGCTCTGGAGGGAGGACAGGAGGGGTGGCCAGGTTAGCTTGGAAAGGCTGCAGGGCTTTGCCAATGCCAGATGCTTGCAAATATTTGCTCAATTAACGTAAGAGTGAAGGAGCTAGTCTTGGAATGAGGAGTTCACTCGGAGGGCAAATCCAAAAGTTACTGGCTGTTGACACAAAGCCCTGCTTCTAGTTTATCACCAGATCTATCACCCAAAGTGGGGCCAGAGAAGCCCATCGGGGTAACAGCTCACGAGCAATCCTTTCCATGAGAGTCCGCAGCCTGACCCACCTTTTCTGTCTCCCTGGTACACCAGGTTGCCAGTTTCACAGAACTGGACCGAAGCAACCGCAGCGCCCCCAAAACCATCTGCCCAGTATCACAGGGCCCAGATAAATGAGGCTGTTTTCAGTGCCTGAGACCCCCCGAACAGGTGACATCCTCATCGCAACTTCATCAGTCATCTCCGGTTCCACACCCAGATGCTCTCCACAGATTTCCACCCCTGAGTCTTCTAGGGATAGAGTCAATGGAAAGAGAGACCTTTGCAATGTCCAAATACTGACCAAGGCTGGCCTCCGAAACATCGAAAGTGTCACTTTATGATTCAGACCCAAAGACACAAAGGGAAATGAAACATGCCTTCCACAGTTTAGATATGTGGTCCTATATACTTTGGAGGCTGGAATTTGCTTTAATAATAGGCAAAGATACAAGGTGTATGTTTTTCTATTAGGTTTAATACACCACAAACAGTAATTTCACAGCAATGCTATTAATATAAAATAAAACAATAACTTGTACTCAATACCTAGAAGCAGAACTTCAGATCTAGAAGAAATCTTAGACCACTTTCAACTTCACCAAAGAAATAAAGAAGACTGGGTATATGTCCTCCATTTTCCACAGACCACTCCCCAACACATGCATGCATGCACACACACAAGCTCACACACGTACACACACACAAACACAAGCACTCGCATGTACACACACAAACACTTATGCACACACACTCACATGTAAGCACAGGCGTGTGCTCGTGAACACATACACGCACACATGCATGTAGACTTACCTGCCTCTGCAGCTGTCTCCATTGCCTCTTGTGGTCTCAGAGATAGAAGTGATCTTCTCTCTCCCTGCACCATTGACAGGGTCCCGCCTCCACCATGTGCCCAAAGACCTTTCTTATTCCATACTCAACCCCTTTGGAACACCTTCCCCACCTGGGTTCCCTCCTCTGGCTCACTATTCTCAGCACATCCACTGCTTGAGTCGCTCCCTTTACAAACAAAACAAAACACTGAACCAAAACCACTTCCTTGGTCTCATATTGACCTTTAGTCCCATTCCTTCCTTTCATAGTGTGAGCGTCCTGGGGTTGCCATAAGAAGTATCACACACTGGGTGGCTTAAGCAACAGAAACTTCTTCTCTCCTATTTCTGGAGGCCAGAAGTCCAAGACGAAGGTGTCAGCAGGGCTGGTTCTTCTAAAGGCTCGGAGGGAGAACCTGTCCCAGGCATTTTCCCTAGGTTCTCACGGCTTGCTGGCAATCTTTGGCGTTCCTTGGCTTATAGAAGCATCACCCCGATCTCTGCCTTCATCCTCACATGGGCTCCTCCCTGTGTGTGCATCTCTGTGTCCAAATGTCCCCTTTTTAGAAAGGACACAGTCGTACTGGATTAGGAGCCATGCTAATGACTTTGCTTTGACTTAACTCTGTCTGCAAAGACTATTCCCAAATAACGTCACTTTCTGAGGTGTGGGGAGTGAGGACTTCAACATATCTTTTTGGGGGACACATTTCAACCCATTACAATGGCTCAACTTAAAAGCATGGTTCCTCCTCACTGTCAGTCTCTGTCTCCAGCCTTCCTCTCACCTTGCAACCTGCTGCCGGCCCCTGCTCTGTCTTCCTGAGGACAAAATGACCTCGAGGCTGCCTGATTCCATCGGTGTGCTCCTGTTCTTACCGCATGGATACTGTTGGCCACCTGCTCCTTTCTCGAACCCATTCCCCTTGTGGCCCCTCTAGTTCCATGGGGCATCCGGTGGGATTCAGCATCTCTGGCTGTCCCTTCTCAGCCTCCTTTAGGGTTTTCTTCTCTTCTTGGTGCTCCTCAGGCTCAGCACTCAGCCTTCTCACCATCCCTCCTCATCCCTATCCCCCGAGCTCATCATCTATGATCCTGCCTCCAACTTCCAGCCCTGTGCAGACTGTCCCCAGGAGACTTATCCAGCCCAGACACCCCACGTCTGACCATCACCACTTGACGTGCCCCAGGTGCCTGCAACTCCAAATGTACCAAACCAGGCTCACCCCTTCTTCCTCAGGGTCCCACCCAAAGACTCGAGCTCAGCCTACTCCTCCTTCCACAGTCCCTTCCTCACCATCCATCCTTTCTCACTGAGAAAGACAACGAGGCAACATCTTTTACCATTTTCTTACCCTCCAGATATGTCAGACCCCAAGTCCCCCAGAGCTGAATTTAAAGTTATCTTTCAAGCAGGTCTTCTCCGTTTAACCTCTATTGCTACTCTAGGGGATTCCATAAGTTCTAGTTTCCTGGCTGCAGAACTGTGCAGGCCGCCTACCCCCTGCCATCACCTCCTCCCTGGCCCTTCCTCTTCCAGGTCATCTGCTACAATGTTTCCAGAGAGCTCTCTTTAACAGTCAAGTGTAATAATGTCTGGAATCATCCAAGAGCTCCACATTGCCTTAAGGATAAAGTACCAACTCTTTAAGGTCACATGAAATGCTCCTTGTATTCATAATCTGGCCTTGGGTGTGGTGGCTCACAATTGTACTCCTAGCACTTTGGGAAGCCAAGGCGGGCGGATTGCCTGAGCTCAGGAGTTTGAGATGAGCCTGGGCAACATGGTGAAACCCCATCTCTACTAAAATACAAAAAATTAGACGGGCGTGGTGGTGCGCACCTGTAGCCCCAGCTACTTGGGAGGCTGAGTTAGGAGAATTGCTTGAACCCGGGAGGCAGAGGTTGCAGTGAGCCAAGATTGTGCCATTGCACTCCAGCCTGAGTGACAGAGCACGACTCCATCTCCAAAAAACAAAGATAATAATAATAATCTGGCCTCTGCTCATCTCTCCCATCTCCTCTTACCTGGGCTGTTGCAGCCCCACTAATGTCTTCCAGCCCCCTGAAAGTGCTGCGCTGCAAGCTCTCTTGGGTTTCCTTTACACTGACCTTTCCCTCTTTCTTCAGTGCCCTTCCATCAGCTTCTGACCTATTACTGCTTTCCCTTGCATCTTTCAAGACTCAGATCTGAGGCCCTTGGAGAAGTCTTCCTGAGCCCTTCAGAATGACCTGAGTCTCTTCTGTCTCCTGCAGCACCTCCATGCATTGTAATCATAGCTCAAGCACGGCTTGCAGCTTTAAATCCCTGGCACCTAGTTCGCTGCCTGGCACGTAATACACGGCAATTCAGCAAGTATCTCTAACTCAGTGAGGAGTACAAAGGAGAAGTCAGAGGCCCAGAAACTTGCCTAAGGTCAAACAATTAGTGAGCAGTGGAGTTGAGACTCACCCTTACTTTTATTGTAAGGTTCTAGTCTCTATTCCAATATTATTATCAGCATAGTGGGAGGACAAAGGCATCAGAATCACTTGGGGAGCTGATTAGACATGCAGATACATGGGCCTCATCTGGACCTAAGGTGAATTTGTAATTCAAACAAGCTACCCTGGCGATTCTCATCAACAGAAAGTTTGAGAACCGACGCCCTGTGCCTTGCTGCTTGTCTGAAAGGCCTCTGTAAATTTATCACATTTTTCTAAGTCAGTTCAGTTGCTATCTATCGGTGACAAGCAGGGAGAGCTGAGCCCGGCTTTCTTACATTTTCATTGAAAAGCAATCATTTGTTGGAGTCCTGAAGGTTTTCCCTTTAAGAGTCCATCATTAGGATGCAAATTATACGTGTAAAATCAACAGAAATAGGAGGATGGAGTAATTCAGGCACCAGTGTGTGGTAGGAAGTGACTGGGCATGGAGAGGGGTATTATACGCAAATACAGCCCTCAAAAAGGTGTCTTTATTACTCTCCTCCAATTTTCATCGCCTCAGAATCATCTGGAGGGCTGGCTAAGATGGAGATACCTGGGCCCCATCCCCAGAGGTTTCGATTCACTGGGTCTGGCAATGGGGTCTGAGAAGTTGCCCTTCTAACAAGCTCCTAGGTAAAGCCAATGCCGCTGGTCTGGGGGAACACACTTTGGGAAACCCTGAGCTAGTCAACACAGTAATCTGTTTTGCAATAGTCATGGAGATAGGGACGTGATCATCCTGTCTTTCCACTTAAACCCCTGCACAGATGTGGATCTTGCTACCTTTCTAAATGGAGTTTCTTTTTCTTCCCATAGCTTGTTGGAGTACAGGTGGTATTTGGTTACATGAGTAAGTTCTTTAGCGGTGATTTGTGAGATTTTGGTGCACACATCACCTGAGCAGTATATACTGCACCCTACGAAATGGAGTTTCTATTAATAACTCCATTTGATAGAAACTCCATTTTGTAGGGTGCAGTGTATATTTGAACTAATTTGCCTAATATCTACCACCCACTGATCTCAGGTTGGCTTCTCAGGATTTCAAAGAATATATCTGTACCTATTTGCATACAGGAGTTTCAAAAATATCTGAAAAGAGCCATCCTGGCCTGCTTGTCTCTTCTTCCCTGCACCAATCTCTTCTGCTTCTTCAGCTGTTGGTCAGACTGGAGGATTTCCATCAACAACTGGCTGTATTCTGAGTCAGTCTCTAACTTTGTCGATTTCTTTCTTGCACCCTGGTGCTCAGAACTGGCCAAAACACTCCATTTGGGATCTGACCAGCTCAGAGTGCAATCTCTTAAACTGGACACTATTTTAACGTAGTGTTGTTGTCGTCTTCAAGCAGTTCACACATTTAGCCTTGTTGAACGTGTGGTCATCTATAACTAGAATTTTTTACATTACCTTGTATCCAGCTAAGTCTTCTTCATTTGTCCTCAACTAGTTGACATTTTAATTTAAGAGACACATTTAACATTTAGTCCTCTTAAACGTAATTTTGTTGGTTTTACCCTTTTTTTTTTTGAGACAGAATCTAGCTCTGTCATCCAGACTGGAGTGCATTGGCGCCTTCTCTGCTCACTGCAACCTCTGCCTCCCAGGTTCAAGGGATTCTCCTGCCTCAACCTCCCAGGTAGCTGAGACTACAGGCGCCCGCCACCATGCCTGGCTAATTTTTTGTATTTTTAGTAGAGATGTCACCATGTTAGCCAGCATGGTCTCCATCTCCTGACCTCCTGATCCGTCTGCCTTGGCCTCCCAAAGTGCTGGGATTACAGGCGTGAGCCACCATGCCCAGCCCTATAGATGATCAACTTATACCTTAGTTATAAGGTGGTGGTGGCAGGGCTGATAACAGGATGACCAACCCGAAACATGAACGTACCCATTTTTACAGTTGTGCCTGGGGTTCCTACTCATACTTTATCAGTTCAAACAACCACTAATAAGTGACACTGCTCTGCAGTCTTAACATTCATGGCCACCATATGCCTCAATGTTTCTGGGTCAACTTTAGTTTCAAACATTATCTCTACTGTCACAGGTCCACATGCCAAACTATGAGTCCAGTTTGGGGTTCAGAACATATAGTCTCTATAGTTCTGCCTTTTCTCGGTGCTCAGAGTCTAATATCATTGGAGAAGAGGACGATTTTTGCCTGATTAAACTGAGGGAGGGGGATAAGAAAGGGAACCAAAGACAATGCTAAATAATGTATTTTGGTTCAATTTTCCAAAAAGTGAAGCTCTGCTTATCACAATGATTGGTCCACTCTGGTCCACCCAGATACCTGGATTCCTCATTTATGTAGCAGCAGTCTACTTCGTGGGCGCTGCCTATTTTGAAGATGTTATTTTGCACTCCCTTCTGGAGCATGTGATAATACCTCTACCTTTGAGAAATACAAAAGATGTAGGTTCTCTGCAGTCGAGAATTAAATGAACGTAAATAAAATGAATAGACAAGGCAGAAGCCTCCATGTCAGCTCCCTCTGCCTTCAGATCCTTCTAAGGGATGTGGGTTCTCGGGAGGGGAAATACACAACACGATACAACAGACATTTGACGACCCTTTAGAGGCTGGTTGTGAATCTGACTACCGGAGGGCTTAAAATATGGCAGTAAGAAGAAAGGAGCTCATGGGACCCTGAAGGGAAACGAGAGCGGGGAATTTGTCTCTTTCATCCACAGTCGTTTCAAAGCATGACACTTGCGGTAACAAAATTGCATTGCGAAAGTACTAGTGTGTTATTATCTCCTCTTCAAGACAGGGACACGTAGACAGGGAATGGCCTCTTCCAATACCAACTTCCAAGTAGCACTGCTGATCCTCCACTGAACGATGGGGGAAAAGCTAGCCTGCTTCTGCGACCTTGCATGAAAATGGAGAAAATTCTTGGTTTCAAAATCTTCTCCTGGCTTGAACCGAAAGTTAAAAAGGGACTTTTCGAATTGCACATTGCGCCTGACCTTACCTACCACTAATGAATAATGGATATCGAGGAGCCGTGGAATGGAGGATCACGGCGGCGTACGGAGCACCGGGGAGGAATCGTGGGGTGCGTAGGCGCCGGAGCGCCCGGGTTCGGCCCGGACCGAAGGCTTGCGCGGTGAAGGTGTGGTGTCTGTGCTCCGGGGAAAGGGCTGTCTCCCCGGGGGACTGTTTCGCAGCGAGGCTTGTTTTGCTCGCAGCTGGGCGCTCCCTGGGGAGCGACTGAGCGCAAGGGCGGGCCGGGAGGCGCGAGGCGAGCACGATGCTCCAGGGCCCCAAGGACTCGTGTGCGTGTGCGTGTGCAAAGTGGGGCGGTGCAGGGCGTGTGCACGGCACGGGCGAGACGCGCGCCGGTGCGGGCGCCGGGCGCCGCCGGGCGCAATTACAGCATAAAGCCCGGGCGCCGCGGGGCGCTGGCCCGGAGAACCCACCGGACGCGCAGAACCGGATCGGCACCCCTCCCGCCAGCACCCTAACGCGGAGCCACAGCGCCCAGGGACCGGAGGGCAGGCGGCGGCGGTAAAGGACACCACGCAAGTCTCCACGTAACCCCCCCGAGCAGTGCAAGCTCCCAGGACTGGCGCGCGTCCCGGCCACTCGGAGCGCGCACCGCTCGCACCCCGGCGCGCTCCCCGCGCGGTGCAGGGAACCACAGCGCGGGCGGGTATTAAGGGGAAAGGAGGAGGCGTGGCCTGGCCGAGGAGCCAATGGGCCGGGAGGGGCGCGCGGGGGAGGAGCTCAGGTGCAGAGTGCCGATTGGCCAGTTCGCCCTCCGGTATGCAGATACGGTGGGAGTCACGTGCTAGGGGCCGGGACGACTTCCTGTTGGAGGCCAACGCGGGGCGGGGAAGGGGGCGCGAGCGCCCCGTCTGGCTGAAGCGGGGGGAGGGGGGTTCTTGTCAGTTAGAGCAACAAGATGGCCGCGGTGGCAGCTCCGCACCTCAGCGCGACGGCCCCGGGAGCCGTAGCCGCCGCCGCCGGCCCCGCCGCCGCGCAGTCTTGAGCGCCGCCCGGGCCGCCCCCTGACAGGGCAGTCCCAGCGCCCGCCGCGCTCCCGCCGCCGTCACCGTCGCAGTAGCCGCGGGCCCGCCCGAGCCGGAGGCGGAGGGAGCGGAGCGGCCCCGCGCCCAGCCGTCCGCAGCTGCCACCGCCGCCGCCGCCGCCGCCTAGGACCCGGACCCCGCCGGAGCCGCATCCCGCCGGGCGTGAGGAGGAGGACGCGTCGCGGCGTTGCCGGGGCCGGACCTGGACCTGCCGGGACGCGCCGCCGCCCACTCGCCCGCGCCGCCGCCGCAGCCGCCGCCGCCGCCCGCGCCGGGACCTGAGTCCGTGGCGCCGGCGCTGAGCGGGCCCCCGCCGCCCGCGCACTCCCGAGGCCCTCGGGCGGTTGTTCGTGCCGCCGCCGCCGCCAGGCCCGCGCCACCGGAGCCCCGCGGAGCCGCCGCCGCCGCCGGGGACGGAGCCCAGGTGAGCGCGGCAGTCCGCCCGCTCCTCGCCGCAGCCGCAACTTTGCCGGGAGGTTCGCGGGCCCTTTGTTCGGCCGAGCCGAGCCGGGGCGGGCGCTGGCCCCTAGCGACCCGCGTGCGGCGCCAGGCCCCGGGCCGGCCGGGTTTGAGGGGAGCGGCGGGAAGCGGCCGGGGCCGGGGCGCGTGTGTGCTAGTGTGAGACGGGGCTGTGCAGACGCCCGGTGTGCATCACAATCAAACGGGAGTGGAATGGAGGGCTGAAGATGGATGTGCCCCCTCCCTTTTAAAACTCATGCAGCGGTGAAATTCGGTCCTTTCCGGGCAGCCCCCCGCAGATTTTGCACTGGTGATGGCAGGCGCGAACCCGCCGTGTTTTGGTGCAGGAGCCCGGTGCCGTTGTTTGGGGGAAGAGAAAAACCCGGGGCGTGCTGCGGGTGGGCGGAGAAGGACCCCTGGGCGCTCTGCGGCTCTGAAATCAGGTGGATTTTCTAACGGTGCTGCGGACTGCGGAGTAATGCGTATGAGGAAAACGAGCCGTACAACATCTGTCCTGTTATCAGATAACGTAACCCGAGCGCCTGGTTGCCGCCTCTGCTTTAAGCGGTGCCTCCTTTGCACCTTTACCTTGAGGACGAGATTTAATTAATTGATTCGTAGCTATGAAAATGTGCAGATGTGGATGTGGGGGTTCCCTGCCTGTTAACCTGGGGAAGAAATAACTGGCAAGCATGTTACACGGAGCTTTGGGGATCTTAGCAAAAATGAAGGCTTGCTGCTTGGATGTTGTGCCGGGAGGTAGGGGAGGAGGAGCCGCTAGATCGTGGCTGCACCTATTGCATTCGAAGGCATTTGACGGTATTGGTGATTCTGCACGTAATTAGTGGAGTTGTCTCAAACCTTTGCCTCCGCCAAATGAAACCTCCATTTGAGTGGTCCGCTCGGTTATTTCTAGGCGTGAACTGCGGATTCTAAACTCAAAATGGTGCTCTGTAGATGTCCAACTTCAGCGTCTTTAAGGAGTTGCAAGTTGGAGCCTTCTGACTGGGTTAATCCATTGTGTAGCCGAGGTTCGGTTTTTCTCGAGTGTCTGGTGTTCACGTTGACGTACTTCGGCCAGTACAAGGTAGCCAATTTATGGTGATCGCTGTGAGAGCCTCGTACGTCCCTGAATGTAATTTGAGCCTGCATAAGGCCTACTTTATGCAAGTGATTTCCTGCAGTTGGAATTGAATAACTATGCGAATGAGTTGAGACCCTGGAAACCTGGCTTGAGTGATTTCAGAGGACAGTGGTAGCTGGTTTGAAATGTGTAGGGGGTGTTGGCAATGATATTCATAGATTCCGGATTTCCTTCAGTACTGTATGAAAGAATAAATGATAAAACTTAGCCCCAGGCCAGATGAACTTGGTTAGTAGAGGGCACCTTGAAGAAATTTACATTGTTCCAGAACAGCAGAGGTGGCAATGGTCTTTGAGCATGTTTCACTGTAGCACCCCTAGGATGCTTTGTTGGGGGAAATAATGCAAAACAGGGTTTTTAAAATGACTAGTTCAGTTGTCGGAATTAATTTTGTGTGTATTAATAGAACAAAGTAATGATGTGAACAGTTGTAACTTTACCTATACTGAAAGTTTTTTTTCTACAGAAAGTTTTTAATATTTATTTTCATAAGAATAGACATTCTTGGAAGCTGTTTTTCATACAGATTTCTCATGACCTGACCATAGGCATAGTCAGGCCGTGAGAAATTGATAGCTCAGAAAACGGTAATAGTAAACACACACACACACTCGTTTTTATTATAAGGATCTGATTTTAAAAGCTTGTTTGTAACTCTTCTGTGCTTCTTGTCCAAAACAAAGACCTTGCTGACCTTACCTCGGTTTTACTTTTTTTTTTTTTTTTTGAGACAGTTTCGTTCTTGTTGCCCAGGCTGGAGTGCAATGGCACGATCTCGGGTCACTGCAACCTCCGCCTCCCGGGTTCAAGCGATTCTCTTGCCTCACCCTCCCGAGTAGCAGGGATTACAGGTGCCCGCCGCCACGCCCGGCTAATTTTTGTATTTTTAGTAGAGACGGGGTTTTGCCATGTTGGCCAGGCTGGTCTCGAACTCCTGACTTCAGGTGATCCGCCTGTCTCGGCCTCCCAAAGTGCTGGGATTACAGGCGTGAGCCACCACGCTCGGCCGGTTTTACTTTTAAGGTATGAAATTAAATACGGTTGATACTGAGACTGTCTGTCATAAGGTTTAATCTTAACAATTTCATTTCGGATTCTGCCATTTAAATATTCTGGTAGTAACCTGGAGTATATGTAAGTGTTGGTTTTAGATTTTCGTCCTTCGTGTTTATTGCGGGGGGCGAGGGTGGGTTTCGAGTAGCATATGTCTTAACACTAACATCATTTCGAAACAGGTTTACATTTATATTTAGTTGGCTTAGGAACTTTGGAGTAAATAGTTGCCTTTAGAATGCTGATTGTGAAGGTAGAGTGGAATGAACTGTTTCGTTTGACATTCGGTGATTAAAAAATAACTAAGTCATACAGAGGATATATGAAACTAAATACAGTATTTTTCATCACCGCTACCGCCACCTTTTTGTTAAACAGCTGGCTTTCCTGAGATACATTTGTGCTTTTCCAAATGCTGTCATCTGGCTTACTTCCAAAACCAAGCCAGAGGAGGGTCAGGGCTGGAGTAGGACAACCTTTCTCCTTAATGAAGGGAGTTTCCAGTTTGGAAAGAAATGGAAGACACAGTTCCTGCAGTGCTGGCTGGGAATGAGGTATTTACATTACCTCTCCAACCCCAATTGAAGGGGATGAGGTCTTGATTGTAACTTAGTCTTGCTTGGCCCAGGAAAGTGATGCTAACTTGACATTTTTTAAAAAAGACTACTGATGAAAGTTAATTGTTTGATTTGAGTATATAGAATATCTTTGGCATCGTAGAAGTTCACCAACAACCTTTTAAGATTGAAAAACCATTTAAAAGACTATTTGGGGGTCTTTTTGGCCTTCCCCAATAGGAATTGGAGCATTCGATTGCATGCTTATGCTTTGGATGACTGTTTATCTTTCAGTCAGGGTTTATTGTGCAAAGGTGATACTTAAGATTTTATAAGAAAGAAAATCGTTTGGCTGTGAACTCTAGGCTGTCCCGTATACCAAAGTAAAACACATGGGACAATTAAGATTTGGGGATAGAGCAAGCAAAGATTACCAAGAGCAACTGAAGCTGGTGGAGAAGGCACAAGAAATGGAGAGGAGGAGACAGGAACAGATTTATAGACGTCCTTGGAGCTGGCAGAAGGATAGGTTGAGGGAGCAGGAGGCGGAGTCCTGAACAGACTGAGCGTGAAAGGGTCTATATAAGCTGGGAAGAACCAGGTAACTTTATGTTTGTTTTGTTTTTGTTATCTTCCGTTGAACTTGTTTTGGCTTCTTTCTCATAATTTTAAGACATGGGTTTTTACCTTTTCTCCAGCTCTATCTCAGAGGGTCTTCAAATATTTTAGGTGAGAAGTAAGGAAATATTTTGAAGTGTTGGTGACACAGTCTTTGGTCTCTCTTGCATGACAACTGGTCCCAGTGAAGGTGACTGGATTTTAGTTACTTTAGATAGTTAACATCTTAATATTTTGTTTGAAGATGTCATAGATTTGAGTAGGGACAGCAAAATATCAGGTGAGAAGTGGCTCCTATTTTGTAGGGGGTAGATTGTACAGGTTTTCTTGCTTTTACTCAGTCTATGGCTATCCAAATTTATACAAATGAGTTTTTAAATAATTGTGTGGTCACGAGGAGAGCATTCTTTATAAAATGATATACAATAAGCTTTCTTTAAATAGACTTTAATGCAGTGGAGTCCATTTATAAATTTTCAGCTTATACATAACTTTTTAGGAATATAATTACTTAAAAATGTAAAGGTTACTTGTCAGAAATAACTATATAACCTTGTGCAGAAAGTGTATATCTGAAATTGAAACTGAGAAATGTATAATCTTAGCCAGTGAACTTGTTTGAATAACCCGATTAAAATAATGGTACAGTTTCCTATTGTACAGATCGTGCATTTGAAATGTTAATTTATTTAATGAAAAGTAAATTATGTAATTTTAAAAAATCTCCACCTGGGATATATATAACAAGGTTTTACATGTTTAAAACATGCTGAAAATCCATATCGTTTGTTCCATTTTTGGAGTTTTACTAAAAATGAATTCTTTTCTTAGCTTTAGATGTTTTCAGAGAATGAAGAAGCTATTGCAGGAATGGAGAGCTGTTTGTTAAGAATGCATTCCTCCTCTGTAGCCTTCAAAAGACTATAGAGCTGTGTGCAGAGCTAGACAATCTGGGCATCCAGCCATAAAACATCACTGCTGTAGCACAGATAGTTGTTCGCACTCTCCTGAGCCCTCTGTGGCTGCAAACCACAACAGAAGTAATGGTCTTGGGAAAGGAACACTCAATGTTATTTTGAACTCTTAATATTCTCTGTGTCTCTCTGAGTTCCAGCTATGCATTGGAACTTTGGTTTTCTAAAATATAGTAGTGATTAAGGATGAGCAATAATATAGCTTCTTAAGTATATTCCTCTTGTAAGCCAGTGGATTTAAATGTTTGCTCTAGGAAATAAGGGGTGTCTAGGAAATAAGAGTTGTCTGTCCCACCATCTTCCTCTTTATTTGCCTCTTTGTTGCAATACTTCTTTTCTGTTGGAGAACCACTGCCCTAAGACCCATATGATCACTGGGCCACACACAGTGCACATGGCCCAAAGAGTCATCTGGAATCTTCCAGATATTTTGTGGGATGGATTGGTCTAATTTGGCCCAGTTTCCACTTTCTCATGAACCTTTTTGGCATAACAAATTTTTAATTTTTTTGCACAAAAATGAAGAAGAGTGTGACTGGCATCTATTTGTATAAATCCAAATGGTTTACTCTGAAGACCCTCTCTGTTTTTCTTCTTCAGACCATTTTAGAAATTAATACTCTATTGTATCTTTATAACTTCCTTCTCTGAAGGATTGAACTACAAACCTATAGTATCACAGTGTCAAGTTGAATTATTCTCAGCAGTTGGATAACTCTTGTCTGTGGTTGAGTCCTTTACTAATGTGCAGACTGTCTTTTGACGTGGCTAATACCAGATGCAAGTTGGTGCCCAGGTGGTTATTGGGAATATGTGCTTTGTTTGATTCATTTTATGTGTGCCTTCTAGCTTATTAAGAATAAGATCTCTCACAGCTAAAATCAAGTGCTTGGTTTGAGCCTGGCAAAGATATTGTTTACTTTTTTATTCCCAAAGATCATTTCTTTTTAATTACTCTTTTAGGAAGCAGGGAAAATCTCAGTGAAAATAGCAACTGGGAATTAAACTAAGATCTGAAACTGGGAAATGGCAACGCGGGCACAGGTGTCACCTTTCCAACTGTTGTTGAGATGATGTGGACAACGGTTATTCAGAAATTACAGTGGGGAGGAGGGAGATGCACAAGTATTTTTTCTCATACTCCATATGAAATATGAAGTGCAGAGTGAGGGGCCCAGAGTGTAGGGAGGGAATTTAATAGGCTTTGTTCTTCAGGGGGCTATGGCTGATGTCTTAAACAAGGTCTTTTTTGGTAGGGAGGCACAGTAAGGGAAGAAGGTGATGGATTTGTGGGAACAAGTACATTTGAGTCACTGAGGACAATTGGGAATTGTGAAGTGGGAGTGGACGAGGTTAGAAAGCATCCTTAGGTAACCAGATCTCCATTTAAAACTAATCTGAGCATTTACAATGTGATTATGTGCCAAGGACATGAGTTTATCTTATTTAATCCTCACAACACTCCTGTGAAGTGGTTGCTTTTAACATTCCCATTTTACAGATGAGCAAAGGGAGTAATTTCCACAAGATCCTATAGCTTATAGGAGATGAAGCCAGAATTTAAACTCAATACACTTCAAAGCCCTCACATATGGAAAAAGCTTGGATTATTTTAATAGCTGCTTAATGAGTCTCTTCCTCTGTTCTGTGTCCTGCTATCCAGCTGCCAATATTAACTGACTGCCTTCTGAGCACTTTGTGTGTATGATCTCATTCATTTCTCCTCAGCAGCTTATAAGTTAGGAGCTGTGATTATATTCACTTTATACATGGAAGCTGAAACTGATGGAAGTTGAATAATTTGCCCCAAATCAGAGCCTTAATAAATGTGTCTAGGTCCTTGGAAGCCAGAGCTTGAGCTCTTTATCATTCCGCTGTGCTGCCTTCTGAAGCCTGAGCCTGATTACATCATTCCTTCCACAAAACCTTTATGTCTTCCCTGTGCAGCGGCCACAGGGGAAGGACATCAACTTCTTCCTGCCCTCCTGGAGCTGTCTTACTAGTATAGTGAGAGAAATGGGCACCAAACAAGTTGTTAAAAAAAGAGAGAAAGCAATACATGTGAAGAACGCCACATACACATATTAAAAAGTTGACAAAAACCTAAGGTAATAGATCATTATATAGCTGTATACTGGATCTCCTCTCTTAAGGACGCATGTCAAAATTTTGGATGCTCTGAGAACTCCAGCAGTGAAAGAAATATGTTTACCTTTATTGGCCCAGTATTTCCCAAACTTATGTGGCCATTGAACATTGTTTTCCCTTCATACCACTTTTTAGTTCAGTGGGACTGACTTTAACAAATTCAGAAAGGAAGAGTGCCTGGTCATCCCCAGAGAGGGCCTGTGGGCTGCAGTGGTTAGGCAAGACTTCACTTGAAATGAGTTCTGAAAGGCTGGCAAAGCTTGGTTGGATGAAAGGGATATTCTACAAGGAGACGAATGGGCAAGCCATGTTTGGAAATATTTTGTAAAGCGCGTAACATAATGGCTGAGACATAGTAGGGACGGGATATAGTTATTGACTGGATGAGTGCAGAGGCCTAGCTGTAAATGGAGGTTCTGTGTTGGCAATAAGGTTTAGAAGGGGCTCTATCAGGTGGAACCTCTAGTTGTTGGCTCCTTAGGAACCGTTGGTGGCTGTTGGTGGGCATGACATGAATCAGGTGTTGGATTAGAATCTTCCTTGAGCAGAGGTATGGTGTTAAAACTGGCTGTTGTAGCTGTCTGTGCAAGGTGATGCCTACATACTGGTAGGGTCAAACTGAAAAGCTGTTACAAAGAATCAGCAGGATAAAATAATACAAAATGATTGACGTGGGTTGTTGGAAAGAATGAGTTCTAAGAGGCATAGGGTACTTACTGCTCTTCCTAGAATCTGCCACAGAGGCTTTAAATTAATGAAGCTAATATTAAGATATTTGGTTAAATACACATAGTACATTCTTTTTAGATGCTGATGGGGAAAGATGACACACAAGATAGTAGTTTTAGGCGAGTTTATTGTATGAGGTTGTGTTCTGCAGTAGAGATTTGACTCACAGCATAAATCCAAGTATGTGATGAGCCATGTAATAATAGACGTCTGCTGTTAATTATGGTGGATACTCTCAATGAAATCAGATTTTCTTAGGGCCATACCCATAAAAAAATTCTTGACCTAGATCTTATATAACAGTCCCAGGTATATAGTAAATTTTATGCATATGGAATGTTGACAGGAAAGAAGAGAAAACAAAAATCTTTAATGTTTCAAGGAAGCATAAGATCAAATCATTACATAAATAGAATAGCAGCATTAGTAATTGTGTTGAAGTTACTAGAATTTTTAAATTTTAGGTAAACTTAAGAGATTCCTTAAACTTAAGGAATAATAGATTCTTTTTTACTCCTGTAGAGTGGGGAAACTTTAAAACAGATAAAAATATTTTTTATTTTATCAGTCAGGTGATGAATGAGGATCTTAGCCACTGTTGGACTTTTGTGTATATGTAGTGTGGCATTTAATTGAGCATTGTTATTTATTCTTTTCTATCAACTTTAGACTTTAAATTTCAGCACATTTCCTTGCAGATTAATGCTTTGCAAAAAAAACTTCATTATCATGATAATTTCTTAAGATTTGAGTTACTTATTAGCAGGGATAATAACATGTTCATCTTTGTAATCCCTACATCGTCTATAGTATTTTGAAGATATTTAGATAACAATCATCTGTTTCTTCAGAGATATTGCTTCCACAAGTCATGCGGGGGGGGAGAGAAGATTGATAATTGAACATGTTTCTTCGGTTTTTAATCTTTTAGAATAACGATCAACTGTGTTTTCAACTAGTAAGCCTGGTACGTGGGGCTGTATCTGCAGATTTGAGGGGAATTGGGAAGCTGACAGGTGAGGAACAGTCATCATAGGGGCTCCCTGCACTACTGTTTTCTGTAGGGTACCTGAAGGAGTGGCTAGTTCCTTTTCCTGAGGCCTCTGGGCACTGCCAATAAGTGCCACTGACCCAATCATGAAAAAACAATGTGTGACGCTTCTCATGCACAACAAAATTGTAGGTATGATAGATCAATTACAAGGTAATTCCTGGCTTGTCTTTCACAGATTTGATGATGGTCTTTAGATACTAGCCCATTGGAAAAATGAGTGTTATGACTAATGAGATTATTCTGGCCAAGCCAGAATGTCTGGTTAGCATTATTCTGGATAGACTTATATCCCGCCCTCCTTTAGGGAAAACTCTCTGGAAATAAGAGGATTTTTAAAAAGAGATTGTCAGTATTCTTTTTCTTGAAATCAATTTATGTTTACTCATAATTTCAGTACTCCTTTAAAGGTTACTTTATAAAAATTTGAGATGTAGTTATTATTCTTATTATTCTTATTCTTATTCTTATTTTGAGACAGAGCCTCGCTCTGTTGCCCAGGCTGGAGTGCTGTGGCATGGTCTCAGCTACTGCAACCTCTGCCTCTCAGGTTCAAGCGATTCTCCTCCCTCAGCCTCCTGAGTAGGCGGGATTACAGGTGCCTGCCACCACGCCCAGCTAATTTTTTGTATTTTTAGCAGAGATGGGGTTTCACCATGTTGGCCAGGCTGGTCTCAAACTCCTGACCTCGTGATTCGCCCACCTCGGCCTCCCAAAGCACTGGGATTACAGGCGTCAGCCACCGCGCCTGGCTGAGATGTAGTGGGTTGTTGTTGTTGTTTGAGACGTAGTCTTGTTCTGTCGCCCAGACTAGAGTGCGGTAGCGTGATGTCAGCTCACTGCAACCTCCGCCTCCCGGGTTCAAGCGACTCTTCTGCCTCAGCCTCCCAAGTAACTGGGACTACAGGCGCCCGCCACCACACCCAGCTAATTTTTGTATTTTTAGTAGAGACAGGGTTTCACCATGTTGGCCAGGATGGTCTCTTATCTCCTGACCTCAGGTGATCCGCCCACCTCGGCCTCCCAAAGTGCTGGGATTACAGGCGTGAGCCACCGTGCCCGGCCCGAGATGTAGTTATTTAAATAGCTTATGCACATGCCTATTTAGCCTTGGATGGCAGAATTTTGATTGGGTAGATCTTAAGTCTTCAGAAAATGGTTTGTTCTCTTTAACTTGTGATTTTCCAACTAAATCTTAAATTAGTGAACGTGAGTTTAAAAATTCAGCCTTTAGGAACACTCACAAAAGTTCTCATTAGTTTCTCTTACTTTTTATTTGTCTTTCCCACAACCTTTCCCCCCTGTTTTCCCACTTGCCCTCCTGAAACTGCACTTGAGAGTTGGGAGTAGAGAGAGACCTGGTTTGAGGCAACAGGGTGAACACAGCGTTCTTTCATTCTGTGTACTGTTGTGACGCTAAGCCTGTTAGCGTTGAGATACCAGCCCACAGCTGGTGAAAGGATTCCAGACTTCATACTGGCAGTTTATTGAGTGCCTACCATGTGCCAAGTACAGAGCACTTAATATGTTATTTCATTTATTCTCCTTAATAAGAGGAGAACACTGAGGCACTCTGAAGAAGCCAGGTCACCTAATTCCATTGGCTGTGCTCCTCACCGCTCTATTGCACTACCTCATTCAGACTGACTGAGGTAGTATAATTTCCATTATCTTTAATAAATTTTTTTTTTTTGAGGCAGAGTCTCGCTGTCACCAGGCTGGAGTGCAGTGGCGCAATCTCGGCTCACTGCAACCTCTGCAACCTGGGTTCAAGCGAGTCTCCTGCCTCAGCCTCCCAAGTATCTGGGATTACAGGTGCCCGCCACCATGCCCAGCTAATTTTTGTATTTTTAGTAGAGACGGGGTTTCACCATGTTGGCCAGGGTGGTCTCGAATTCCTGATCTCAGGTGATCCACCTGCCTCAGCCTCCCAAGGTGCTGGGATTACAGGCGTGAGTCACCACGCCCGGCAATTTCCATTATCTTTAAAAATCTGAGAGATCTTTGGGACCTCAAATTTGATCTGTGGCATCTGACCTATTAAGAGAAAACTAACGTTTATGTGTTTATAAGAATCGTTATTTATACTTGAAAAGCCTGATGTTCTTTTCTCTCTGATTTCTAACTCTGGCATCTAGAATGCAGTGTAGGCAGCAGTGTGCCTGGGAGACAAGCAGAGATCTCACGGATTCCTTTATTTTTCCTGCCATAGCAGCAAATTTTCCTTGGAGCACTATTTGAAAATTAACATTACTGAAAAAATTAAGCCCACTTAAAGGGACTCTAGTTTTTATCTAAATTATAAAAGGTGAGAAGACAGTTCTGAAAAAAATGTATCACCTTGAAACTAGAATGCTTTAGTTAATGGGGTAAGCTAGAAGTAAGCTGCCTTTGATAACTCATGTAAGAGCAGCATATGAATGGATGATAACTGTCTTTCTTCCATTTAATTCAGCTACTTCCTATTCAATCTCAAATCTCAGTTGGAAAGCAATTTCCCTCACTTGACCCATTTTTCTTCTGCATTATATCTTTCTTCTGGTTCTTCAACACAAAAAGTTTGAAAAGACTTGTAAGCAGATTCAGACACCTGGTTTGGGCTAAGCGTATTTCATTATTTGGCTTTCCAGTTGGAAGGATAACAGTTTTACTTCTTTACATTTTGTTTTGTTTCTTGGTTCTTTTTGAGACAGGTTCTCACTCTGTTGCCCAGGCTGGAGTGCAGTGGTACAGTCACAGCTCATCGCAGCCTCAGCCTCTCAGGCTCAAGCAGTCCTCCCACTTCAGCTTCCAAAGTAGCTGGGACCACAGGCATGCACTATCATGCCTGGCTAATTTTTAAAATTGTTTTTGTAAAGACAGGGTCTTCCTATGTTGCTGGGATTGCAAGTGTGAGCAACCTCACCTGGCTGCTGCTTTACTTTGATATCACAACTTTCAGGAGAGATATATGTTAAATGACTGAGACTGGTATAGAGTCATATGGGTATAGACCAAGCTTGCCCAACCTGCAGCCCGGGATAGCTTTGAATGCGGCCCAAAACAAATTAATAAACTTTCTTAAAATACTATGAGATTTGTGTGTGTGTGTGTGTATGTGTGTGTTTAAGCTCATCAGTTATTAATGTTAGTGTATTTTATGTGTGGCCCAAGACAATTCTTCTTCTTCCAAGGTGGCCCAGGGAAGTCAAAAGATTGGACACCCCTGGTATAGATAAAAGCAGGTAATTGGCCTAGCCTGGGCGACACAGCAAGACCCTTGTCTTTTAAAACATGAAAAAATTAGCTGAGCATGGTGGCACATACCTGTAGTCCTAGCTACTCAGGAGGCTGAGGTGGGAGGATCACTTGAGCTGTGGAGTTCAAGGTTACAGTGAGCTACGATCCTGCCACTACACTTTGGCATGGGTGATAGACCTTGTCTCAGAAAAAAAAAGAAAGAAAAGAAAAAAGTAGGTGGGGGGTATAAAATTCTTGTTTTAGTAACACGGGCAATGTAAAGATGTTATAATTTTAGTAAAGATATATGAAATAAGCCTCACATATCCATATTGTAAAATGTCTATCTGAGACCCAAGTCTCTGGAATTTGTTATCTAAATTAATCTATTAGTGGTATCATTAACACATGCATTAGTTACAGGTGTCTTGTAATAACATTTATTTCACACCTTGGGTGATAAAGTGCTTGAATTGGTTTCTGTCTTTGCCAGATCAAATTCTAAATTTCCTAAAATAGCTAACATGAAACCAGTCTCCTTTATGAACCCTTCTCTGACTTCTCTCATGATAAACTTTCTCTTCTCTATTCATTCCTTTGGTCATCTCATTCAGTCCTGTGACATTAAATACCACATACGCACTGAAGACACCAACCTAGACTGCTCCCCAGACTCAATATTTCCATATCCAGTTGCCTGTTCCACATCTTGATGGCTTTTTAATGGGCATTTCCACTGAACAGATCCAGAACTGCACCCCTGTTCTTGCCCCAAAATAACCTCAGGAGGTTATTTTGTCTTCACTGATGAATTCTGTCAAACATAGAACTAATATCGAGCCTTCACAAACATTTCCAGAGATTAAAATCTGCTCTGCTTGCATTCCTTCCCACTCACTGAAAAGCACTGCCATCCTTCCAGTTGCTCCACTCAAAAACTTTGGAGTCCCCATTGACTTCTCTCTTTCACTCCATGTATGTCCATCAGAAATTAAGTAAGAGATTTCTGAATAACCCATAGGTTAAAGAAGAGCTCACAAGGGAAAATTAGAAGATATTTTTAAGTGAGTTAAAAAAAAAAAAAAAGAACATGTCAAAATTGACATGATGCAACTAAACTGTACTAGGAGAGAAATGTATAGCTTTAAATGTATTAAATATGTATTAGAAAAGGAGAAAGATCACAGATCAGTCACTTAAGCTTCTACCTTCTGAATCTAGAGAGAACAAACTAAACCGATGGCAAACAAACAAAAAAAAAGTAGAGATTGGAGTGGAAACCAAAGAAATAGAAACATAAAAACAATAGAGAAGATCAGTAAAATCAGAAGCTGGATAATTGCAAAGATCAACAAAATTGACAAACCCATAGCTAGACTGACCAAGAGAAAACTAGAGGAGACACAGGTTACTAAAATCAAGAATGAAAGAGAGGGCCAGGCGCGGTGGCACACTCCTGAAATCCCATCACTTTGGGAGGCCGAGGTGGGAGGATCACCTGAAGTCAGGAGTTCAAGACCAGCCTGGCCAACATGGTGAAACCCCATCTCTACAAAAATACAAAAATTAGCTGGGCATGATGGCAGGTACCTGTAATCCCAGCTACTCTGGAGGCTGAGGCAGGAGAATCACTTGAACTTGGGAGGCAGAGGTTGCAGTGAGCCCAGATGGCGCCACTGCACTCCAGCCTGGAAGACAGAGCAAGACTCTGTCTTAAAAAAAAAAAAAAAGAATGAAAGAGGGGACATGACTGCTGATTTTATAGCGATTGAGGTAGGTACCATAAACAACTTTATACCAACAAAAGATGATTTAGATGAAAGTACAAATTCCTAGGAATAGACAAATTAACAAAAATTGATGCAGGAAAAATGGAAAATTTGAATGGACATATAGCAAGAAATTGGATTAGTAATTTAAAATCTTCTCACAAAGAAAATCCAGGTTATTTTGTCTTCACTGGTGAATTCTGTCAAACACATAGAACTAATACCAAGCCTTCACAAACATTTCCAGAAATTAAAAGAGGAAGGTACATTTACCAGCTGATCCAGTGAGGGCAATGTTACCACGATGCCAGAGCCAATAACATCATAAATAATAATATCATAAATTATTTATTTTTTGAGACAGAGTCTCGCAACTCTCTCTCAGGCTGGAGTGCAATGGCACGATCTCGGCTCACCACAACCTCCGCCTCCCAGGTTCAAGCGATTCTCCTGCCTCAGCCTCCTGCGTAGCTGGGATTACAGGCGCCTGCCATCACATCCAGCTAAATTTTTGTATTTTTAGTAAAGACGGGGTTTCACTATGTTGGCCAGGCTGGTTTTGAACTCCTGACTTCAGGTGATCCGCCCGTCTTGACTCCTAAAGTGCTGGGATTACAGGCGTGAGCCACTACGCCTGGGCAATACACCATATTAATAGATGAAGAACAAAACCACATGATCATCTCAATAAATGCAGAAAAAGCATTTGACAAAATCTAACATTCTTTCATGAGAAAAACTTTCAACAAATTAGGTATAAAAGAGAGCTGCTTCAACTTGATAAAAAGCACATATATGAAAAACCATACAAAACACAGTAATATTATACGGAAGAGTGAATGACGGAATGCTTTCTCTCCAAAACTGGGAAAAAAAGAATATCAGTTCAATGCTATTCAGCACTGATCTAGAGCTTCTAGCCTATGTAGTCAGGTAAGGGAAAGTAATAAAAGGCACCTGGATTAGAAAGGAAGCGGTGAAACCGTCCTTATCCACAGATGACATAACCCTGTGTATAGAAAATCCTTAGGAATCCACAAGAAAGGTTACTTGAACTAGTAAATAAGTTTAGTAAGGTCACAGCTTACAAGACCAGTGTTTGAAAATCATTTGTGTTTCTTGATGCTGGCAGTAAACAATCTGAAAATGAAATTAAGAAAACTCATTCACTATAACATCAAAAGCAACTAAATCCTGGGGAATAAATTTACAAAAGAAGTGAAGATGTTTACACCGAAACTGCAAAAACATTGCTGAGAGAAATTAAAGAGGATCCAAATAATTGGAGAGACATTCTGTGTTGATGGATGGGAAAACACAATATTGTTAATCTGGCACTCTACCTAGATTGATCTGTAGATTTGATGCATCTCTATCAAAATCCCAGAAGGCTTTTGTTGTTGTTGTTGTTGTTGTTTGTAAATTGACAGGCCAATTCTAAAATTTATGCAGAAATGCAAAAAGACCTGGAGAGAGGGAGGGAGGGAGGGGGAGGGGGGAGAGAGAGAGAGAGAAAGAAAGAAAAAGAATGGAGGTAAAACAGAACATGAAAAGTTAAAACAGGCTGAAGGAAAATATTTGCAAATCATAAAGCTAGTAAGGGACTTGTATTCAGAATATATAAAGAGCTCTCGTAACTTAATAATAAGACAAAGTACCCAATTTTAAAATGGGCGAAGGATTTCAATACACATGTCACCAAAAAAGATATACAAATAGCTGATAAACAGATGAGATTTCTTGCTATGTGTCCATTCAAATTTTCCATTTTTCCTGCATTGATTTTGTTAATTTGTCTATTCCTAGGAATTTGTACTTTCATCTAAATCATCTTTTGTTGGCATAAAGTTGTTTATGGTACCTACCTCAATTCCTGTAAAATCAGCAGTCATGTCCCCTCTTTCATTACCACCCCCGCCCCGCCCCAAAAAAAAAGTAAGAGGGAGAGATGGAGTCTTGCTGTGTTGCCCAGGCTGCCCTTGAACTCCTGGGCTTGAGAGATCCTCCCACCTTAACCTCAAGAGTAGCTGGGACTGCAGGCACGTGCCACTGCACCCTACTTGTGTATGTTTTTGGTTCATTTCGTTTTGGGTTTATATTACCATTGTTATTCAATGTTATGTGTAGTCAGGGTGATAATAGATTAGCAACAACAGTGCTATTAACAGGTATTATGTCTTGTTTCTCTGCTATGTTTCCAAGAACAAATCTTAACTCATTGAGTCTGTTCAAAATTCACAGTTCTGTAGAGTTCACCGAGGAGAAAACAGAGACCTAAAGAGGCAGTGTGACTTGCCCAAGATCAGGTAGTCCTGGGTTCAAACCCAGGTTTTGCAGAAAACTAATTCCATGCCTTTTGCCATAGGTAAATGAGCAAGGGAAAAAACAATTTGCAAAACAAATTTGTAAACAAACATCTTTAAAATGTATCTTTCTAGTAATCAAAGAAAGAAATAAGCCAGATTAAAAAAGAAACATTCAGTTGAGAAAACTTAAATATGATACTGAGGAGGATGAGAAAAGAAATTTCTTTAAGTCTCATGTATGGGGGGAAAAAAATTCTTCCATGCATCTTTTGCTGGTGGCCATGAAAACAGGTGTAAATACCTTCAGGTGGTGAAAATAATAATGTACATCAAAAGAATCAAATACGTTATTACCTTAGGAGGTTTTTTTTTAGCATCTGTATTAAGGTTTTTTTCTGATATACATTAAACTGCACATATTTAAAGTATAACATTCAATAAATGTTGATATACATATATATCTGTGAAACTACAGCCACAGTCAAGATAATGAGCATATCCACTGAGGTTGAGTGTTGAAATGTGCTGGTGGGAGGGCAGATGCAGTGTGCTGGAGGGAGAAAGAAGCCAAATTGTTAAAACTGGGCAACTGGTGGAAAGATGGTGGTGGAGGGAATGGGGAGACCTCCCTTATAATTTTGCCTATAAAGGCAGCTACACATAGCAGTTTTAAAAATATTTGTCATTCATGTAGGAAGGTAATCATTTCTTAAATATTTAATCAAACATTTTTCTTTTTTGGGTAAAATCTGGTCTTTTGAAAATATGAAATAGCATTGTGATTATGAGGCTTTGGGACATCATGTAAGAGTAAAGGTTCAACAACAGAAGTGGAAACTAATTTACAGTTGCCATCTTTTACTCTTGCCACATAAGACTTGAATAAAAAGTACCATGATATACTTTTATCATTACTTTATAAAGTAAAGGACTTTCTCATGCAAAGAAGTGGAAAGGATACCATCTTATAGGAGAATCCTATAAATTGAATAAATGCATCTTTATGAAAAATGTAGGTCGTCTTTATTTTTCTCATTCCATGGTGTTATAAAACTTTCTCAACTGATCATGGTCTTTAGAGTGAGTTGTCAACTCTGGGCTAGATTTCTAGGAATGCCACTTATTAGCTAGGTGACTTTGGGTTTAATTTTTATTTTCTCTGAGCCTTTGTTTGCTCAGCTAGAAGAAATGAATAATAATATATACTATTACAGGATTATTGTAAGAATTAAATGAGATAGTATGTAAGTTTCTCACATTGTAGGCTCATGTTATCTTCCTTATATTCAGCCCTGCGTAGTCTGTTTCTCACTATCACACATTTGCTCTTTAATTACATATTTGTGTATACGTTTCTGTAATTTCAAAGAAGTGAGTCAAATTTAACCCTATCATAGACATGACTATAGTAATCATTTTGGTATGTTTTATAAGGTGGGTGAGGGAGGTTGTTTTGCCCTGAAAACATCTACAAATGCTAGCATATAAAATTGAGCAAAAGATGTGGGATAGAGATTGAATTCATATTCTTTGTGAAGACTATTAGGATTTGTTCTTGTGATGATCAGATTGTCAGTTCAGTTTACTGTATTTCACACACAGTAGCCCCAGTTAGGGTTCCAGAAATGCTTATAAATTTGTCTCCTGTGGTATTATCTTAATGTGGTGTTGGATTCTTCATCGCTGAAGTCAGCTATTCAGGTAAAACTTTATTTGGTAAGATCAGATACCTAAGCAATATATAGTCACTAAGTCACTTCATATATAAAACTTGGGGCCGGATACGGTGGCTCATGCCTGTAATCCCAGCACTTTGGGACGCCAAGGCAGGTGGATCACCTGAGGTCAGGAGTTAGAGATCAGCCTAACCAATATGGTGAAACCCCATCTCTACTAAAAATACAAAAATTATCTGGGCGTGGTGGCAGGTGCTTATAATCCCAGCTATTGGGGAGGCTGAGGCAGGAGAATTGCTTGAATCCAGGTGGTGGAGGTTGCAGTGAGCCAAGATTGCACCATTGCACTCCAGCTCAGGCGACAAGAGCAAGACTCCATCTCAGAAAAAAAAAAAAAAAAAAAAAAAAAAAAACTTGGTTTCCCCTTCATTTTACAGGTATGTTAAAGAGGAAAAAAATAGAATGCTTAACATGTTGCTACTTGTGTACAAATTGTATTAATCATTATATGATAAATGTTTCCAGATGGTATCTATTTTATGGTACTTAGACTTTCTAACTTTTATAATGATTACTATATATACGTTTTCTTTCTCCTACTAGATTATAAACTCCTTGAAGGCAGGATTCATGTTTAGTTTATCTTTTCATAAAACTTAGCTGTGTGTATTGATTTATACATATGTATTTAGTAAATATAGCTTGATTAATTGAATAAATCTTCATATGTAGTAGATTTCTGTATTGACTTCTGCTGGTATAAATTTTCTCTACAAAGTTTGATGAGATAGGAGTGATGGGGAAAATATGAAGAGCATTAATGTATCATTTTCATTTCCACTAGTATCTTTGCTAGACCCCTAATCTCCAGTAGTTAAAGCTTTGGGTTATGAAAAGGAACTCCTTGTCTCCGAAGTGGTAGATATTTTTTATGATATGTTGCAAAACAAAAAGACAACTTTTTAGTTCAGAAGGGAACCAGCATTTATTAAGCCCTAGCTATGTGCTAGGATAGGATCTTTTAAGTAGTCCCAGATCCCTTTGAGAATTCAGAAAACCTAAATAAAACAAGAAAGAAATTTTAATTATAAAAGAATTATCTCCAAAAAGTTTCTCCTTTTCAACCTTTCATGCTTTTAATATTTACTATGTAAATTGCCTAAGAACTTAAAAAACAGGGACAGCTTTCCAGTTTATTTTATGAAGCTAACATACCAAAGACACAAAAAATGATAGGCAAATATCTAACTTTAGATTTTTGTCACATAAGTGTATGTGAGACTCTTAAAATAATTTACCAGAAAGTGTAATTCATCAGTATCAGTATTTTTTCTTTAAAACCTCTTTTTTTTTTTTTTTTTTTTTTGAGGCAGAGTCTCGCTCTGTCGTGCAGGCTGGAGTGCAGTGGCGCAATCTCGGCTCACTGCAAGCTCTGCCTCCCAGGTTCATACCATTCTTCTGCCTCAGCCTCCTGGGTAGCTGGGACTACAGGCGCCCGCCACCACGCCCAGCTAATTTTTTTTGTATTTTTAGTAGGCACGGGGTTTCACCATGTTAGCCAGGATGGTCTCGATCTCCTGACCTTGTGATCCACCCGCCTCAGCCTCCCGAAGTACTGGGATTACAGGCGTGAGCCACCGCGCCCGGCCTAAAACCTCTTTCTAAAGAGAATTTGAGACAAATGCAACAGCATATTAAAACAATAGAATAGTAGAAGTAAGGCTTATCTTTAGAATGCAAAGAACTCTACTAATATTCCTCCACATTGGTAGATCAAGGAAGTAAATTCATAAGATTATCTCACTTGCTACCTGTAAGGTCATATAGTAAAGCTCAGTATTATTTTGGGTGTCTGCTTCTGGCTAAGACAGACTAGCCAGTGTCAGACCAACCCTGCCGCCGGGAACTAAAATGCTTAGGTAAATAATAAAAAGCAACTGTTTGAAGGTATTAGAAGCTACTAGGACACTGAAGACTTTGAGGCCAAGATCCTAGAGAGAAGGGAGGTCTAAAGAGGCAGAATAAACATTTGGTGCCACATGACCCCTCAGAAGCATTTGCCAGCTTCAGTGCTAGGACTGAAAACCTGAACAAAAAGCTGAGGTTGAGCAGCTAAGCAGAGTTTTCAATAGATGTCAGAGGCGGGGGTCACAAAAACGGGAGTTCAGGGATGACAGACCCTGGTAAACATCCCAGGCTTTTGGTTGGAACCACCCTTCTTACCCCCTAAAAACCCCAACTTTTTACCCTAGGTGTATGGTGAACCTAAAAATTTTCCTGAAATCCAGCCCTCACAAAACACAAAAACTTAGTTTTGAATTGGCTGAAATAGATTAAAGTGATTCACCCTTGCTCTTAAATGCTTGTCAGAAGCAAAACTAAATCCTCTCTAGAGGAAGGTAACATTCACAGCCTCAGCCTATCTCCACAGTTTTGTGCATGCAAGATTAACATTCAGTCAAAAACTAAGCATATAAAAAGAGGCAGGCGATAAGGTTACCCACAGGAGATCTAGATATTAGGGTTATCAGACATGGACCTTAAGGTAATGTTGATAAATATGTTTAGTAAATTAAGTGACAAATGGAGGATTTCAGAAAGAACTGGACACTATTAAAAAAGTTAAATGGAAATTCTGGAATTGAAAAGTGCAATATAGGGTGACAATAGTTTACAATAATCTTTTGTATATTTTAAAATAGCTAGAAGAGAAGAATTTGAATTTTTTAACATAAAGACATTTAAGGTGATGGATATCCCAATTACACTGATTTGATCCTTACAAATCATATGAATGTACTAAATTATCACATGAATCCTGAAAGTATGTGTATCTGTTATGCATCAATTAAAAATTAAAAAGAACTTTTAAAAGTGCAGCAACTCAAATTAGGAATTAAACAGGAGGGTTTAATAGTATTCTTAGCTGAAGAAAAAATTAGTAAACTAGAAGATAGATCAGAAGACAATATCCATACCAAAGCACAGAGAGACAAAAGGATGGAAAATGAAAAGAAAAAGAAAAATATGTAAGAGACAAATGGGACACTGTTAAAAGTCTAAAATACTTATAATTGGAATCTCGGAGAGGAGAAAGAATAGGTCAGAAGCAATAGTAAAAGACATAATAACTTGAGAATCTTCCAAAACTAATACAGACTTGCATATTTGAGAATCACTGTAGCTCTAAGCAGAATCAATACCAAAAAACAAAAATAAAGGGAAAAGAGAGGAAAAATTGCCAAAACAAAGAAAATCTTAAAATCAGCCAAAGGAGGAAAAAGATACATTACCTTCAAAGGAGCGGCAGTAAAGACGGACAGTCTACTTTGCAAAGAAATGGAAATCAAAATACAGTGGAACGATATCTTCAAAGTGTTGTAAGAAAATAACTGCCAACCTAGAAATCTGTATGAAGCAAAAATATCTTTCAAAAATGAAGTGAGAATATAGACATCTTCAGACAGACAAAAATTAGAATTCATCACCAGCAGATCTACACTAGAGGTACTATAAAGAAAGTTCTTCAGGTAAAAGGAAAATTATCCCAGCTGGAAGCATGGAGATGCAGGAAGGAGTAAAGAGCACTGGAAAGGATAGATAGACGAATACATCTAAAATAATGTGAACTGTGTAAAACAGTAAAAATATTGATAGGTGCAGCAAACCACCATGGCACACGTTTACCTGTGTAACCTGCACATCCTGCGCATGTACCTGGAACTTAAAAATTTTTAAAGTAAAAATAATAAATGGCAACAGCAACACAGAAAGCTGGAAGAGAGTTCTGATGGGGGAAAAACACAGGTTATTTTTCCTCGGCTCTCACTCTACAACAGTGATCATCACAGAGGACTTCTTTGACCAAATGTGTGGATTTCTCCCCACGTGCCAAGCAAGCAGTCAGTTCTGCAGTGGACACCAGCTGGGTCGGTCTCAACACAGAAGACTTCTGTGAGCAAATGTGTGAGGGTTTCTTCTCACACATCAAACAAGCAAGGAGTTCTGCTGTGGATATCAGGTGGGTACCCTCCAATTCCATTTCAACATTATCTACCTGGAGATAACTCAGATCTCACAGGTTGAAGACTCAGTCTCCAGGACTGTCCCTCCTTGAGACACCAGTTGCAAGTCTGGGCCTCCAGAACTTCTGACCCACTAGCTTCAAGTTGGGATTCCCACCACCCCTCTTTGGGTTCAGTTAATTTGCTAGAGTGGCTCACAGAACTCAGGGAAATAATTACGTTTACCAGGTTATTACAAAGGATATTATGAAGGAAACAGATGAAGAAATGCCTAGAACAAGGTATGGGGGGTGGGTGCTTCCATGCCCTCTCTGTTGCACCGCCCTCCTGGCATCTCCATTTGCTCGGGCATTTGGAAGCTCTCCAAACCCAATCCTTTTGGGTTTGTTTTGTTTTGTTATGTTTTTTGGTTTTTTGGTTTTGGAGGCAGTCTCACTCTATTGTCCAGGCTGGAGTGCAGTGGTGCAGTTACGGCTCACTGCAGCCTCAACCTCCTGGACTCAAGCCATCCTCCCACCTCAGCCTCCTGAGTAGCTGGGACTCCAGGCACGTACCATCATGCTAGGCTAATTTTTTAAAAAAAATTTTGTAGAGGTGGGGGTCCCACTGTGTTGGCCAAACTAGTCCCACCTTGGCCTCCCAAAGTGCTGGGAGCCACTGCTCCTAGCCCCTTTTGGGTTTTTATGAGAACTTCATTATGAAGGCATCATTGATTAAGCCATTGGCCATTGGTGATCAACTTAACCTTCAGCCCCTCTACCCTCCCTGGAGATTGGAGGGTAGGGCTGAAAGTCCTAACCTTCTAATCCTGCCTTGGTGTTTATGGAGACCAGCCCCCATCCTGAAGCTAACAAGAGGCTGCCAGCTATCAGTCAACTCATTAGCATACAAAAAGACATTACTTTGGAGTTTGGAAGGATTTTAGGAATTATATGCCAGGAAGCAGGATCGAAGACCAAATATATATTTCACAATATTACAAAGATAAATATAGTTTAAATGTCCTCAGGTCTTTGTAATTTATATTAGATTTTAATGAGTCAGAGATAGTAATATCTAGGGTAGTCCTTCTCAATCACATTTGGTGAGAGAATCACATCATAATGTTCAAAGACAGCAAACTTCAACCTGTGGGTCAAATCTGGCCTGCCACCTATTTTAGTAAATAATGTTTTATTGGTGGAACACCGCTATGCCCGTTAGTTTACATATTGTCTATGGCTGGATTCATGCTGCACCGCCAGAATTGAGTAGCTGCTACAGAGACATTGTGGTCCACAAAGCTTACATTTATTGTCTAGCCCTTGATAGAAGAGATTTGACAACCCCTAGGTATTGTGGACTGAGTGTGTGTGTTCCCCAAAGATTTGTATGTTGAAATTCTAACCTCCAGCGTGATGGTGTTAGGAGGTGGGGCCTTTGGGAGGTATTTAGTTCGTGAAGGTGGAACCCTCACAAATGGGATTAGAGACACAGAGTTCTTGCTTCTTTCTGTCTACTCTCTGCCATATGGGGACACAGCAAGAAGAATGCCATCTGCAAGCCAGGAAGAGGGTCTTCACCAGAACTTGACCATGATGGAACCCTGGTCTTGGAGGGTCTATAGAACCCAGCCTCTAGAACTATGAGAAATGTTTGTTGTGTGAGCCACCCGGTCTATGGTATTTTTGTTAGTAGCAGCCAGAACTAAGACATCTGTGCTAAGGCATCTATTATATATTATGAATTAACTTCTTTACATTTAGAATGCCTTGTAAGAACTGAAAAAAAAAATAGTCACTCAGAATGTTTTCTGCAGGACATAATTCTTTCATAGAACTTGAGTTGATTAACTCTAGAGTAATCACTAAAAGGATAGAAAGAGAATTTATAGCTACCAAGCTAATAGAGAAGGAGAAAGGAAATAAAATAATAAAAACCATTTACTGTCCAAAAAAAGACAAAAAAGAAAAAAGGATCATAGAATAGGAGGAACAAGGCCAGGCGCGGTGGCTCATGCCTGTAGTCCCAGCACTATGGGAGGCTGAGGCGGGCAGATCACCTGAGGTCAGGAGTCCAAGACCAGCCTGGCCAACATGGTGAAACCCCATCTCTACTAAAAATAAAAAATCAGCTGGGTGTGGTGGCCCATGCCCATAGTCCCAGCTACTCGGGAGGCTAAGGCAGGAGAATTGTTTAAATCTAGGAGGCAGAGGTTGCAGTGAGCCGAGATTGTGCCACTGCACTCCAGCCTGGGTGACGGAGCAAGATTTCATGTCAAAAAAAAGGACAAGTTCAAAACAAGTAGTAAGATGGTTAATTTAAGTAGTAACAGACAAAATGGACTTTAAGGCAAGACATCCCTAGAAACAAGGAAAGTTTGTAATGAAAAATGAGTCAATCCACCAAGAAATATGTATGCACCTAATAACAGAGCTTTAAAAGACAAAAGCCAACAGAACCAAAAGGACAAAAAGATAGATTCAGTGTCCCTATTTCTTCTATTATACACAAATTAGGGAGAGCAGGATATTTGTTGAATATGGCGTAAATTCACAGACCAACTTTCATATTATACTTAATGGTAAAACCCTGAAAGCAGTCTCTTACTGTTATACCTTATAACCCACCCCTAGAATTTCTGCTTCCCATTCTAGCAACTGAGTTCTGCTGGGATTTGGAGTTCTTATTTTCCAATAGGGAATGTTACTACCAGAGGACACAGAAAGGTTCCATTGAATTGAAAGATGAGGCTATAACCCATTTGGGACTGTTGATGCCACTGAACCAACAGGTAGGAAAAGAGGTCACTCTCCTGACTAGAGTGCTTAATTCTGATTACCAAGGCAAAATGGGGTAATGCTATACAATGGGGGCAGGGAGGAGGATGTTTGTAACTCAGGATTCTCTAGAGTGTCTCTTAGTACTTCTTTGCACCATATTAGAGACAAAATGAAAAACTGCAGTACTCAAGAAAAGGCAGGTCTGTTGAGGAGTCACATGTTTCAGGAATGAAGGTTTAGGTCACCCTGTCATGTTGAGAACCCTGACTGGCTGAGGTTCTAATTGAGGTCACAAGACATGTTGGATGCATAGTGAGAGAAGAAAGTTAGGGACACCATCCATGCGTTCATAACCAGGTGCAGAAGCAAGGATTGTAGTAACTTAGCATATTTTTTCTTGTGTCTGTATGTTTATATGTATTAACTTTGCTTTTTCCCCCCTTATTTTATATATAATTACTGGAAGTTAATTAATTTGATCTTTAGAGAACAGAATATTTAGTGGGACTGTTAACTGAATTTTAAGGAGTAATTAATATAGCCAGTGATTAATACAATGTCTGTTCGGACTGCAGCTCCTCATTTTGGGGAGAAGGTGAGAACATGTTCATTTATAGGAAGGTAGCTGCATGTTACCTTCATGTGGAATCAGAGTTGTTTTGATACTTCAAATATAGAGGGTGTGTATGGAAGCCAAGTAGCCAAAGGGGTGGACTGTGCCAATTATTTATTGTTGCTCAGTTCCCAGTTTATGTAAATCCACATCCATTTATGCCCTGCTTTTGATACAGGAGATGGGCACTGTAGACATTTCCCTTTGGTGAGCTGGCTTCACTTTAGGCTTTGCCAATGGAAGCACTGGAGACACAATGTAAGGAGGAATAGAGGAGAAAAGGGTCTTCCCAGCCAGGCACGGTGGCTCACGCCTGTAATCCCAGCATTTTGGGAAACCGAGGCAGGATTGCTTGAGCCCAGGAGTTTGAGGCCAGACTGGGCAACATAGCAAGACCTCATCAATACTTAAAAAAAAAAAACAAAAAAAAAAACAGCCACGTGTGGTGGCGCATGCATTAGTGTCAGCTGCTCCAGAGGCTAAGGTGGGAGGATCGCTTGATTGAGGCTGCAGTGAGCTGTGGTTGCACCACTGCACCCCAGCCTAAATGTCAGAGCTAGATTCTATCTCAAAAAAAAGAAGTAGGGGGTATCTCTCCACTCCCTCCTTCAGTGCGTGTGCTTTTGGTGCAGC
Source organism: Homo sapiens (assembly GCF_000001405.40). Lineage (NCBI taxonomy): Eukaryota > Metazoa > Chordata > Mammalia > Primates > Hominidae > Homo > Homo sapiens. Next base: position 77,984,581 of record NC_000017.11, read on the forward strand.
AGTCAGCAGGCTGGCATAGGAGAGCCCTGGCAGTGCTCACCTCAGTGGTGCCTATGAAGCAGCCTCAGCCCACCTGTACCCTCAAGGAAGTTTCTCTGCCTCCCAGTAGGGCCCTCCTGTGGACCACCTCTTCCCTGTTCCCTCTTCTAGGTCTTTCTGCTACTCTCTAGCTGTGTGTTCTGTGGCAGCCATGCCCTCTCCAGTCCTGCGTGGAGGGATCTTCCTCTGAGTTCTTAGCCTCTTATACGCACACACACACACACACACTCTTTTAGCTTGGAGCTATTATAGTAAGTATCTACTTTCTGCATTTGCTCTCTCTGGACCCCATAAGGAACTATTTTTACCCCTCTAAAAACATAACCACCTTTTACTAGTTAACACATCTTCATATTAACTCTATCCTGTTCTAGTTATTGGTATGGTTTCTGGCTCCTGACTATTCCCTAAGACTTACTAACAACATTACTATTTAATCTTTAACGTTGCTGTCTAAAGCTACGCCAGTTAAATAAGACAGGTGTATTCATTTTCTGTTTTTGCGTAACAAATTACCACAAACTTAAGAGGTTTAAAGCATGATCAGTGTTACTTCATAAGTCCTTCATAGTTCTTTTGGTTATAGGACTGAGGTCCTTGTTTCCTTGCTAGCTGTCAGAGGAGGAGTTCTCAATTCCTAGGCTACCCATGTTCCTTGCCTTGTAGCCTCCATCTTTAAAACAGCAACTGTGAGGCTGGGCGCAGTGGCTCACGCCTGTAATCCCAGCACTTTGGAAGGCCGAGGCGGGCGGATCATGAGGTCAGGAGATCGAGACCATCTGCCTAACACGGTGAAACCCCGTCTCTACTAAAAATACAAAAAAAAAAAAAAATTAGCCAGGTGTGGTGGCGGGCGCCTGTAGTCCCAGCTACTCGGGAGGCTGAGGCAGGAGAATGGCATGAACCCTGGAGGCAGAGGTTGCAGTGAGCCGAGATCGCGCCACTGCACTCCAGCCTGGGCAACAGAGCGAGACTCCGTCTCAAAAAAAAAAAAAAACCAGCAACTGTGTTGAATCTGTCTCATACTTTGAACTTCTGACGTCCTCTGTCTCTGACCTCTAAACCCAAATTTAAAGGGTTAATCGGGCCTACTTGGATGGATAGTCTCTCTGTCTTAAGGTCAACTGATTTGGGATTTGAATTAACGTCTGCACAGTCCCTGCAAATAGTACCTACATTCGTGTTTGATTAACTAGGGGAAGGTATGTGTATCCCAGGGGCCAGGAATCTTAGGAGGAATCTTAGAATTCTGACTACCAAAACAGGAAATAGAAATTAAGCCATGAAAAATGGTTGTTATTTACAGCTTGTATACCCAGAAAACCCAAGATGATAAGCTAAAAAATTATTTGATGCAGTATAGATAAGTCAGTAACTGGACTAGATACTTACCATCAGTAACCATTCAGGCAATCCACAGGATATTTGATCTAATACATAAAAATCAATTTTAAAAAAATTATAAAATACCTAGACATGAGCTTAACATGTACAGGAAATAAATATGAAGAAATGGGCTGGGCACAGTGGCTCACACCTGTAATCCCAGCACTTGGAAGGCCGAGGTGGGCGGATCACCCGAGGTCGGGAGTTTGAGACCATCCTGACCAACATGGAGAAACCTCGTCTCTATTAAAAATACAAAATTAGCCAGGCATGGTGGCACATGCCTGTAATCCCAGCCATTTGGGAGGCTGAGGCAGGAGAATCGTTTGAACGCGGGAGACAGGTTGTGGTGAGCCGAGATCGCGCCATTGCACTCCAGCCTGGACAACAAGAGTGAAACTCCATCTCAAAAAAAAAAAAAAAGAAGAAGAAGAAATGACAATTTCACTGAAAGAGGGAAAAAATGGAGAGATGTTCTCAAATAGGAAAATTAATTCTTACAGAGCTTTCAGTTAATTTGTATGTTTAAAGCAATTCTAATTTTTAAAAAATGTATTTTTCTTTTGGAGCATGACAATATGGTTGTAAATTTTATCTGGAAGGATAAAAGAATAAATACTTTAAAAAAATAATGAAAGGAACCTAGTGGTAGCAGATAACCAAAATTTTATGAAACTGGAATAATTTAAATAGTGTCATTGTGGCAGAAGCGTGCAGTTATTAATGGAGCAGAATGGTCTTCAGGCCCATCTGTTATACATGAATTTGATGTATGAAGAGCCATTGTCACAAATGAGCAGAGACAGGAAGGATCATTTAGTCCTCGTGCACTAAATGACTCCCAGGCACTGTTAGTTACAGAAAAGAAGGTAGATCCTAGTGTCTACCACATACCAAAATAAACTTTAAATGAAGTATCATCTGTATAATAGAAAAAATTTTAAGAAATCTAGAGAATAAAAAGAGCTAATTTGAATAGTTCCTACAAATACAAGTAAAATCTCATGAAAATTTTTGGTAGAATTTGATTAGCGTTTAAAACTTGGTGAATGCCAAAAACAAAAGGCAGACAAAAACTGGGGGAAGTGTTTACAGCAACATGATTAAAGGTTAATGTATTTAACATGTATAAACTTAATAAGTTCATTATGAAGAAGCCCACTAAGAACTGAAGAGACGGGCCAGGATATATAGACAGGCAATGTACAGAAAATGAAATTCATGTGGGATAACAAATATGGGGAAATATGTTCATTAATAGTCAAAGAATTGTAAATTAAGGCCACTGAAATACTTTATCAGATTAGCAAGGATTAAAAATTATAATACTCAGTGCTTATGAGATTGTTGTGAAATAAGCACACTTGTATTCAGCTAATAAAACTACAGATTATTAAAATGCTTTTGGAAGCAGTTTCATAATGAAACCCTTAATTATACCCTTTTGTTTTAGGAAGTCTGTTTCTGGAAATCTCTCCTAAGACAATCACAAATACAGAACAAACTGGAATAATCACCAATACAGAACAAATATAAACAAAGGGGATTAGTGATAAAAACAGTGTCAAATGGAAACACCTAAATAAGCAACCGGGGAATTAAGTAAATTATGGTCCATCAACAAAATATTTTGTTGTCATTACAAATTGTATTTGTGGAGTTTTTTTGTTGTTTGTTTGTTTTTTGGAGACAGAGTCTCTCTCTGTCGCCCAGGCTGGAGTGCAGTGGCGCGAGCACCATCTCAGCTCACCGCAACCTCTGCCTCCCGGGTTCAAGCGATTCTCCTGCTTCACCCTCCCAAGTAGCTGGGATTACAGGCATACACCACCATGCCTGGCTAATTTTTATATTTTTAGTAGAGATGGGGTTTCACCGTGTTGGTCAGGCTGGTCTCGAACTCCTGACCTCAAGTTATCCGCCCGCCTTGGCCTCTCAAAGTGCTGGGATTATAGATGTGAGCCACCGTGCCCGGCCTGAAGTAAGCATTTTTTAAGAGTGTAAATTAAGATGGTGGTCAACTGTGTACCAGCAGTACTGTGCCAATTAGAAATATTTATCAGCTATGGCCAGGCACAGTGGCTCATGCCTGTAATTCCAGCACTTTGGGAGGCCAAGGCAGGAGGATTGCTTTAGGCCAGAAGTTTGAGACCAGCCTGGGCAACAGGGTGAGACTCCGTCTCAAAAAATATGAGACCTTGTCTCTACAAAAAATTAAAAAACTAAAAAACTTAGCTGGGTGTGGTGTAGCCTGTGGTCCCAGCTACTCAGGAGGCTGAGGTGGGAGAGTCACTTGAGCCCAGGAGGTCGAGTGAACTCTGATAGCACCACTGCACTCCAGCCTGGGTGGCAGAGTGAGACGCTATCTCTTTATACACACACACACACATTTTCCAGCTATTTATTTTTCCATTGCATCTTCTTCCCAGCATCAGAATTTCTTCTCTTCATCTGCCCATCTGTGAATCTGTTCTCACAGAAGATTATTCCTGTACTTTAATGATTCCTCCCGTTAAAAACTCACAGCTTCCATTTTTGCTTTTCTCTTCTTTTATCTGAGCATAGAGTCCACAAAAGTTTGGTTATAATTAGCATTTTTACCACCAGGGGCTATTATTTGTATTTCAAACAGTTTTTCAAATTTTAAAACTGCTTCAGTGGAATTTGAAACTATGCAGTTGTTTCTTTCAGTGTTGAACATCATTCTTTGGGTGCTGAATGTTTAAATTCTGTGTTATGGTACATGTGTCTAGAAATGAAGAACAGTTAGTGGGGAAAATAACATTAATGTTCAAGGAGACTTTGTGTACTTTTACCTGAGAGATGCAAGGGTGTATAGATTTAAAATGTAAGAGCCACATTCTGGATCATCTTCATTTCAAGTAGTTGTGTTTACTGCCATTTTCTAAAATGTAAGCTCCACGAAAGCAGGGACCTAGAACATCATGTGGCACATATAGTACACTCTTAATAAGTATGTATTGAATGAAAGATTGAATTTTCACCGGGTGGAAGTATCTACAACTAGAAGTCATGAGTATGTAGACCTCAGAGCATCTGAATTTCTTGGAATTTGTGTCACTTAACACAATGTTACTTTCTTGGCTTAAAGTGGCAGTTCTGAAGAAGGGAGGGACCAGCCCCTTGGCAGACCTTTGGAAGGATGGACTTTTGTTTAGGGATGTCATGTGATTCGAGTTGGGCACAATGGCATTTAGTGGGTAGGAGCCAGAGATCCTAGGTATTCTGTGCCTGGACCTACTTCCATGCAAGTAAGACTATTAGTACATCTGTTATGACTTCTGAATTTCGCTCTGGATATTATTTGGGTGAAAAATTTACTTAAGCTTAGAACCTATTTTACATGTATAGAATTTTTTGTGCTGTTGTAATATATGCTGAGTTTCTGGAAACTCTGAAAAGCAACTGTCATATACATTCAGGGAAGGTTGTACTTTGTCTGGGACTTGCTCAGTAGTTAATTCATCATTTGGGAAATCTCTTCACCTGCTAATCAGTGCCAGTCATGGAATTTGAGTTGCAATGCCAACTTTATTTTCTTCATAGTACTTAGGAAATTACTTATGAAAAACTGAAATTACTTTGTTTATTTACCTGTGTTTGTATTTGTTTACCCACTAACTGTAAGCTCTTGATAATAGGGATCTTACGTATCTTGTCAGTGGATATCCTTATACCTAAAATCAACTCTGGCACATTGTGTGGCCAGTTATTAATAAATGATGCCCAAATAATGGACAGATGTTTGAATGAGTGAATCATCCCCTTGGGCGTGATCTTTATATGCTGTTGTTCCTTAAGCCCCCATCTCAGGCCCTCTTTCCTGTTTACTCTCAAACTCCCTTCCTACCTGATCTCAGCTATAACCCTCACTTTGATTTATATTTCTGCATTAACATCTCCTGAAATTTTTCTCCAGTCTGGATCTTTCCTGTGAACTCTGGAATTTTACATTCAGCTCCCTTCCCCAGTTTAATGTTTCAAGCATCTCAAACGCGAGGTGTCCTTCTCCAGTGTTTATCTTAGTGAACGGACCACCATACACTTAGTCACACTGGTGAGAAGCCTACGGATTGTTCTTGACACCTCCCTCTCCCTTATACCCATATCCAATTCATCACCCACTTCTGTTCATTTTGTCTTCTGAATGGTGTTCAAGCCTGCTTTGCATCCCCAGATCTAAACTACCAAGTCTAAACTCTTATATTGACTGCAGTAGCCTACGCATTGGTTTCCACCAGTCCACTCTTACCTTCTTGTAATCTATTCCACATAGGAGCCAGAATGATCTCATCAATAACTGATTGTTACTCCCTTGCTTAAAATTCTTCATTGGCTTCTCATTGCTCTGAAGATAAAGACAAAAAAATTTAACCTAAGTCTTCCCCACCAGACTGGGTGTAGCCATTTCTTTCATTGCTCTGCAGCCTTTAGGCCCCCCATCATCTTGCCGTTTCTCAAACATCCTGTGTGCCTTCCCACTGTAGAACTTTCATGCGTGTTGTCCCCTGTTGTGCCACCAGGTCTCCTTCAGAACTTAGCTCACTTTCGCAGGAAATCTGTGACCTCCTGACCAGCCAGAATCCTTCCTCTTAAGTGCTCTCATAGCACCCTGCACTTCTTATTAGCATGCTGTAATTAATGTATTATGAAGGAAATTGTCTGTCTTTCCCATAGAATTAGGTTTTAAAAAATTCATTAAGTGTAGGTATGGCCTCAGTATAATGTTTATCTATATTATCACCATAAAGAATGGCCTGCTAGCAACTATGGCAATTTGTCTTCCATTATCTAATTGGTTTTTACTCAGTAATTTCATAGGGTCAATCAGTTTGATTTGTTACTTCAGGGGCACGCTGTATTTCATTTATTCTAAGAAGCACATTTTTCCCATTTTTAACATCTCTGAAATTGACATGCATCTTACAGTCAATGGCCTATATATCATGGTATAATTGGCAGCATTTTTGTTTCTTAGTGATGCATAAAATAATGGTGCATCTTATATTCGAAGGTAGATTAGGTATAAAAGTTCGTATTTTATAACAAATTCATTCTGTAAGGGTTACCAGGGATGTATGTTGCTCGTTATTCTGTACAAGTGTTAATAGGATTTTTCTGTAGCTATAGCAGGTAACTGATGATATCTTGATCCCTTGAAGAAATTCTGGCTGAAATCATTTTCATCATATTCCTGTAGAGTCAAATCTCAGGGGCTTGATGTATGTATTGTTTGTTCAAGTCACACACAAACCCAAATTTGTATGTGTATCTGTTTTGTTTTAGAAAAATTATTTTTTATCTATGTGTGGAGGTGGGCAGCCATCCACTGGTTCCAGAGATGGTCAACTAACCCCCTGAATGCGTTCTCCCCATATCTTCATTTTGAAAGAAGTTTTAGATGGGCACGTTTAGAGACATTTTCCCCAGCCTTCCTTGTGTCTAGATGTGGGCAAGTTGTGGTCACTTGAATGTGAACAGAAATAATACGTAAACTTCCAGGGCATGAACCAAAAAGGAAATAATTTGCTCTTCAATTCCTCTTTTCCTTCCTCTAGTGAATAAAACAAACTTTGAACAAGGATGCTTGGCCAGCCTCTCTGGACTGCAGGAGAGAAACATCTTGAGCATGTTGTATTTTGGGGTCTCTTTATTATAGCAGCTTCGCTTTTACTCTAACTGATATATATATAAGAAATTGTTTTGATTATCCTCTTCAATTTCCAAAAAATGAGGTCAGCCTTACTATCAGTTCATTGTAAGTTTGAAGCATACGGCTGTCACTTTTGGACCGCAGTGAAGAATATATGCTCTTTAGGGATACAGCGTGGTATGGATGCAGCGTATGCTTGAAACTCAGTCCGACCTCAGTTGAATGACGACAGCTCTGTGGCTCTCTCACTTACTGTCTGTGTCTGTACGCAGAGGTCCTCTGAGCTTCATCCTCTGATCCTCTCCTTGAAGATGCAGGTGATACCTGTCTCAACAAGATCGATTTGAGGAGCGAATGAAGTCATCTATTTGAAAGACCTTCCGAGCCCAGTGCTGAGTAAATGACAGCTCTTGCTACCATTAGTTTTTCCAAAGACTGTCACTTCACACTGTCTGCTGCCCTAGTATCTTTGCAGTTGGAACTCGGTATTTATGGAGGATTGTTTGATTTTCTAAGTTTTATCTTAAGATTAAGCAAAACCGGCCGGGCGCGGTGGCTCACGCCTGTAATCCCAGCACTTTGGGAGGCCGAGACGGGCGGATCACGAGGTCAGGAGATCGAGACCATCCTGGCTAACACGGTGAAACCCCGTCTCTACTAAAAATACAAAAATTAGCCGGGCATGGTGGCGCGTGCCTGTAGTCCCAGCTACACAGGAGGCTGAGGCAGGAGAATGGCGTGAACCCGGGAGGCGGAGCTTGCAGTGAGTCGAGATCGCGCCACTGCACTCCAGCCTGGGCGACAGAGCGAGACTCCGTCTCAAAAAAAAAAAAAAAAAAAAAGATTAAGCAAAACCACTGGGAACGTTCACACTTGGACTGTGTTGCCTTGGCCCCCCAGATAATTGCTGACTTTTTGCAAATTCCTTGAGTTTTCCCGTCATGCTTTTTGGCTGTCAAGAGGCTGCAGAAGATGATTTAATAAAGCCTACCCTGGCACACACATGCTAGCGCAAAAAAGAAGCTGTCTAGTGCATGACTACGTCGCCTGTGTGAGGTACCCACTAAAATAACTTACTTTTAGACCTGAATGCTAGGGAAACTTTTTCTTCCCTTGTAGAACAGGTGGGTGTTCTTATGGTTCATGAGAATCCGTAAAGGACAGAGAGAGGAATTGAATCAAATAGTAAAATAACGTGGCAAATTTTAGGTTACCTCTGAGTACGTGTTAATCCATTAGTAGATGTGGTTCCATTAAAGTCTTGGAGGAGGTAAACTCTACACTTATTTTATTTTTATTTTTTTTTTGAGATGGAGTCTCACTCTGTTGCCCAGGCTGGAGTGCAGTGGCACGAACTTGGCTCACTGCAACCTCCGCCTCCTGGGTTCAAGCGATTCTCCTGCCTCAGCTTCCTGAGTAGCTGGGATTACACCCGCCATCATGCCCAGCTAATTTTTGTATATTTAGTAGAGACGGGGTTTTACCATGATGGCCAGGCTGGTCTCGAATTCCTGACCTCAGGTAATCCACCCGCCTCTGCCTCCCAAAGTGCTGGGATTACAGGCGTGAGCCACCGCGTGCGGCCCTATCACTTTTTTTTATTTTAAAAGAAACCAGAAAGCCAAAAGGTGGCAATTAGCAGTACATTGACTTTATGAGAGTAATAGGAAATATTTGCTTCTTGAGATTGGTATATGAACATAGTATTAGATTTACAGTTCATACCAATTTTATGCTTTGAATTTTAGTTTTTGATGTAAGATAGTAATTTCCAGGAAGTTGTTTAAGGGACAGAAACAACGAGCTATAACTAATAAATACTTGTTAGTATACAAAGTATGGGACTATGCAGCTCACAGTCTCAAATGTGATCTCAGTTTGCTCCAGTAATCAGTATACTGGTTTGTGTTTATTTAATGAATGACTAAAGACTAAACTTAATTAGAACCTTTTTTTTTCTTATGAGGTAGTTCCCTTAGGATCTCTGTCTAAACTTTTGCAGGGTGTGGGCAGCATCTGAACCTGTTGCGTGTTTGAAAACAGGAAATTAAAATGTTTTTCTGTTAATTGATATTTTTCAGGTAAATTTTCTTCATTTTATGAAATTTAAGTTTTTACATTTCACATTTTTAATGTGAAATATTGACAAGCTTCTTGGTACCTGTGGGGGTTGTTTCCTGCAGCAATATAATCAGTCACTTTTTTTTCTATTTTGTTTCATTATAGAAACTATTGGCTGGGCACCGTGTCTCCCGCCTGAAATTCCAGCACTGTAGGAGGCTGAGGTGGGCAGATCACCTGAGGTCAGGCGTTTGAGCCCAACCTGGTCAACATGGTGAAACCCCGTCTCTACTGAAAATACAAAAATTAGCCGGGCATTGTGGTGCATGCCTGTAATCCCAGCTACTCAGGAAGCTGAGGCAGGAGAATCGCTTGAACCCAGGAGGCGAAGGTTGCAGTGCACCGAGATTGTGCCATTGCACTCCAGCCTGGGTGACAGATTGAGACTGTCTCAAAAAATAAAAAAGAAACTATTTAGGCAGACATTCATGTCCTTTATCAGCTTATTACTCCAGTGTAAACCCCTGAAACTCCTGTTATTCTCACATGCAAGCCCTGGGCTTCACAGATGTTTCTGGATCAAGGGACTGGGTGGATGGTGGTATCATCTCTTTTTATATTTGATTTTTCTCTTGTGCAGATTGTCATCGGACTTTCTGCCCAGGTCTTGTATGCTCACCTGCTCTCCCAAATTAAAATCCACCTTTGAACATAAGTTAGTTTAATGGCTCCTGAAACTGAATCCACACAGTTAACAGTCCTTTTAGTTCACAAAATTGCAAAACCTTTGAATAGAAAGCCACCCTGGGGATCATCTGCAGTCAGTTCTCATGTAGTTGTTATATTGATAACTGCCCCAGGCTCCGTTTCATCACTTCAGTGACAGACCAACGCTTATATGGTGCTGGGACTTTGTCCTTTCTTTTTTGTAATTATGAAGGAGAACCTTTTCTAAACTTGCCCAAATATGCCACAAGTTTCAGAACACAGAAATACCATGAAGTTTAAAAAAAAAACAAAAACAAAACAACAGGCAAGTGCCAAATTCAAGCAAAAATAATTATTTCACTCCATCTGTCAGGGTTGATATTTCAGGTCTTTGTGCTATTGGTTAAATACAGCTTGTTGTTTTATACTTTGATGTAATGTTTTCATTTAGGCACATCTGTGAATTTTATTGATTGATTGGTGTGACAGTATTTAAAAGTCTCCAGTTTATTGATAGGATTGAAATAAGCTCTAATTTATGGGCTCCTCTATCAGCCAAGAGAGAGAAACCATACAGTTATGTGAACAGGGAAAGGTGACTGTCAAGAATTGTTAACTGTAATGGGATTAGAATAATGAGGGATTGGCTAGTCAGAATAAAGAAAGCCTTAGAGGATTCAGGAATAGCAGATATAAGGAGGAGACCCCTGCCCCCAGCCTGAGGTGGAACATCCAGTGAGAGATCACAGCCATGGCTCACGGGGTGGCAGAGAAGTCACTATGATGCTGTGTTGACGGAACTTGAAAGCAGTTCGTGGGAAGGCATCTCACCAGAGGCACTGTGTGTGCAGGGGTGGCGACATGGCTGGAGTGTGCCTGCAGGATCCTGCCAGGGAGCCCTCTAGCCAGGAGGCAGAACTCTTCTCCTGCTATGTCTCTAGTGCCCTGTACTGAAAAAGCTGAACATCATGCCAGCTGGCAAAGGAAAAATAGTTAAAGGTCACAGATCCATTTTCACAGAGCAGGCAAAAAGCAGAGTTTGGCACTGAGAGGCAATAAATCCCCACCTCCAAACTCCTAAGTAGTTTTTTGGGAAAAGCATTATGCTTATCAGTGGTTACAGAATACATATTCCTAAGATTTCTTGCAAACAATGAAATCCCAAGCATTATTAATAACCACTCTGTAACACATAGGCCAGGATGTACCAGCAAGGACTACTGTATCTGAGAGACTGATTGGAGATTTTCTTCTGTTACTTTAGCACATTTAAAGTACACACACACACACACACGTGTCATTATATAGTTGACTGAAAGTGGAGTGCTAGTAAAATTATACTGTCATTTTCTGACTTAATTTGAGGTGACTTTAAACTCAGAAATCAAGAAAAGGTTTTCACAACGTGGTACTTAAAACTCCCATACTTCTAGCATGGGCAACACAGCAAGACACTGTCTCCACAAAAAATTTAAAAATTAGCCAGGCATGGTGATCTGTGCCTGTAGTCCCAGCTACACAAGATTCTGAGGTGGGAGGGTTGCTTGAGCCCAGGAGTTCGAGGCTGCAGTGAGCTGTGATCATACCACTGCACTTTAACCTGGAAGAAAGAGTGAGACCCTGTCTCAAAAACAAACAACAATCCTCCCATATTTGTAATGGACATGTTAATATGGCAATACTAAAGTAATTTTTATAGTGGTAAAAGTGTTTACTGAACCTACTTAGTTAAGACAAATCGTAATCAAATAATGCTGCAGCCAGTCAGTGCTTACTGAGTAAGCCGAGGTTTAAATAAATAGATTGTTGATAAACTACATTATCAAGATTCCTTGGTTACAGACAGTGGGAAGCAACTGTACAAATTTAAGGAGAAAAAAAAGAGGAACATTTGGAAGGAAGTGAGGTAGATGACAAAATTGAAGGACAAGCTGGAAAACTAGGACACAACCCGTGCAGCCTAGAGAATCCAGGTAGCAGGCACTGATGGCAGGTTTTGTAGGGCACAGTCAGTGCGGTGAATCCACTCCAGGTGTCTGCCACTTCAATTCAGAGTTCCTATTCCAAGATATGTCTTGATTGGCCTACTGTGAGTCTCATGCTCACCCCTTGGTCAGGGGACGGCAAAGCACTGAGATACCAGGCTGCAAAAACAACTTATTCCTGAACTCAAGAGGGCATACCTCACAGACACTTAGTTTTTCTCTCCATTTCTTAGTTCCCTTCTTTGGTGTTGGCTTCATTTTTTGGCTCTCTCTGGTTGAAAGATGGTTGCAGTAACTTCCAGCCCTCTGATTCTGTTTGGTTCACATCCAGGGTCATCCCTGAATCTGAGCACTGTGGCCCAGGGGATGCTGTGCCCTTCGATTAGTCAGACACAAAATGGATCCCTGGAGCCACTGCCCCTAGAAGTCCACAGATTGTGGGTGAGAGGAAAATCAGGATACAGATACCAGTGAGAGGAGGAAAGGAAGCTGAGTGGCAGAGTAACAGACAGTTCATCAACCTTATTTCACAGAGACAGCCAACCAAAATGAGAAGCATTACTTGTTCTGTGATAAAAAGCCAAATGGAAGAAGATAATATAGAAAGACATTGGTGAAGCAAGGAGGTGGAATACCTGTGTCAGTGGCTAGACAAGAAGCACCATAAGATGCTGAAAAGGTGAGAGGCCAAGAGACGCGTTTCTTAAGAAGCGTGGTCAGTTCAGGCTGCGGTAACTCCATACTGGGCTGCGGGGCTTTGTCTTGTTTTGTTTGAGCCATGATAGTGAGTCTCGAGAATTAAATCCTGGGGCTGAAGTCTGTATTAACTCTAAAATGAAAATAATATCAGGGTTCCTTTGAAATACCTGAGACCAGCTGATTTTGTCATACCTCTCTTACGATCTCCGTGATTCTTCACCACCCTTCCGAAGTATAGGTCCCTGCTGTCATCTCTTCCTAACTAGTAATCAAATCCCAGTGCTGCTCTGAAGTTTCCTCATCCTTTTCTCCAGATCTTTTCCCCCTGCCTTGTGGTGCATGGTCCTCTGGTTAACAAAGACCTTTATCTTTAGCTCTGCACCCTCCTCAATGCCCCCAACACATACTGTCTGCACTTCATTGAAACCACTTCTCATCAGGCCAGGAATCAGGGTGGAGCGGAGGCATGAGGGAAGGATTCAACATTATCCTGAACCCTTTTCACCATAACCATTTATAACGTTGTTTTTTTTTTTTATTTTTTTGAGATGGAGTCTCGCTCTGTCACCCAGGCTGGAGTGCAGTGGCGCGATCTCAGCTCACTGCAAGCTCCGCCTCCTGGGTTCATGCCACTCCTGCCTCAGCCTCCCGAGTAGCTGGGACTACAGGCACCTGCCACCGCGCCTGGCTAATTTTTTGTATTTTTAGTAGAGACGGGGTTTCACCGTGTTAGCCAGGATGGTCTCGATGTCCTGACCTCGTGATCCACCCACCTCGGCCTCCCAACGTGCTGGGATTACAGGCGTGAGCCACTGCGCCTGGCCGACAACCATTTTATAATTTTTTTAAATTTTGTTTCCTGTCATTCCTTTTATTCACTTTTTTTAAAGTTTATTTGCAGTACCATTCACTCTGTGGTGTGTAGTTACGTGAGTTTTAACAAACACATACAACCATATAACCATCATCACGTGAAGATGCAGAATAATTCTGTCGCCCAACAAAACAACTCCCTTGCACTGCCCCTTTGTGGCCAGACCCTTCCTCCCACCGACAGTTGCTGGTCTATTTTCAGTTTCTACAATTTTGCCTTTTCAAGACTGTTATATAAGTGGACCCTACGTGACATAGTCTTTTGAGTTTGGCTGCTTACATTTAGTATACGTTATATCCAAGTATAGTTTTCTTTGAGTTTATCTTGTTTGGTATTCACAGAGCTTTTTGACTTATAAATTTATGTATATCACCAAATATGGGAAGTTTTTCACCACTATTTCTTCAAATATTTTTTTCTTCACTGATCTTCCTTCTCCACCTCTGGGCCTCCAGTGAAATGAATGTTGGGTCTTTTAGTATTATCCTTCAGGTCCCCGAGGTACTGTTCATTTTTTTCAGTCTCTTTGTTTTCCAAATTCAGTAATTTTTCTCTGTTAAGTTCACGTACTCTTTCCTCTTTCATGTCCATTCTTCTCTTGAGCCTATCCAATGAAGTTTTAAATTCAGATGGTTTAGTTTTTTAGTTCTAAACTTTTATTTGTTTACTCAAGTGTATTTTTATTTGCCTCCTGGAGCATAGTTATAATAACTGCTTTAAAGCCATTGTCTGATAATTCCAAAACTTGGGTCATTTGGCCATTGATGTCTGTTGTCTTTCGCCCTGACAGTTGGCCACATAGTCTGGTTCTTTGTATGAGGAGATATTTTGGATTTTATCCTGGACGTTTTGAGTATGTCATATAGACTTTTAGTACTATCAGACTCTTCTAGAAAACACTGGTTTGTTGTTTTGTTTTTGTTTTAGCAGGCAATCAGCCTGGGTAGGTTCAAGGCTTCCAGTGTCAGCTCAGTACTAGGCTCTCACTATGCTGCTTTGGGCCTGGCCCACATGTAGGAGTTAGTCTGAGGCTTGGGGCAGGGGGGTGTTGACATCGTAGTTCAGATCTCACAGCCTTTGTTCTGCTGTTTTGAGTCTGCCCCATAAATGCATAACTCAAAGGTGAGCCCAAAATGGTGAAGGTTTGTACACAGAATTGGGAGATTCCCTTTTCCAGCTGATTTCTCTCTGGGATCCCTGACTCTCCTGGGATACGTCCAGCTCACAGGTGCTCCTTTCTTTAGTCCTCTGCTGCGAAAGATGGGTTTCTCTTGGTTGTAGGTGTCAGTGCCATGCCTGCTACAGCATGGCTGTGATTGGGGCCCACTCCCTGGGCAAAGGTTTGAGAAAAGGAAATGAGAAAGTCACCCCCACACAGATTGCCTTCCCTACATTTTAACTCCTCTTCCCAAACCACCTACTTTTGTTACTTTTCATTATTTATGTGTTTGTGTTTATATTATACTTTGTCCAGTTTCGTTGTTGTTGTTGTTGTTGTAATTGGCAGGAGAGAGGCTGTAGCTGGCATAATCCATCTTGCCCAGACCCAGAAGGCCTGACTCCATCACTACCTGGTTTAGTTTGCTATGCTGCGTAACAAATACCACTAAATGTAGTGGCTTAAAGCAGTGCACATCCATTGCATGGTTTCCATGGGTTCAGGAGGCTGTACTTACCTGGGCCCTCTGCAAAGCTGTGCAGTCAAGGCCAGGAGCTGTTTTCATCTGGAGGCTCTGCTGGGTAGCGATTGGTATCCAGGCTTCCTCAGGCTGCTGGCTGAATGCCGTTCCTTGCAGCAGTAGGATTCATGACAGCTTGTTTCTTCAAAGCCAGCAGGGAAGAGGGAGACTCTAAAGCCAGTCTGCTAGAAAGTTGGAGTCTTACGTAACACAGCCAGGGAGTGACAACATACACCTTTGCCATATTTCAATGGCTAGAAGCAAGTCGCTGGTCTCTCTCATACTCCACAGGAAGGGATTATACAAAAGTGTGGAAATCAGAAGACCATAGAGTCTGTCAAGCACAGGTCTTCTTCACAACTTCTGGTCCTGTTGGTCAGAGCCATTTGGCAATGAGTCGCCTTTTCCACCCCAAGTCCAGGTGTCATGCTGAGTGACTTAAGCATTCTTAGAGGCAGTCCATCCAATATGCTGGCTTACAGGCTTTGGACCTTCTCTATACCAATGACTTTATTTCACTTTAGAACCCAGTCCTTGTGACTCTAAATCTCAAGCATACTCTCTATTCTGTTTCTTTCCATAGTCTATATAGAGTATTAAATATAATTAAAGTTTTACCTTGTCTTTCCTTTTAGATTTTATGCTCAAGGCTGAGACTATTTTGTCTTATCCTTCTCATACTGCCCACAAAAGTCTAGCAAATACTTCCTGCACATAGCAGATAGTCAAATACATGTTGAATAAATTAAGACCATAACTATTTCTATGACAACTGCATAGCCTACCAGTTCCGTCCCCTTCTCTTTTTAATTTTGTCTGATAACATTTTACCAGCCCTTCCTAACATAAACACTGAAAGGAAATTCTAATTGAATTAGTCAGTTTCAAAATAGTGGCATGTAACACACACACTCTCTGTCTCTCTTTCTCCCTCCGCCCCCCCCCCCCCACACACACACAAATTAGTGAATATTTTGATGACATGGCATTGGAGTCCAACCAGTATAACTTCAGAGTATGGTCTCTGGTGTTCTTTGTAGGTGAAACTAAGGACGAGAAACATTTACAATTTCTGATAACTAAACCTCAAAGACAAAAACAGGCCCCTGCCCTCTTTTATTGAATTTTCTTCTTTTACAAATATAGGAAGTAGTCAACTAACAAAAAGACTGGTAATTTGTAACATTTTTCATCCAGAATTGTTTTGCATGAAGTGGCTGGATTCTCAGTCTACCTACATAATTTCACCTTTTGAATCATTATTTCTCTTTCTCCATCAGAACCTCTGAAACAAAAATAAATTATTGTTTCTCTGGGAAAATCTACAGTTTAACTAGGAACACCGAAATGATACCCACAGAGGCCCATTTGTGGGAAATCTTTTCACCCTTTCCTCCTCCTAGCTGCCTCCAAAATATGAGTGTTGCTCCTTTTTCTACCCAGAGCCTCCTAATCTTGTGATTGCTAAATTATTTGAGAATGAAAGAAACAAAGGGAAAACCCAAGTTATTAAAAAATGTTTTCTTCCTAATAAAACTCAGTACAGAGGGATCCACTATAGTATACCTCACCATACCATATGAGGTATAGGTAATTTATATCCAATTTGGCCCTTCAAACTTGCTCTGGGCCCAGCAGTTGAGCCCATATCAGATTTCCTCCTTACCTAGTTGCCGTTGCTACTGAAACATAAGCTGAAACACCAATCGAAGGGATGCTTTTCTCTTCAGCAGAGCTGGATAGGACAGCTGGAGTTCTTTGCAGTGGCGGTATACTGGAAAGGAGGTGAAGATGTATGAATAGAAGAATGACTGAATAATATGATAACATTCACACCATGGTACATTATGGAGCCATTAGAAATAACAGATTGGACATCTCAGTAGGGGGAGGGAGAGAGAAGGGAGATCCTCCTTCCCTGCAAGTATTGAATGAGAAAAGCAAGTTGCAAAAAAGTTTCTATAACATAATCCCAGTTATACCAACAGTGATCCAATAAAATCTTTGTAAAAATGTTTAAGTATATATGTTTTTATACAGTTACACGAGCAGGGACAAAAACAAAGATATGAATCTAGGTGGTTTTAACGTGGGTCATGGGGGGAGGAGATATTTGACAGGGATATGGAAGGGGGAGAAAGTAGATAAGGGATGCCAAGCATGTCAGAAACAGGAAAGCAAATATTGTCCTGGGGGGAAGCATGATAAGATTATATTTACAAATGTATGTTGATCATGTATATTTAAACGTAATTTTAAAAAGAAAAAGTTCTGTGATTAAAAAGTAAAATTTTCCCAGTCTGGCCATTCCTTTTCTTTATTCTCCTTGCTTCTTGACTTATAAATTTATTTTACAACTTAGAAAAAATACAAATTGACTCTCCATTTAATTGATACATTTGTTTTTTTTTTCTTTTAATAGGTGAAAACACTTTTCAAATCCAAGTTTATAATTTCACTGTGCAAGGTAGACAGTAACTTTTTAAATACTACTTGATCATATCAGAAAATAAAGTTTTCCTTAAAAGGAAAACTTACAGATTTTCTCCACTGTAAATTTCAGCTGAGATTATATACCAGAAATTGGTACCAGAAATGCCCTGAAGAGTAACAGATTCTTCTCAGGGCCGCAGAGAAAGAGTCCTCCTACCAAGGCACTTATAGTCCAGAGGACAGAGGAAGCTCATAATCTCATTTAAAGCCAGGACATGTGGCTCCCGACTGTAACAGAAAAATAGCCTTTGCAGGAGGCCAGCGCCCAGGCAGATGCAGATGTTCATCTTGTCAAATTCTCACTGCATTTTATACTTGTTGCTGTTGTAATAGCGATAATTTGTTTTACTGATTTTTGTAAATATCTTTGAAAGTATATGTATTCTTATCTTGCTTCCTGCTATAATCCCAGAGCACTTATAAAGCTATTGTTCAGGCTGGGTGTGGTGGCCCACACCTGTAATCCCAGCACTTTGGGAGGCTGAGGTGGGAGGATCACTTGAGGCCAGGAGTTCGAGACTAGCCTGGACAACATAGCACGCCATCTCTGTTTACAAAAATAAACAAAGCTTTTCTTCAGAAAATACTTATTAAATGAATCAGTCCCCACCTCCCTCCATCCTTGTTTTTGTCCCTGGTGCTTACTACAATAAATAGCACATGTTAGTTGTATAGTTCTTCAGTGATTGAATTAGTGAACATATGAGATGGACTTGAGGTGTAGACTCTCTAGGAAAAGAAGTGATTAAAATAGCTTAGAAGAAAAAGGAAGAGTCAGGAAATGGGAAGATTCAGTGAGGATCAAGAACAGGTGCCATGTAAATAGTGATAAGAATAGGAAGTTATGGTCAGAATGCGGGATAGTGGCATCTAAAATTTCAGCAGTGGTGCAATTCTGGGTGGTTAGGGTCTAGTAGCTAATACTATAGATAAAGCACCCTGGTGATCAGGTGGGGGAAACTACATGTTTTGGCATTTGAGGTTGGACTGGTAAAACAGCCAGTTCCCTACCTAATATCCCTAAAGCAAAACCCACTGCGAAGGAAATCCATCCCATACATACAAAGCCCCTAATTGGTATTTCAGTGCCTGAACAGACAACCAAGGGTTACTACAGAGTTGAGGAAAGGCTTTCAGATCAGAGAGTATCTAAGGGAAGAGGCATCCAGAGAAGGAAAAAAGATATGCAGAAAACTTAGAAGATTTTCAGAGAAAAGAATAGAGATGATTTTGCATACCTAAAACAAGAACAGGGTGTTGTGGAAAAGGAGCATTCAAGAGCACAAGAAGGTTAACAATTTTAAACATCACAATAAAAAACTCAGTAGAAGGATTAGAAGATCAAGTTGAATCAAGCACCCTCAAAATAGAAGCACCAATAAAAGAGTAGAAAACATAAGAGAAACAACAAGTTACAGGTGATCAATCCAAGAGATTCAATATGTTGTTATTTAGAAACAGAAGGAAGGTGTTTTCAAGAAAATAGAGAACTGAAAGGTATGAGCTGAAAGCATCAGCCAAATGCCAAGCACAAATAATGGGGGAGAAAAGATACATCACCCTGAAATTTCAGAACCCTAGAGATCAAGTGGAAAAAATAAAGCATGGCCAGGCTTGGTGCGTCACACTGGTAATCCCAGCACTTTGGGAGGCCAGGGCAGGAGATCGCTTGAGCCCAGGTATTCGAGACCAGACTAGGGGCTGGACTGTAGGAGCTGTATCTTACTCCATATCATACCCTTATCCCCAGCAATGCCTGATGATGGGTTGGTGTTCAACAATGTGGACTGAATGAATGAGACAGCCGGCTACTGAAGAAGTCAGGGCAACCTGCAGTGCTGTTAGGGAAGTGTCCCTTTCTAGCACCTTCTCAGAGGGTCCTCCTGTATACCATATGCGAAATTCTGACTTAAGATTTGGAGCAGCTAGTGCTTTTTCATTGTTTGACTTAACATGATCATCAAACTTATACTAGTTTTCTTTGTATTTAATAGGGAGAAAGAGCAAGAAACACAAGAAGAGGAACGTTTGATGGAAGAAAAGAAAAAGAAAAAGCAGGAAGAAAAGAAAAAGAAGGAAGGTGCTCAGAAAAAGGTTTGGCTGAAGTTCCTGCTTCATTGTCTTTGTATCATTGTGTGTCTCATTTGCATCATCATAGCCATTATATGACAAGGTTTCATTCTGTTACTTTTTAAATCAATATGCCAAGTCTATAATTAGCGAATAATAGATATCCTACTGGTGAAATAAATACAGGTGACAGCCGTAAATGTCTAACTTGGAACTGGAAGTGTTAGAGCTGTGTTTTAAGGAAGCTGTGTTTTAGTTGCTGGTGGTGAAGTGTGTCCATGTTGTTCTACTTAAAATGAACTGTCCTGAACAACCATGTCTAATAAATGAAGAAGGGCCATTCAACTGATCTTATTAGAAAAGCTAGAAATATTTTTTTTTTGCAGCTTTGGCAAATGTTCTTTTACGAATCCTATTAGTAAAGATTAAAAATAAAAGCCCTACTGTAAACTTCATAGTCAAGCTTGAATTTTATGGCATTTAAAATACCAAGTTATGCCATTTGTCTTTGTTCTTACCTAGTTTAATGTATCTTGTAGTTTAAACAGTATACCTATTAGAGCCTGTTAAAATTATAGAGTTTAAATGAGCTCCAGATAGAATTTTTTGCCTTTAGATTAACATTGGTATATAATCAATGGCATGTACACATTTTTCCCACTAATAAATTGTAATAAATTAACTGGGCAAAAACTCATTTTTAAAATTTTCAATACTAAAAGTTTGCTTATAAACTTTCATAGATGTGTACATTCTACACATTATTCCTAAAGAGTTTCTTTCTTTCTTTCTCTCTCTTTTTTTTTTTTCAGGCTGCTGATCAAAAAACCAAAGGTAAGTTTATTTATATTTAGGGGGGTACATTTATGGCGGTACCAAAATTTTTATGACCAGGATGACTTTTTTTTTTAAATTGATGGTTAAAAAACGAGAATCTAAGCCTGCCTTTGAAACTATTTTTTATTATTCATTGTGAAATTCCTCATTTATCACTGGTTTTACATCTGCATCTCATTGGTATTTGGTTAATCTAAAAATGTCTGAAGAATGTTATATTAGCTTTCCAAACAATGCTTTTAAATTTTCTTTTGATTTCCACCAAACAGGATCGAACTGATAAAGTTGATTCAGTTTGAATAAGAACAACCAAAGGATATCTGCATTTTTTTAAGGTTCCAATTTCTCATTGCCAACTATCCTTTATAATAAAAAAGATATATTCTTTCTGGATTCCCTCTTTGCTTATTGATATGTAAAAGATTTCTCTTTTTATCCTCCAAGTCCAGAATTTGCTGGTTATCATAAAAGGTGTTGGTGGAAACACACGCATTTCTCACTGTTACTCAGGAACTCCTATGATGTGCTGGAGATTCAGAATGAACAAACTGAAAGCCATACTCCAAGCCTCTTCCTTTTATACCTGTATGTTTAGTTATTTCCCAGTGGTTAAGAGCACCCACTCAGGAGTCACATAAACTAGCTCTGTTTAATTTGGGACAAGTTACTTCACTTCTTTAGGCTTCAGTATCTCATATTTAAAATGAGAAAGGTAGTGAATGGTTCCTACCTCATAAAGCTGTTACAAAGACTTAATACGATTATTTGTCAATTCAAAATAAAATGTAAAAAAAAAAGACTAATTGAGATCATGCAGGAAAATGACTCAGTATCTAGCATATAATTGGTGCTCAGTAAAGGTTTACTATAACTGTTATTCTGAAGTTTTTTTCCACTGGACCATCACATGTACACAACTGTACATGTAGACACATGCACTCTCACAGCTAATACTATGCTTTTGTGAGACATTTTATAATTTTCAAAGTTAAGGTTATGTGTATTATCTCATTTGAACTTCATAGCTGAACAGGAAAGGAATTCGTTTACAGATAATCTCCTAGTGTGAATTAAGAGGCTGGTTCTTGGTTAAGAACCAGTTAATGGTAAAGGCAAGACTTGAGGGAGTCCAGGTCTCTGAACCTCTAGACTAGAGTCACATGAAGAGAGGGAGTTAATGCTCAATGAATATTAAAAAGCAGCATAGCAAAAAGGACATTTTTCTCTGTTATACTCTCAGAAGCACTGTGAATTTACATAACACTTTTCCAGAAGGGTCCAAAAGGTTTATGGTACATAGTTGTGTATGAATTTATGATCTTGAATGAAAAACAATGGTTTCTTACTATTGTCATTTCAAAATACAGAGTTAACTGTTCTGGATCATCCATTTCTTCTTCTTCTTCTTCTTTCTTCTTCTTCTTCTTCTTCTTCTTCTTCTTCTTCTTCTTCTTCTTCTTCTTCTTCTTCTTCTTCTTCCTTCTTCCTTCTTCCTTCTTCTTCCTTCTTCCTTCTTCCTCCTTCTTCCTTCTTCTTCTTTCTTCTTCTTCCTTCTTCTTGAATTTTTCTGTCTGGTTTAGTACCAGCTATATTCTTCATCATTGTCACTGTTTTCTACTCAAGTAGTAACAAATTGCTTATTACTGAACAGTGATTGTGAATTACATTGTCCCACCACTTTACGCAGAGCTATCATTTTCTATTACTGTTCTGATGAGAATTTTCTTTTATTTATTTATTTATTTATTTTTTTTTTTTTTGAGATGGAGTCTTGCTCTATCGCCCAGGCTGGGTGGAGTACAGTGGCATGATCTCGGCTCACTGCAACCTCCACCCCTCAGGTTCAAGTGGTTCTCCTGCCTCAGCATCACCCCACCCCCACCCCATAAGCTGGGGTTACAGGCACGCATGGCCACACCCAGCTAATTTTTTGTATTTTTAGTAGAGACAGGGTTTCACCATGTTGGCCAGGTTGGTCTCGAACTCCTGACCTCAAATGATTCCCCCCCACCTCGGCCTGCCAAAGTGCTGGGATTACAGGCGTGAGCCACCGCACCTGGCCTCTGTTGAGAATTTTCATTGCTAACTCCAAACTCTACTGGATTTTTCTCTTCTCCTTCTAT
This sequence comes from Homo sapiens, assembly GCF_000001405.40. Classification (NCBI taxonomy): domain Eukaryota; kingdom Metazoa; phylum Chordata; class Mammalia; order Primates; family Hominidae; genus Homo; species Homo sapiens. Next base: position 78,007,206 of record NC_000017.11, read on the forward strand.
ATCCTCTAAAATACTGTTCCTTTGGGTACAGTTTATCAGTAACTACTAACTAGCCTTAGAATGGGTTGTAGTAATAATTAATGTCTTTCCAAACAAAAAATGCTTTTTGAATTATAAATAATCTAACAGTACTGCTAGGTAATTCATTGATGAATATTAGCAGCATCAAGGTTTACGTTTTTCTCAGACTCTTCATTATTACTGGTTCAAACCAAAATTCATTGCCTGAGAAATATTGGTTCCAACTTTCTGACTGGACACTTTTGTCGGGTGACACAGGTTGGCCTGACTGTACCTATGATACATGTTATAGTACTAGTATTAGTGTTCACACATAAAATTGATGCTTTCCTAACATTCTAGCATTTTGACTTCCCTCCCCTGCTCCAGATTGTGTGTCTATGAGGGCAGGGGCCACATTTGCCACAAGGCAGCACCCAGAAGTCTCAAGGCCCTGAGTTGTTTGAATATAGGAAAGTGTTTAGCAATTTGAGAGAGTCCGAGAGTTGGATACTCTTAAGAGAGAAGCTGCAGTTATAAATTAGATTGCATAATATACTGAATCAATCAACATTGTAGAAGTTTGAATAATTTTGGTTTTGATAATTAGCTCAAACTAGACCAAATCAATTAGAAATTCCCTTACTCTGCAATATTACACACCACTCAACTAGTAGCATTCGTAAAGCCATGCCCCAATTATTTAGCATTATATTTGACTTAATTTTCTCAATAATAGAAATGCTTTAAATTTGGATTTGTTTTAAACATTTTCAAGGAACTTTTTAGAATATATGACATGCTCATCTATGATACTCCTCTACCTTCTCCTGGAGAATATTAACTAGTCTAATCCGTTCTTAATAGATGAGTCTCCATTATAGCATTAATTATACTTAAAAAAATGTTTGCATCTGGCTATAACCATCAAACTTGAACTATGAATTCTTATTTAAAAGACTAATGCCGAACTGAAGCTAACTGGAAATATATGTTTTTTGAATAACTTAATATAATATGTAGCATGCTTTCCTACCCTCCCCCAACAAATTTGAAAATTAGATTTCTAGGAAGTCTGCTTTGTAAAATTACCACTGAACAGAAATTTTGTTCCTGGCTATCTTTTCAAATTCTGACCTGTGATATCTTTGGGTCATTTTCTTTTTAAGATTCAGGCCAAGTGAGTACGTTTGTGTGAAACACTATGCTGCCAACATTCATACCCCCATCCTACCCTGATGTGATCATGGGAACCACGTTTTCTCTGCAGCCAGGAGATACACTTTTATTCAGCCCCGGGGGTTTTCACTCAAATAGTTGATTCACTTTGGCTTTCATCAGTTTCTTCCTCTTGACTCCCCCTTGATTTTCCTCTATGCCTCTAAGTCTGCAAACCCTCCAGTGGGGTTGACATCCTGCACTCCTAAGGAGTCTGGGCATGTTTCTAAACCTGGAGGCCTTTTCCTTAGTTGTCTCAGAGTGTTGGGTTGTTGTTGTAGTCAACTTTTTCTTATTTTTCCCTCCTGTGATGAAAAACAAAAGTTATATATTCTGATTGAAAATAATTTGAGATTATCTAAAGAGAAATTAAAGTTCACTCGAAATTCCTCTGTCCTGAGATATTTACCCATTAACAGTTAGCCATCCTTGAATGCATCTCTCTATGAATTCATATACATAAATATATATTTATATGGACTCTCCACTGCTCCCCCGCAGTTAGCACTCCTGGATCCCTATCCCTTCAAGGAGCTGCACCAAGCAATTTGAAAACCTCTGTGGGAGCCTATTCATAAACTAGCCCTTTGTAAATTCTGCTGAATATCGTCTTTGCGTTGGTGACCAAAGAAAGAGACAGCCGAACACAATTACCTGTTACCTTAGTGAGACCCTAGATGCTCTTATACTGGGGGAAAAGGGAATCAGATATAATCCTGTTGCCATTAACTTGTGCATTGTAGCTCTCTGTGGAGTAACTGGGGTCCAAGTGTCACTTCAGACTGGCATGGGTTTTATGACCATAATGAGTAATCAGTTTTCTTTATTTTTGGCACTGCCCTTAATTGAGGCACAGGTAATAATAGCTTTATTTGTGATATGATGACCTTGGGAGCCTAAGTTTTCAGTATTGTTTTCTGGGTGTTTTCATGGATTGAGTGAGGGTTTTTTTAATGATTAACTATGATAATTTTCATAAATGTGAAAATTTAATTCAGTGCTTTTAGCCAGATTTGTTTAACTTCATAAAGTAGATGTTTTCATACAAAAAGCTCAAAGTTAATCTTACCATGTATGAAAGTGAATACCTTCATGACCCATTATGGTTCATGGTCCATATCATTAATGAATTATGTTTTTGTTTTTTTGAGATGGAGTTTTGCTCTTGTTGCCCAGGCTGGAATGCAGTGGTGCAATCTCGGCTCACTGGAACCTCTGCCTCCCAGGTTCAAGCAATTCTGCTGCCTCAGCCTCCAGAGTAGCTGGGACTACAGGTGCGCACCACCATGCCCAGCTAATTTTTGTATTTTTCATAGAGACAGGGTTTCACCATGTTTGCCAGGATAGTCTTAATCTCCTGACCTCGTGATCTGCCCACTTCGGCCTCCCAAAGTGCTGGGATTACAGGCGTGAGCCACTGCCCCTGGCCTGAATTATGATTTTTAAGTCATATACATCTGAATTTATACTTTTTTTGAGAGAGAGGGTCTAACTCTGTTGCCCAGGCTGGAGTGTAGTGGCACGAACACAGCTCACTGCAGCCACCACCTCCGAGGCTCAAGTGATACCCCAACCTCAGCCTCCCAAGTAGCTGACTACAGGTGCATGCCACAGTGCCTGGCTAATTTTTGTATTTTTTTATACAGGCAGGGTTTCGCCCTGTTGCCCAGGTTGGTCTCACACTCAAGCAGTCCACCCACTTTGGCCTCCCAAAGTGCTGGGATTACAGGCTTGAGCCACCAGCTCAGCCCAAATTCGTACATTTAATTAGTATCCTAATCTTGTTTATAAAGAGTATAATTTTAGTTTTGCAGTGAGGTATTAAACTTTACCATGCGTTCAGTTTGTAATTGGTAAACAAAACCTCTAGGTGCTTTTGTTAATAATGTAAGTCAGTTGAAGCCATAGTCTTCCAGTAGTCTTCAGTTGAGTGATGGAGGTTTTAGAGTCACAAAGTATTGGCAGTGTGCTTAGGCTCATTCTAAACATATAAAGTTTAATATCAATCAGAATGAAAAGTAGTAAGAATTGAGGTTTATAGCATATCTTCCCAATTTTATAGTCACACATAGAAATATATGTTTTTCATATGTTTTTTCTACAACCACATAATGGGGCTGGAGACATGAGTATTCTGTATTTGTTGTCAGTATAATTATTAATTTTAGGAAGGAACTTAGACACTTAGGATGTTTTCAAATAAGGCTGAAGGAAATTCCTAAGAAATTGATTGTATGAGGTATCTTTAGGGGATGGCATCTTTTAGGTTTGAAATATTAGATATGTCTTTCTTTAGCTATGTTGCTTTATATTTAAAGTGTTTATTTTACTGTTAAATTCCAGGGGGAAATATAATAAACATTAATTTTTTTCCATGGAAACAAAAAAAATATTAAGATGAGACATTTTAAAAATATATAGGTTATTCAAAAGGGTAAAAATGTATTGCCAGAACCTCTGAGTAGGTACATGAACGTATAAGTTCTTGAACAAATTGTGAAACAAAGGAAGTGAGCCTAGCGGCAAGGAAGCGGGGCGCTGTGCTCCGGGGGCGCCTCCCGAGGGCACTTCTCCTGAGTCTCAGATAAAGTGAAAGTTCACATCTCTGTTTCATATAACTTTTCACTAAAACTTTAAACATAAAGGCAGTTTCTAAGTTTAGACAAAGTTACAGTTTATAACTCTAAAGGATGCTGACAGTCTGCTGTCTAAAAAATAATTTGTTTACCCAGACCAGTTTCTTTTCTGTGTTTTTTTAAAAACAACTTTATTGAGTTATTGTGGACATTATATTTAAAGAGAAGAAATAGATAAGTGTTGGCATATATTCACCTGTTAAACCATCACCATGATCAAGATGACACCCATCATCCCTGAAGGTGTCCTTGTGACCTTTTCTGATCCATCTCCTCTGTCCCCACCCTACCCCCATCTGTCTCTAGGCAAACACTGATCTGCTTTCTGCCACTATAAAAGAGTTTTTATTTCTAGAACATTGTATTGAGGGACTCCTACACTGTGCACTTTGGCTCCTTTCACTCAGTGTATTGCTTTTGAAATTCATCCATGCTGTAGTGTGTATCAGTAGTTCATTCCTTTTTATTGCTGAGCAGTGTTCCATTGTGTAGGTGTATCACAGCTATTTATCCTCTTCATTCTCCTGTTCATGGACATCTGCGTTTTTCCAGTTTTGAGCTATTGAGTAAAGCTTCTTTTAACATTTATGTACAAGTCTTATATGGCTATATACTTTCATTTATCTTGAGTAAATGTATAATAGTAAAATGGCTATGGCATATGATAGGTGTATGTTTCATTTTTCAAGAAATTGCACACAGCTCTTTCCCAACGTGTTTATACTGTTTCACAGTTCTGCATCTTCACCAATGTGTGGTATGGTCATCTTCATAATTTTAGCCATTCTAATAGGTATGTAGTGGTATCTCATTACACTTTTAATTGGCATTAACCTAATGACTAATGTGGCACTTTATTTTAATGTGCTTATTTGTCATCTTGGTGAAGCGTCTTTTAAAGTCTTTTGCCCATTTTTCATTGTTATTTATTTTCTTTTTCCAGATTGGTTTCTGATACTAAATTGGCCTCTAGAGTTGGGCAGAAAGACTCATCGCTACAGGTTGTCTACATGCCTCAGTCATTGCCCTTCTATGTGTGTAGTTACTTGTAAATAGTAATATCAGAAAATATGCACTTTCAAATAGAATCACATTTTATCTAGCTTTTAGCATAACCAAAGATTACATTAATAAATGAGCTAAATATTAGTCACATTTTGCTACCTAGAGATGGCTAGTTAATTCATTAATTAACTTAAACAGTTAATAAATACCTGTTAGATGGCAGAGATCAGTTCCCTGTTCTCAAAGAAGGAAACTACAGACACTGGGTTCTCCTTGAGGGTGGAGGGTGGAAGGAGGGAGAGGAGCAGAAAAGATCAGTGTTGGGCACTGGGTTTCATACCTGGGTGATGAAATAATCTGTACATCAAGCCCCCCATGACATGAGTTTACCTGTGTAACAAACCTTCATATGTACCTCCTAACCTAAAATAAAGGCTTTTTTAAAAAAGTTCCCTGTTCTCAAAGAGATATTTTAGTGGGAAGAGCCAGGCAGATAAGCAAATATATGTATATGCAAATGAATGCAATAAAATGTTCTGGGCATTGTAACTGCTTTATCTCAGCCAGGTGTCAGTAGGTCAGTATAAGCATTTCATGGCCAGTGGCGGATAGGGAGCCAGTGCTTCCAGGTATGAGAAGTCAGGCTCTAAGGAAAGTACAAAAAAGAAATTTTACAATGTTGGCAGCAGAGGAGCTGCTGAGTGAGGTGGTGGCCAGTGCAGTGAGGACCCAGCAGATGGTCAGTGAAGTTGGTTGTGATTTATCTATCTCACACTTTCTACCTGAAAGGATTTAGGTTTGGTCATCTTTTCATCAAATATTTGCATCTCTATAAGAAAAGATAACTTGTTTTTAAAAGTAAGTGAGAGAATTGGGAAAGGAAAATACTGATATGAATGAGGTAAGTGCATACAAGAGCTGGGCCACTCCCAGTTGTGCCCTAAGTTTGCTATGAAAGCAAGGACAAGGAGGGGTTGCCTTATCCCAGTCATCTTAAACCCGTCCATCAGGTCATTAAAACTGAGCACCCTTACCAAGCTATTCTACCCAAAAAAGAGTTGAAACTGTTTTTCAGCTCTTTTGAGAGAGGTGGAAGGTGGGAAGCTAGCTCATAGAGTCCTTGAACACCTTCCTAAGGACTTTAGATCTTCTGGACCAGAGAGGGAGCCATTGGAGAGTTTTAAGTAGGAGAGTGACATCATGAGATTTGTGCTTTAGAAAGATCACTGAACCTGCAGAATTGAAGACGAATTAAACAGAGGAGGAGAGAGGGCTGGAGGCAGCAGGTACAGTTGGATCAGTGCATAGGTCAGACTCCAGCTTACTAGCTAAGTGGCGGGGGTAGACAGGGAAGGGTAGTGATGATTGATAGAGTAGGCAGAACTTAGAAACTAACTGAGCTAACTAATCATTTGATCCAGCAGATATTTATTGAGCACCTGCTATTTGCTTGGTACTGTGCTGATTGCTATGGGAAGAAAATGTTAAAATAGAGATACACTTCCCACTCTCATGGAGCTGAGTCTTATGAGGAATGGACATAAATCTCAACCACAGTGATACATGTATCCTTACTAACTGGGATGGTGACTGTGTGACAGCATCAACAAAGGAGCCCAAACTTGGCAGGAGTTGTGGAAGGTATCATTGAATCTGAAGGGTGAGCAGGACCCAACTAGGCCAGGGAACACTCCTACATAGAGAGGGAACAGCATCTGTAAAGAGCCTGTGGCCGTATGGAGTATGACATTTTCCATGAACTAAACAAACAGGAAGCTATGAAATAGCAGGGTATGAGGTGAGGCCAAAGTGAGAGATGGGGATTGGTTCACTATGCGAGGCATCAAAGAGGAGTTGTGCTCTTTTGCCTAAGAGAATAAGAAGGCTTTTCCAAATCAGTTTGAAATAAGGCCAATTTCTCTCCTCCTGCACCAGCCTTGTCTTACTAAATGTTGGAGTAGTTTAACTTTGGCTCCCTCTTCTGGCGGGTTGTAGGATTCTGCACTTTTGGAGAGAAAATACCTAAGATTACTGCTATTTCCCAATTTATCAGTCCTGGGAGAACACATTTGAGACATAATTCCACTTAAATCTTCTGTGTTTCATGAGATTTAGGATTTGCCATTTGTTCTGAGAGCTCATTTAGTTCAGGATGATTTAGCATGAAAAGAGATGTGGTCAAGAAGGAGTTAAGGGAACTGACAAGCTCTACACCCAGTGGACTTTCTTTGCCTTTAATGTTTTGTCCAGTGTGTTGCCTCACTTGGAGAGAGTTATGATCAATGTTACATATGAGAAGATTACAGGAGAGCCAGTAGGCATTAATGCTGTCTTGATTACTCAGCTTTAACATATGCTCTTAGCGGCATTTTCTAAATTGATCTTCTAAATAAGCCTGTTGTTTAAAAAGAACTTAGATGTGCTTGCATATATGATACATAGTACATTTTCTTACAGCAGGAATATCCAAGGGCCAAAACAAAGTAACCTTTTAATGAAATGATTCTTACTGTTTGTAGTCATTATTAAAATAATTTTGCTTTCTTTTAACATTCATGTTATCTAGTATGTGATGTATTGAGAGTGGCATTTGGTACCTTTTAGAGAGGTAACTGTAATATGCTAGAGTAGAAAATACCTCTGAACGGCATTTCTCATTAGCAACAGACACTAAGTTAATGTAGTTTGTAGTTAATGAGTCTGTGCTTGTTTTGAGTTGGGCTCCAAATGTTGCCACGGTGATAGATCAGCCAGAAGCATCCACTGAACAAACAGAAGGCACCACTTTGTATCCCTCCAGGACTGCTGATGAGCACAGCAGATGGACCCTCCGTACTCAGAGCTGTCTTCTGCTCGCATCTCATTGTTCTAAGGCAACTTCTCGCCACAATGTTTGCTGCTGTATAGGCTGCAGAAGAAATTGTAATAACAAAAATATTCCTTGGAATCACTGATTATGTTGGCACAAGAGAATAGTTCTCTTACATAGTCACATTTGCAAACAATCTTATATTTGAGTAAATTTAAAATGTTAAGAAACTCTGAATCTTTGAATATTTATTCTGAAATGACTAGAATTACTGCTTGATTTTTGACAATTTTTTTCATTGTGTGGGGTGTCCATGCATAAGAGAAGTTCTATGCTTTATCTTACAAAAGCTTGTTTCTTAAGTTCTGAGATGACATCAGTCATAGGACATATCATCTATTCAATAACGTCCTGTTGACAGAGGTGGAGCATGAATGAGGAAACCTTGTTGTATTTATACATCAATTGTAAGGGGCATCCAAATTTCAGAAAGAAGATGTGTTAAAATGTGTGGGTTAAAAATGTCCCTCCCAGTTAGCATTTTTACCTATAAAAAGTTAGTTTTAAAATATACTGCTCTCATCCATTTCACACCTACTTGTTATTATACTTTAGGCTAATGGTGGCAGCCCACGGGATTCTAATTGAGGATCCTTTTAACAGTAAATGCCATTACTGGGAAACAGTGGTATACCTAGCTCATACCACATACTGTGATGTTGTCTAGGTAGATGGAAGATTTAAATGTACTACTTGGGCCAGGCACAGTGGCTCAGCCTGTAATCCCAGCCACTTTGGGAGGCCGAGGTGGGCGGATCACCTGAGGTCAGGAGTTCCAGACCAGCCTGGCCAAGATGGCAGAACCGCATCTCTACTAAAAGTACAAAAATTAGCTGGGCGTGGTGGTGGGCGCCTGTGATCCCAGCTACTCGGGAGGCCAAGGCAGGAGAATTGCTGGAACCCAGGAAGCGGAGGTTGCAGTAAGCCGAGATCATGCCATTGCACTCCAGCCTGGGCAACAGAGCAAGACTCCATCTCAATAATAAATAAATAAAACTCCTTGCTAAAAAAGTCTATATGCTCTTAACCAGATTTCGGCTGAAGAATATAGAAACTACTCTAGCTGTTATAAGCAGAAATGGGTTTAAAATATGGAGGACTGGGTGCGTATAAAATCACTGAAAGGGCTGAAGGGGGTAAACTCTAGGCTGGGCCTTCAGAAATGACTCCCCAAAGAGTTCCCTGAAGAGCTGCTACCTCCAGGAATAATTGAGAGGCCCTATTGGCTCTCTTGACTTCTAGAGCACAGTGCCACTGCCGCAGACCAGGGGTCAGGAAGCGGCACTAACACTGTCTCTCTCAGCCACAAAAGGAGCGATTGGGAATGTGGCCCCTGCACAGAAACTGCCACCATCTCCAGTACTGTGCTTACAGGCACCCACAGCCAGTACCTGCCAGGTCACATGCACTCACATGTAACTGGGGGAACCAGATCCCTAGCCTCAGCTCTCCTTGCACGGAGGCTGCATAAGCTGTGTGCCAGGCTTGTCAGTCCTGCACCAGGTGTGCCTGTGGTGGTGGGTGGGAGAGACCATTTTAACTACTTGCTTTGTAAACATTTAAAATAATGGGATGGCTGTTCATTAACATTCATCTAGCGCCTAACACTTTCCAAACTGTTGGAGATATGGGAACCAAATTAAGGGGGGTGGTTTAGAACCAGAGTAAGATCTAATCCTCCATTCCTGAGTACAGCTGTCATTACCTCTTCTAAATTGCTGCAGTCTCTGCCTGCCTTCCCTTCTTTAGGTCATTCTCTGTGGTTCCTCCTTTAACATGATTATTTAACTTCTGTGGCTTCCATTGCTTCTGAGAGGAGGAGGATTATTATACTATAAACGCTTACTGTGTACTAAGTGCCAGTCACTGTTCTAAACCATTCTTTACGTAGATTAGCAATCAATCCTCAAGGAACTCTCTCAGTAAGGGATTCTTAGCTCCCTTTTATCCCCCCGCCCTTGCCCACATGTTATGGATGGCATGACTGAAGGATGGAGAAGCTAAGTAATTTATCCAGGATCCCCAGCAAAGAAGTGGCAGAGCTGAAGTTTCAACCCCAAGGCCATACTTGTAGCTACTGCACTCCCTCTCAGGAGAAGTGTATGGAACTGATAAACCCCCAGTTCTGAATGGTGATGATCTTTGCTGGGGGAAGGTGGAGTATACAGTCAGGGAGGGAAAGATAGGTGGGGCTTTGGTGGAATGGGGACATTTTATTTCTTAAGCTGGAGATTGGCTCCATGGAGATTTGTTGATTATTTGGTCTTTATGCCTTTTTAAAAATGTCTTAAATATTTCTAAATAAATTTTTAAAGAAAAGACTGTGTTGGTAGTTATGACTTGGGTGATTGAATAAGATAGAAGCACCTCAGCGTGCTCCCACTCCTGCTCTCCTGCTCTGTTCAGACCAGGGTGAGGAATGTAAGGTGGATCATAGGGAACTTCTTTTCCCATGTTGCATTCCTGCTCAGGTGGCGGAGCTGAACAAGGAGGGCACCGCTGCCTCCTCTCCCAACCACATGGCTCTAGAGTCTGCACAGGGTCTCAGAGACCTCAACAGCTTGAAGTGCTTGTTGAGCTTAGGTAACCCATGACTGCACAGCTGTTCAGCTCACCATGGGTTAACAATTGTAGCAACCTGTCTCTAGAGTTTCTCTCTGAAACTGGAGGCTCCAGGCTTCTCCTAGTGTGGCAGCCAGGCAGGAACACTGAGGAGTATCCATCCATGGAACCACCCAGTGCTCTCCCAGCTATAGGTCAAGTGATACAATCCAAAATCCTTCCAGGGTCTCTGCCTACCTCTCCAGCCTCCTGTGAAACAACCCTGCTAGGCTTCAGCCCCCGAAGGCGAGAAGCTCTTTTCCATTTCAGGGCCTTCCCATGCACTGTCTAGGCTGGTGGGAGTGAGTTTGTAGGTACGAGGTGCGCACACATACACACAGACATACTCTACCTCGCTAACCCTGACATACTTTTTCAGGCTCTGCTTAATTGTCACTTTCTCAAAGGAGCTTTCTGAATCCCTAAATTAGGTTATCTTGTCCCACTGTTCCTTTTATCATGCTTACAACAATGTGTAATTTTCTATTTGTGAAATCATTTTAAAGATAATGTCTCTTCTACTATATGATAAACTATAAAGACAGGAACCATATGTGTGTATATATATGGTTTTTGGTTTTTGGTTTTTGTTTTGTTTTTTTGGTTTTTTTGAGATGGAGTCTTGCTCTGTCGCCAGGCTGGAGTGCAGTGGCGCAGTCTCGGCTCACTGCAACCTCCACCTCCCGGGCTCAAGTGATTCTTCTGCCTTAGCCTCCAGAGTAGCTGGGACTACAGGTGTGCATCACCACGCCCGTCTAACTTTTGTATTTTTTTGAGTGGAGATGGGGTTTCACCATATTGGCCAGGCTGGTCTCGAACTCCTGACCTCGTGATCCGCCCCGCCTCGGCCTCCCAAAGTGCTGGGATTATAGGCGTGAGCCACCATGCCCAGCCGGAACCATGTTTTTTTATATAATACTCAGTATTCACAGTGCCTGGCACAGAATAGGAACCCATTAAATATTTTCTAAATAAGGAGAGGATAGGTGGGGATATTGACATGTTTGGGGGGGTGGAGCAAATGGTAGGCAGATTGCATGGGAAAACAACGAGTTTGAGCCCTTATTTACCGTGCTTTCCTTTTTTTGCAGCACTTTACACCTGGTGAACCATGTATCTTACTTACACATCAAGTTTATTATTGATCCTTTTTCTCTACTAAGATGTGAGCTCCACAGGGCCAGGGATCTCTCTTTTGTTCCTTGATACAGCCCCAGCCTAGAGGAGGCTGAGCTGTAGAAAACCTCTGTATTTATTGAATGAGTGAGTACTGTCTCTATAAACTAGAAATCCAGGCCATAGATTGAGAGAAGCTGGATGGCATCAGGATTCCAGAGTGCAGGAAAAGTTTTAAGCAGTTACAAGAGGGGGGTTTTGGCAGTCCATGTTAGGTTAGTAAGAGGAATTCTTGGTGGCAGCAGGTGCTTATGCTAGTGTTAGTAGGTAACAGAGCTCATTGCTGTTTCTGAGACTACATGTGGCAGTGTCAGGCGGTCTGGAAATGACTGAAGGTTGGGATGATACAGAAGTATGGATAGCAAGCATAGTGAAAGGAAGGAAGGTCGGGGGCCTCGGCTGTTACAGATGACGATATTGAAGTGACTGAGCATGATGAGACTCAAGCCAACTAAAATGGCTAGGAAAGAAGCAGAGAGAATGGGGTTGCAGCCAGGACTTGAAAAGGCTCAGACCCTAGCAAGGGTAGACTGGAGGCTAACGAGGCTGGGTCAGCAAGGCAAGTTCCTTCTGTCTTGGTATCTTAGAGATGACAATGTAGTAGAAAAGTCTGAAAAGGAGCTCTTTCAAAATCAAGTTCTCCAAAGTCTGAAGGGACAGCAGCCTGAACTTTGTGTCCATACTGTAGCCTGTCATTTTAGAAAAAGCAAAATGTGGGAATCTCTCTATTTGGCCCTGTTATGACAACACTACCTGAAAATTTTAGCTGAAAGCAGAAAATCCTTGGAAAGAAAATTGTTTTAAAAGACTGTTGCTTTCTTATATAAAGAGTTACCATCTACCTTTTCACCAGCAGATGTCACCCTCATTTAAAAAACAAAAGGCAAAAGCTTACTAGGCAAAGAGTAACCAAAATTTCCATCTTGCTGAAAGTTTTTTAAAATTATATATGTAGTTATTAAATGGTTGCTATCTTAATATTTCTTAAATAAAACAAATGATTTGTTGAAAAATCATAAAGAAACTAAAGTTCCCATTGCCTTCCTGTATTCTCCTGCTGCATGAAAATGCTGATATGCAAAAGGGTAGGTTCCCATGTGAGTCCTTATCTGTGAGGTATGGCCCTAGAGTCAGGTCTTTTTGAAGAAGGGGAATGTCAAGATTGCTTTGATGCCCTGGTTTTTTAGACAGTAATAGACCCATAAGTGAGGATCTGAAAAGAGTTTATGGCTAGACAAAAAAAGAAAATGCCCATTTAATTTATCTGTGTTACAAGAATAGATCCAGATTTTGAGATCTTCCACTTATCCCTTCAGATTATTAAGTGGCTGCTTGATTCAAAGATCCAAAAATTACTGGCTTAAGTCAGAAGGTTTATCACTGCATAATATAAAAGAGACCCAGAGGTGTACAGCTCAACTGGGTCAGAATTCCGCATTCCTCTGTCTGTTGCTTTGCTGAGTGAGGCTTCTCTTCCCTTTTCTTAGGGTCCAGGATGACCTGTAGACTACCAGCCATAGCATTAGCATTGCAAGCTGGAAATATCACTGTGAGAACAAGTACGTGGGTAAACTGAGTGTGCCATGCTTGCATTATACTCCGGGACCCTTGGTCTTTTTATTAATTGAATACATGCTTTGTGGCATTTTTTTCTGTTTGTAAAATAATGTGCTAGTACTTTAGTGTAGAGTAAATAGTTGTAAGGGAAATTCTCCCACCTGAAAAAGCTTGTGATCTGTCACAACTTGTAGTTTCTCAATCTCTGTTTCACTTTCAGTCTTTATGAAAACAGGTAATTATTTAGCGGTTTCTGAGAAACTAGCTTAAACTTTATCCTTTCCAATAATACAATGCCATTTCTAGACCAGCACCATTCAAAAGAAATAATGGAAGCCACAAATGTGAGCCACATGAATCATTTTAAATAGGCTAGTTGCATCATCTAAAAAGTAACAGGCGGAATTACTTTTAATAATGTTTAACTTGATATATCCAAAATATCGCCATTTCAATGTGAAAGCAACAGAAAAATTGTTAATGAGGTATTTCTCTTTTTTTTGGTGCTAAGTCTTTAGAATCCAGTATATGTTTTAATACTAAGTACATCTCAATTTAGACCTCAAGGCTCAATAGCCACACTTGGCCAGTGGCTGCTGTACTGGGCAGCACATGGTCATCCTTCCCCTCTACACTTGTCTGAGATTTCCAGTCAATTGCACAAGCTTTAAATACTCTGTGTGTCTTCTTTATTTCCCCAGTTCATTGTTGATTCACTTAAGTGAGAAACCTAAGTGCTCCAGTGCCTTCCTACGGCAACCAACACAGTCCTGGACTCAGACCAGGAAATTCTTGTTTGACTTTTGGATGTGTTTAGTAGGAAAGAAAGCTTCCTTCAGGCAGCACTGTCCAGTAGGTAGCTGAAGAAGGAGGCTGGACTTGGAGCTCGAGGGCAACACTGGGACAGTACTCAGGCATCAGTAGCACAGAAATGATGGTCAGAATGGTGAGCATGGACAACCTCTCCAGAGAGTCCAGGGCTGGAGAATGAGTACAAAGACTTGAAGTCCATTAGCAGTGAGAGGGCCAGCAGAGCACAAAGGCGTCTCTGAGGGGCACAGGAGGGGCGTGGGCCACGCATTCAGACAAGCCTGATGTGCTTGTGCTCGTTCACTGGTCCTGTTGTGCTCATAGCTCAAGGCTGTTATAAAGTAAAAGCACCTGCGTTTCTAAGAGAGTGATTTCATTTCTCCATACTTAATATGTTCCTGTTTCTTCTTGATAAATAGCATCATTTTAACTTTTCATTCAGTAATCATAAAAAAGATTATGGAGAGGAGACATGGAATAGGTTATTTATTTTTTTATTTTTATTTTCTTGAGATAGAGTCTCACTCTGTCACCCAGGCTGGAGTGCGATGGCGCAGTCTCGGCTCACTGCAACCTCTGCCTCCCTGGCTCAAGTCATTATTCTGCCTCAGCCTCCCAAGTAGCTGGAATTACAGGGGTATGCCACCATGCCCAGCTAATTTTGGTATTTTTAGTAGAGATGGGGTTTCACCATGTTGGCCAAGCTGGTCTTGAACTCCTGACTTCAGGTGATCTGCCTGCCTCGGCCTCCCAAAGTGCTGGGATTAAAGGTGTGAGCCACCATGCCTGGTCTATTTATTTATAATTTTTTAATTAAAATAAAACAATACCTACATAAGACTTTGGGATATATTACCAGGATTTTTCCTCTGGAAGGTTTCTATGTCTGATAGTCTAATATTACAAGTAGTTGGAACTCTATTAGTATCTGGCTCTTTTCCTGTAGGTCTAGCCTTTGGGCCAAAAAGATGCCCAGAGGCAGTGAGACTCTCACCAAGGTCATTCCCAGAATTTTAGACTTTGCTGGCCATATATGGTCTCTGTCATATATTTGTCTTTGAGTTTTTCCCCCATCCTTTAAAAATGTAAGGGGCATTCTTACTTCACCTGCCAGTCCTGCCCTACTCACATAACAGTTATTCAAGGTGGAAAGGGAAGACTGGTTAGGAATACTTTGACTCTTTAAAAATGAGTCTGTCTTAGATATAAGATTGACTACACATAATGCATCAGGCAGGTAGCACACAGGAAACCATATTCCATATCCAAATGTCTTAGAATTTGGTGGTTTATATTGAAAAATGGACTGATAACATTCATCTATGATTTGCTTACTTCTTCCTTTCTGTAGCATGAACTCCTTTTCCTCTGAAGGTTTTGAAGAAAAACAACCCTGAATTTGTCCTTCAGTCATTTAAGAAAGATTAACAGCAGCATGGTGGAAAAGCATGGTCAGAGATGTGAGTTCTAGTCCCAGTGGTAGCTGGGTCAGTCATCTCAGCCATATCATCTCGGTTGCCTGAGTCTGTGCAGATGAGGGTGGGACTGGATGATTTCTAAGGTTCCTGTCAGCTCAAATTCTTTGCTTCTGAGTCCTTGCCTAATTGTTTCCATCAGGTTTTGAGTTCTGGTGCATTTTCTTCATTTCGAGTCTTTTAAAAGGCAAAATGACAAGTAGAAGTACAAGTGTAGTTGGCACTCCTTATCTGTGGCTTCTGCATCCATGGATTTAACTAACTGTCAATCAAAAATATTTGAAATATAAATGGACAGTTGCATCTGTACTGATGCAGTGCATGTACTGTACATGTGCAGACCTTTTTTTCTTATTATTCCATAAACAATACAGTATAACAGCTATTTATATAGCATGTAAATTACATTAGGTATTATAAGTAATCTAGAGATTATTTAAATATATAGGAGAGCTGGGCATGGTGGTATGCACCTATTGTCCCAGCTATTTGGGAGGCTGAGGTGGGAGGAACACTTAAGCTCAGGAATTCAAGTCCAGCCCACCCTGGGCAACACAGTGAGACTCCGTCTCTAAAAAAAAAATTAAAAATTAACAACATAACGTATGCGGGAGGATATGCGTAGGTTATACGCAAATAATAACCTGTTTTATAACAGGGACTTGAGCATCTGTGGATTTTGGCATCCAAGGGGGTTTCTGGAACCAGTCCCTCTTGGATACTGAAGGATGACTGTACTTTGACTTTTATAGTAGCTAGCCATCCAGTGTCAGTTATTTACAAAAGAGAAACTGGGTTTTTCATCACAAAAATTTCTGTAGCTTGCTAATAGTTCTCTTTTTTTATTCCTT
Source organism: Homo sapiens (assembly GCF_000001405.40). NCBI lineage: Eukaryota > Metazoa > Chordata > Mammalia > Primates > Hominidae > Homo > Homo sapiens. The sequence goes on from NC_000017.11 coordinate 78,023,404, forward strand.
CCTTCTCCTGCTCCTCCTCCTCCTCCTCTTCTGCTGCTACTGCTTTTGAATTTTGTAGTAAAAGAACCAATATTCCTAGCTTCCCAAGAAGCACTTGTTGAGTCTAGAATAAAACTTTTGAGCTGGGCACAGTGGCTCATGCCTGTAATCCCAGCACTTGAGAGGCTGAGGTGGATAGACTGCTTGAGTCCAGGGGTTCAAGACCAGCCTGGGAAACATGTCAAAAACCCATCTCTACTAAAGATACAAAAAATTAGCTGGGCATGGTGATACACATCTGTCGTCCTAGCCACTTGGGAGGCTGAGGTGGGAGGATCACCTGAGCCCGGAAAGCCAAGGCTACAGTGAGCTGTGATCATGCCACTACACTTCAGCTTGGGCAACGGAAGTGAGACCCTGTCTCAAAAAACAAACAAAAAAGCCTGGCCGGGCACTGTGGCTCATGCCTGTAATCCCAGCACTTTGAAAGGCCAGGGTGGGTGGATCACCTATGGTCAGAAGTTCAAGACCAGCCTGGCCGACATGGTGAAACCCCATCTCTACTAAAAATACAAAAATTAGCCAGGCATGGTGGCGGGCACCTGTAATCCCAGCTACTTGGGAGGCTGAGGCAGGAGAATCACTTGAACCCAGGAGGCAGAGATTGTGCCATTGCACTCCAGCCTGAGCATCAAGAGCAAAAAAAACACCGTCTCAAAAAAAAGCAAAAACAAAAAAACCTTTTGAGGCAGATACATTAAAGTGTGTGAAAAAATAATTGTTAGTATGCTAATTGTAATTTTAAAACACATTGAGTGGTTCTAAGTTTACCAGACAAGTGTCTATGTATTGTGCTCTCAGTTTTATTTGGAAAGTTTGCTATTGTGAAAGAGACAGCAAGTTTTCTTCTCTGTTGTGGGTTGTATTTCCATTTTTTATTAATAGGCTGTATTATTTAGAGCAGTTTTTTTTGGTTTTTTTGTTTGTTTGTTTGTTTTTTTGGAGATGGAGTCTCTCTCTGTCTCCCAGGCTGGAGTGCAGTGGCCCGATCTTGGCTCACTGCAAGCTTCGCCTCCCAGGTTCACGCCATTCTCCTGCCTCAGTCCCCCAAGTAGCTGGGACTACAGGTACCTGCCACCACGCCCGGCTAATTTTTTGTATTTTAGTAGAGACGGGGTTTCACCATGTTAGCCAGGATGGTCTCAATCTCCTGACCTTGTGATCTGCCCACTTTGGCCTCCCAAAGTGCTGGGATTACAGGCGTGAGCCACCGCGCCTGGCCTATTTAGAGCAGTTTTAAGTTTACAAAACAATCGAGCTGAAAGTATAAAGTTCCCATGTATTCCCTCTCCTCACCACCACTAGTTTCCCATATTTGTGTGGAACATTTGATACAACTGATGTTCTAGTATTGATACTTTTTTTTTTTTAGGACAGAGTCTTGCTCTGTTGCCCAGGCTGGAGTGCAATGGTGCGATCTCAGCTCACTGCAGCCTCTGCCTCCAGGTTCAAGCAACTCTCCTGCCTCAGCCTCCCGAGTAGCTGGGATTACAGGTGTGCGCCATGACGCCCAGCTAATTTTTGTATTTTTAATAGAGACGGGGTTTCACCATGTTAGCCAGTGTGATCTCAAACTCCTGACAGGTGATCCACCCACCGCAGCCTCCCGAAGTGCTGGGATTACAGGCATGAGTCACCGCGCCCGGCCAATACATTATTATTAACTAAATGCCACAGTTTACATTAGGGTTCACTCTTTGTGTTATATATCTATGGGTTTTGACATGCACAGTATTGTGTATCTGTCATAGCAGTTTCCCTGCCCTAAAAATCCCCTGTGCTCCGCATAGTCATCCCCCACTCCCCTGGCAACCGCTGATCTTTTCACCATCCCTGTAGTTTTGCCTTCTCCAAAATGTCACGTAGTTGGAATCAGACAGTATCTACATACTGTGGATTTTCTACATACTGTACTTTCCTGATTGGCTTCTTTCACTTAACAGTATGCATTTATAGTTCCTCTATGTTTTCATGACTTGATAACTAATTTTTTTAAATCACGTAATGTTCCATTGTCTGAATGCACCAGTTTATCCATTCACGTACTGAAAAACATCTTGGTTGCTTCCAGTTTTTGACAATTATGAATAAAGCTGCTATAAACATTTGTGTGCAGGTTTTTGTATGAACGTAAAGTTTTCAACTCATTTGGGTAAATACCTATTAGCTTTTCTGTTATTATAATTAGCTGAAGGTCATTATCAGGAAAATATATATATATTTATATTTAAGAATCAACTTCAACTTGTAACAAATAGGTTCTGCACCTTTCTTTAAAAGATATAATGGATGTTCATTCTGTATAAAGGTAAAGAACTTTAAAATCTTAAGTAATCACAAAAAAGTATTTCATGTCTATATCAAGGCCAGGGAAATAGGAGCAGAGACAGGCTGGACATAGGGAAGAGGAAATCCGTGGACTCTGGAATGCTAGCCATCACAGAATTAAAACTGCATGTCATGTTCTCTGGGCTTCACTTCAACCATAGGCTTTCAGAATTAGAAGGAGCCTTAGAGTGTCAGCTAGTCTAAACCTTTCATTTCCAGATGAGAAAACTGAGGTCTAGGGATATGAAAATTACTTAATCCAGATCATATATATTATTAGTGGAAGTGAATCCAAGTTTTTGAGGTCTCTAGCCTTAGTATTTTTTTATTTCATCAACTAATTTTTTTACATGATGTTGCTGTCTCTGCATTTTTTAAACTTTATATGTTTGAGAAAAACAATCACTCCTTCAACATTTATTTAGCACTCACTGTTGTCAAACACTATGCTGCCATAATTTACAGCCTAGAGAAGAAGACAGTCATTTTAAAAAATAACATACACAATGCTGAGTGCTGTGCCAAATACCGGGTACTGTGGATGTTCAGTCAGAAGCACCTAGACTGGCTTAGGTGAGGAGGTGACATTTAGTCTGATATTTAAAGAATAGCTGGGAATTACCATGTTTTTTGACTCTGACATTATCAATTGCATTATGCACTATTTTATGTACCACTAAGAAAAAAATTGCCAGTTAAACTGATATATTCATTGTCAGTTATAATATGCATCCCAGTTTCAGAAATGTTGAAATATTTGGAAATGTGCCCTAGAATTGATGAAATGTGGTGGTTAGATGAAGAAGCAAGCAGCTCACAGGGGAGTTTAGCACTTGCTGAACCTCAAAGCTAAGTCTGGGGAACTGGGAGTCTTACTGCTCAGGACCACGTGGACCTTGCAGAGAGTTTGGATTTTATTCTGAGAGCGTTACAAGACCTCAGAGTTTTAAACCAGGGAGGAGATCTGCATTTCAGAAGGATCACACTGGCTGCAGTATAGATGATGGATTAGAGAGAGTCTCTTACAGTACTCCAGCTAAGAGATGAGGGTGCCCAGGTTCCAATGGTGACCGTTGGAATGAAAATAGATGGGTGAAATTGAGGGATATTTGAGGGTGGAGGGCATGTAGGAGCTATTAATAGAAATGACAAGGTTTGGTGATTGATTAGATGTAGGAGAGATTGAAATACTCAGAAGGGCGAGGCGAGAAAGCTGATGAGTATATGGGACATGTTGATTTTGAAGTGTATCAAGTATAAAAGAGTGGACAACAAAGCCATAAAAGAACAGGAAACCTGCCAAGGGGGATGGGAAATAGTGGCATAGAGAAGAAGGCAGGAGTGGCCGTCGCTGATAAAGACAACCTGAGGGGTCTTTTGGTCCAAAGACTGAGGGGTCAAAAGATAACAGGGCCTTGGATTTTAGCAGCAAGAAAGAAATTATGGCCTTGGCTAGTCAGTTTCCATGAAGGTTTGGCAGGAGGAGAGGAGAGAGTGGGAGGAGCTGGAGGAGAATGTGGAGTCCAGGAGAGGTGATTGTTGCCATTTGTGAAGAGATTAAATATTTGAACATGTTCAAGTGATGATGAGAAGGAGCTAATTACAGTAGCCAGACAGTCCCTGGGCCCGTTAGAGGTTGGAAATGCAATGTCTTTCACTCTGCACACAAACACCGCAACCCTCTTCTTTTTTATATTCAGTTCCATCATATGGAAACTCTGGCTAGAAAAAAAACAGAGAAATACTTGTAAAGCAAGGAATTGATCCAAGACCCAATCTTATGTTTTGGGCCTTCATATCTACTTTGGAGAGAGTTGTGAGTTGAAGACCCAGGACACGCAAAGTCCCTAAGATAGGATCCAGAGGTTTGGAGGGTGCCCCCTTGCATTGCCTCTCTGACCCCATTGATTGTGAGACATATCGGTATTGCACATACCATTAAGAAAGGAAAATATGCTGCCTGTGCACTGACATGGCATCATAAGACACATCCCAATGTAAGTGATGGTAACCTGTGAAGGGATGTGCGTCTTTGAGTTGATGGAATACAGTATTAGCCTTAGATAGGAATAACAGATGTGGGACAAAGAACAGGGTGACACTCATATATCTGTAGTGACAGAAACTTGGAGGTTTTTTTTTTTTTTTTTTGAGATGGAGTCTCGCCCAGGCTGGAGTGCAGTGGTGCGATCTCCGCTCATTGCAAGCTCCACCTCCCGGGTTCACGCCATTCTCCTGCCTCAGCCTCCCGAGTAGCTGGGACTGCAGGCGCCCGCCACCATGCCCGGCTAATTTTTTTTTGTATTTTTAGTAGAGACAGGGTTTCACCGTGTTAGTCAGGATGGTCTCGATCTGACCTTGTGATCTGCCCGCCTCGGCCTCCCAAAGTGCTGGGATTACAGGCGTGAGCCATCGCCCCCCGCTGAAACTTGGAGTTTTTACTTGATGGCTTTTATTTCTTCTGCAGAGTAGTCAAGTTCATTTTCTGGGGATGGGGAGAAGTGGGAACAAGGAGGTAGAGGGATTAGGAGCTCAGGAGTGGAAGATCTCTAAATGAATTGTTGACACCACTGGAACAAGGCAGACCCAGGAAGTTGCAGGATTGACAGGAAGCAGTGAGGGCGTTCTGAGGCCAGGACCATGCATTCGTAGCAGTACCAAACTGCATGTCACATGATTTTCTTGAGAGATACTTAGCAACCTGAGTCAGGAAGTAGGGAGAGTAGACAGTGGGTTCATCCAGGACTAAGGACTTGCCAGGCACTAGTGACAGATAGACAGTGAGGCAAAGACCTGGAGGATACTGGTAGTGTGGACAATGTAGCGTTCACATGGTAGATGGCCAAGTCCATGTTGAGAGACAAAAACTGCAGGTAGACTGGAGCTGACAATGTAAAGGGAAACAGTACCGTATCATGAACCACCCCCCAATGTTGACTTAAAATATTTTTTAATGTTTCTTCTACATAAAAGGTATGTACAGAACTAGGCATAAACTCATTTTGTACATAGCTGTTTCTCAGCTATCAAACCAGTGATGTTTACAAATTGAGTAGAAAACCAAAAATGTTTTCAAATAACAAAATAGATGTAATGTCCTGGATAATGATGTTTTGTGTACAAGATGAGGTGGGACTGACTATTGAGGCGCCGACTCTTGCACTTTACATGTCGGCGTGCAGAATTACTACTCGAATCACTGTTTGCATTCGGCATGCTAATTAGTAAACCCTATTATTAGGTTATCACCCAACTCTTCTGCTCCTTTTTTAAAATTTAAATTACTATGAGATCTTTGTTTATGCAACTTACTCTAATATGATTTTAGACCTTCACTTAATGCAAATTCATTATTCGCACAGTAGGCCCAACTGCATTCTTTCCCAGTAAATCTGGCAGAGTGTGGCAGTGCTACAGACGCCAAACCACAGTTGCTGACACTAAAATTCAGTAGTACGATCATACCTTGCTTGACAGAGAGATACGTTCTGAAAAATGCACCGTTAGGCTGTTTTGTCATTGTGCAAACCCAGATGGTACAGGTTGCTACTCACCTATGCCATGTGATAGAACCTTTTGCTCCTAGGCTGCAAGCCTCTACAGCATGTTACTATACTGAATACTGTAGGCAGTTGCAACACAATGGTAAGTATTTATGTTATCTAAACATAGGAAAGGGACAAGAAAAATACGCTATAAAGAATTTTTAAAAGGTACACCTGTATAGGGCACTTAACTATGAATGGAGCTTGCAGGACTGGAAGTTGCTCTGAGGAGTCAGTGAGTGGTGAGTGAATGTGAAGGCCTAGGACATGACTATACACTTAGGCCACACTAAACTTACTTAAAAAAATTTTTTTTCAGTAATAAAGCTTTTTAATTTTTTTAAGAGTTTTCACTCTTTCATAATAACACTTAGCTTAAAAGACACATTGCACAGCTGTACAAAAAATATTTTTCTTTCTTTATATCCTTATTCTGTAAGCTCTTTTCTGTGTTTAATTTTTTTTTTAACTTTTAAACTTATTAAAAACCTAGACACACACACACACACACACACACACACATAAGCCAAGGCCTACACGAGGTCAGGATCATCAGTATCACTATCTTCCACCTCCACATCTTGTCCCACTGGAAGATAACATGCATGGAGGTTTCATCTCCTGTGATAACAATGACTTCTGGATATCTCCTGAAGGACCTGCCTTAGGCTGTTTTACAGTTAACTGTTGTTTTTGGCTTTTTTTTATGTAGAAGCAATACACTCTAAAATAATGATAAAAAGCATAGTAAATACATAAACCAGTAATATAGTTATTATGAACCATTATGTACTACTGTACATAATTACTACTGTACATAATGTATGTGCTAGACTTTTTTTTTTGTTTTTGGAGACGGAGTCTCGCTCTGTCACCCAGCCTGGAGTGCAGTGGCACAGTCTCGGCTCACTGCAACCTCCACCTCCCGGGTTCAAGCAATTCTCCTGCCTCAGCCTCCTGAATAGCTGGGATTACCCGTACCTGCCACCACACCTGGCTTGTGTGTGTGCGTGTGTGTGTGTGTGTGTAGTAGAGACAGGGTTTCACCATTTTGGCCAGGCTGGTCTCGAACTCTTGACCTCAGGTGATCCGCCCACCGTGGCCTCCCTAGACTTTTTATGTGACTGGCAGGATGGTAGGTTTGTTACCACCAGCATCACCACAAACACGTGAGTAATGTGTTGTGACATTGCAACGGCTGTGTCACCAGACGATAGGAATTTTTCAATTCCATTATAATCTTACGGAACCACTGTCATATATGAGTCAGTTGTTGACTCAAACGTCATTATTTAGCTTTAATTATTCAGATAACCCAGAATGCACCAATATATGTTTTATACATTATCATCAGAATTAAAACAAAAATACATATAAATTCATGGACACCTAAAGATTCCTTCGTTTTATAAATATTGAACAAGAGCAGTGGTTCTCATAGAGAGGTGCTGGAACCAGCAGCATCAACATTGTCCCAGTAATTGTTAGAAATGCAAATTCCGGCCGGGCATGGTGGCTCACACCCGTAATCCCAGCACTTTAGGAGGCTGAGGCGAGCGGATCACTTGAGGTCAGGAGTTCGAGACCAGCCTGGCCAACATGGTGAAACCCCATCTCTACTAAAAATATAAAAAGTATCTGGGCTTGGTGGCCTGCGCCTGTAATCCCAGCTACTCTGGAGGCTGAGGCAGGAAGATCACTTGAATCCGGGAGGTGGAGGTTGCAGTGAGCTAAGATGGTGCCATACTGCCCTCCAGCCTGGGTGACAGAGTGAGACACTGTCTCACACTTAAAAAAAAAAAGAAAGAAAGAAATGCATATTCCCAGTTTCTCCTTGCTTTTTGACACTGAATCAGAAAGTCTGGAGGTTGGCACCAGGTGTCTGGGCTCTGATAAGCCCTCTAGGTGATTGTGATGCAAACCAAGGGTGAGAACTGCTGCTCCAGTCTTAATGTATCACCTTGATTTTACAGATGAGGAATCCAAGGCCCAGGAATAGCTGGCTCAGACTCTCAAGATTAGTTTGTGTGTAGCAAAACTAGGTCTCAAACTTGGAACTCTAGACTTTAGTCCAGTTCTGTTTCCAAAGCACTACATTGTCATTTTTTCTCAGTTTTTGGTTATGGTTTCCTTGGTTTGGGTTGGGTTTTAAAGGGGTCTAGCTAAAGTTTTGGGTTCTTTTGCCTTTCATTCATTTTAGTGCCAGAACCTACTAAGACCTGTTCAAGCCAGCCCCAACCTGCCGGTACCAGTACCAGTACTTCCACCAGCACTATCTCAAGCAGCAACAATGGCAAACGTGCATCTGCCAGTGGCCAGCAGCCAGCTGCATCCCGTTACCTGCCTCGTGAGGTGCCTCCACGCTTCCGCCAGCAAGAACAGAAGCAGCTATTAAAGAGAGGCCAGCCATTGCCTACGGGGACTCTAACCAGTGTGAGCCCAACCCAGGGTGCTGGGCCTGCAGGGGTAAGCCCACCTCCCCTACCTGGAGCCGGAACACAGCATCATCCCAGTAAGCTCCAACCAGGTAAAAACCACATAGGATGAGACATTGTTTTGATCTGAAAACTTTGCTATTTTCAACTTTGCTGCTGAGCAATAGAAATAGACATATTTTGGTCCATACTCACAACATACACAGAGACAGACAAATTCATTTCATTTTAAGTGGGTTTTAAAATTTAATTGTGTTTTCCCTCTATTTATTTACATTATTGGTCATGAGTTTGCAGATGGCATGAGCTACTTCAGCTGAGCTTATTTTTCATCAGAAACTAAAGGTCTGTACATTGGTCCATACGAACCCATCAAGGCAGTTACTTTAGAACCCAGAAGTGAAAACTTTTCAGTAAAACCCTTTTCTCTCAATTTCCTAGTCTGTCTTATGAGTGCACACAAGCATTTTTTGCAGGGAGGTACAGATCCTTCCACTAGGCGTTTCTAACTGTAACTTAGTCATACACATTGAGCCAAGCCTATCTGATACCTCCTCATCCTAAGCCCTGCTTCTTGTTGCTTCCTTGCCTGTAACTAGTTGTTAGCTTTCTTTTGGCTCCTAAGAAAAATCACCACTTGTTTATTTGCTTTCCAGCTGCCAAAATGCAGATGTCTCTCATTTCCTGTCAGCTTCTTTTCCAATCTCCTTGACTTGATGGATTTGTACTTTTGAAAAATTCATGTACTGTAGTTTTAAGGAATTTTTGGAAGAGAACAAAGTATTTGTGGTCAACTGCCATGTTCTCTGTTAGATTCTTCAATTTTTCGGTTTCAAGTAACAACTAATAATTGGTGCTGTTTCTGGAATGGAAACTTATCTGCTCATAGTTGTGAAATTAAGGTCTGTAATTAGATGTGCAAGGAGGCTTCTTAGATTGGAATTTAAAAGAAACATGGCACAAGTCATATTCTTGTTTTCTTTCATGTGCTGCTTTTTAATATGGGTAATAATTCTAGCATGACGTAGAAGTATTTATAGCAATGTTTTTCAAAACTGTGACTTTGTAGTATAGTCAGAACTAATATTTTTAGACAACTTTACCAAGTCTCTTCAAATAGTCTTGGCTTTCGTCTGCTAACCACTTGGTAGAGGGGATGTAGGTCAATGATTGTCACCAAAAAGCAAGGCAGAAAAGATAAAATATATTCACTGACCAAGAATATAGTCTCATCTATTTAGTTGCCAGCAGTTTACAATCAAACATGCTACTTTCCCAATATGGTCCTTGGGAAAATCTTAACAGAGACAAGGATTCTATAGTTAGACCTAAATAGCTTGGTGTTTTAATTTAAGGGTCTTATTTTGAAAAACTGAATAAGAAATGTAACAGCCCTGCCTGTTCTGGTTGTATCTGGTTGTGATGTGATTGGTTGACAGTATTGCATCAGTTTTCTCATCAAATGCTGCTGGTGCAGAATGTTACTGGTATCTTCTTAGATAAGTAGAAAATAAGCAATTAAGTCAATAAAATCTTGCTATGATATAATATTCCCTCATTAAATATTTATCTCTGTAAATATAACATTATCTAAGAAAATACTCCTAGTTCATAGTCCTTCTAAAATATATATTGTAGGCTGGGCACAGTGGCTCACGCCTGTAATCCCAGCACTTTGGGAAGCCAAGGTGGGCGGATCACCTGAGGTCGAGAGTTCGAGACCAGCCTGACCAACATGGAGAAACCCAGTCTGTACTAAAAATACAAAATTAGCTGGGCATGTTGGCACATGCCTGTAATCCCAGCTACTCGGGAGGCTGAGGCAGGAGAATCGCTTGAACCTGGGACGTGGAGGTTGCGGCGAGCCGAGATCACGCCATTGCACTCCAGCCTGGGTGACAAGAGTGAAACTCCGTTTCAAAAAAAAAAAGGTGTGTGAGTATATATATAAATATACATATAAACACACACACATATTGAAGAACATAAATCATTTTATGGATTGAAAACATCTCAAAAAATTGATCAATCTATGTAGTGAGCATAAAATAAGAAATTCATTCTTGACTCCCAAACAAAAATCTTCATTTTATACCAATTTCATCTCTTCCTCAGTAGTCTCTGGTATCACAGCCAGATGCATCTTTCTAACTCACCACCCTTCACTGACGAGGGGTCCCCTCACAAACCTGCCGTGGTCACCTAGTTACTAATGCACAAACTCTCCGTTTTTCTCTCTGGCTGTGAAGGCCCTTCATAGCCGAGTCTCCCCAACATTTTCCCCGCCTACTCTCCATGGCCTACTTTTTTCTTTTCTTTTGAGACTGAGTTTCTCTCTTGTTGCCCAGGCTGAAATGCGATGGCACAGTTTTGGCTCACCACAACCTCTGCCTCCCAGGTTCAAGTGATTCTCCTGCCTGCCTCAGCCTCCTGAGTAGCTGGGATTACAGGCGACCACCACCATGCCTGACTAATTTTGTATTTTTAGTAGAGAAGGCATTTCACCATGTTGGTCAGGATGGTCTCAAACTCCTGACCTCAGGTGATCCGCCTGCCTCAGCCTCCCAAAGTGCTGTGATTCCAGGCGTGAGCCACCACCCCCCAGCCTCCATGGCCTACTTTCTATTATGATTGGGATTGCTTTCTTACTGTCTCACAAGTGTGCCATGCTCACTGTCAAGTCCCTCCCATGCACACATGCTTAATTGCTGCCCCCCCAACCCCCACTTTACTTCCAGTTCATTGTCCCCCCGCACCCGTGAGGCTTCCCCAAGCAGCTCTGTCTCCATTCTGTTCTCACAGGTGTAATATGCCCACTTTGTAACATAACACCTTTGCACTTACTGTATACTGTATATCCTATATTTTTTGCTGATTAGGTCATAAGAGTCTTGCCTTTAAACTAAGTTGGAAATATCCTATGAAGAAAATGTTTGAGGTCGGGCGTGGTGGCTGATGCCTGTAATCCCAGCACTTTGAAGCCCTGGGCGGGTGAATTGCTTGAGCTCAGGAGTTCGAGGCCAGCCTGGGTGACACAGCAAAACCCCCTTTCTGCAAAAAGTACAAAAATTAGCCAGACATGGTGGCATGTGCCTGTGGTCCCAGCTACTCAAGAGGCTGAGGTGGGACAATCGCTTGAGTCTGGGAGGTGGAGGATGCAGTGAGCCAAGATCGAGTCACTGCATTCCAGCCTGGGCAACAGGAAAAAATAAATAACGTCTCTGAGCTTTCTATGACTAAGCAGAATGGGAAAATCTCTGAACCATAGGTGAGGACTTGGAAACTAGAACTTGTTATGCCACCAACTAGTCCTTCCATTTCTCATCTAAAATGAGAGGTTTGAACCTCTCATGATCTCTAAGGTCCTTTCCCTTAAATTTCTGACTCAGACACCATTCCAATGACTTTGTTTGATTTTGTCAGTGGAAGGACTTTCAGGAACACTGTCCCATGTTGTTACGGTGTTGGCACAGGGATTGTAGGTGAGCATCAGCAAGCATGGAGGCAGTATGGCAAAGTGGTCAAGAGACAGGCCCAATCCACTTTCCAGACCCACCACCTCCTGTGTGACCTTGACCAAATCACCTTCACTCCCTGTACTTTTGACTCATCTTTGAAATGAAGAGATTCCTAATTTTGAAGATGAGCTATTTATTTCATATGCAGCACAAGGTCTTGCTTATAGTAGGTGTTGAGTAATGCAGGTGATAGTTGTTAGTGTGAGACTGGTGAGACTTTGAAATATACAACAAATATGTACCCATCTTTGAAACACCATTGTGAAGCAGAGTGTTCACAAATCCCAGCTACCTGACAGGCTGAGGGAGAAGGATCGCTTGAGCCCAGGAATTCAAGACCAGCATGGACAACACAGCAAGACCTGTTTCAAAAAAATAGTCAAAATTTTTGACTGACTAAATTCTAAAACAGTGCAGTAAAGCTTTCTCATCACTCTGTGATTTGTGTATATTTTGAAGTTTCACTTGTCCTTCCTAGAGTTCTCTTTTTCATATTATAGTTGTTTAATGAATTCACATCCAGGTGAAATTCTATTGGTGTATTCCCGAGGAGTAACCAGATTTCTGGTCGCAGTGAAAGTATTTTTAGATACAGTTTGAAATAAAAGCTCTTATCAACTTTCTTAAAAGTAATACATAGATTTTCATTGTACTTTAATCTGTCACTTTAATGTGGAAGTGACTCCTACGGTCACTTCTACATTAAAACAAAAAAACAGAGTTTTATTCATGATTACATTTCTCTAACTTGTAAGGTTCAGTTAAAAAGAAGTACAAATGCTGGGTCCGTAGAACTAAGACTGAATTAACCAAGCAGGGGGCCGCTGAGGGAGGCGTCCTTAGGAATTTAGCAGTACACCATTTCTGATGAAGAGCAAAGTGAAGCTTGGAGTTCTTTCAGCTTCGCACACGAATTTCTGTGTTTTTCCCAGGTGTCTTAGTACGTAAACTCTTTGTGCCCTCCCCCCAGGTTTTAGTGTGCTTAGCGAAAACTAAAGAAAGTGAAGTATTCGTGGAAGGAATTGACGGAGTTTGAGTCACCTTTGTCATAGTTTTAAAAAGCTGCACGGTGGAGATTTGTGGGCATCCTTGTTTCCCCATAACTGAGTATTTGACCAGTTGCCTGCTGCTTTCCCATGGAAGTAAGTGTTATAGTCCTGTACTGTGCTAATGGAAAACTTACGTGTCCATTCCAGTAAACAGAGAGGATTTACAGATAAAATTAAACAATAGAGGAGCAGAAATGGGAAAGTTTTTAAAGAGTTAAAAGTGGAATTTGTAGCGTTTTTAGCTGTGTAAGAATAGATAAAATGTATATTTATATACTGTTACAGTACAAGGCAACGGGCGAAATTAGAGAAGAGACTTACATAGGCCGGGCGCGTTGGCTCACACCTGTAATCCCAGCAGTTTGAGAGGCCGAGGCAGGTGGATCACCTGAGGTCAGGAGTTTAAGACCAGCCTGGCCAACATAGCGAAACCCCATCTCTACTAAAAATACAAAAATTAGCTGGGTGTGATGGTAGGCGCCTGTAACCCCAGCTACTCGGGAGGCTGAGGCAAGAGAATCACTTGAATCCAGGAGGCAGAGGTTGCAGTGAGCTGAGATCACACCACTGCACTCCAGCCTGGGTGACAGAGCAAGATTCCATTAAAAAAAAAAAAGAAAGAAAGAAAGAATGGAAAGAGACTTAGTCTGACAGTTATTTATTTCATTATTCTTTTTCTTTATATAGAATATGCTTCCTAACGAGATGTAAATAGTAGATTAATCTGACTCTTAAAACATTTTGTCATAATTCACCTTTTGATTTACATTAATCTGCAAGCTTGCTTCTATAGAAAATTGCAACCACACATTTTGCCATTTCTTAGACAAACTAGTGTACTGGCTTCACACTTTTTCACTCTTTTTCCTTTTCTTCCTATATGAGAATGTTCAGGCAGCAGTGCCACACTCGGCTTGCACAGCTCTGAGAAGGGAAGAAGATGCTAGCCTTTCAGAACGGTGGTTTTGTCATGTGTGTCTTCATTTGTTCATTGAGCAGAACATTTGTTGAATGCCTACCAAACATCACATACCCTGCACTGGGGATGGACAATTCATGAGTGAAGTGTTTTGGAATAACCAATAAGTAAGTCAGCCACTTCAAGGTATTGTAACAGAGATAAGCATAGAGTGCCACATGGGAAGGACAACTAACCCAGACTACGGATAGGGGACTGCAAGGAAGCCTTTCTGGTGGAGGTGATATGAGCTGAGTTTCAAGTTAGCTGTGCTGGGCAAAGAAGGTGAAAGGGCGTCGCAGATGGAGTGACCTGCATGCATGAAAAGCGCAGACCCGCAGTTGTAAAGCCTCTCAGTAAGCGCTGCAGGCTCATTGTGGCGGGGGGCAGTGGGAAGATGTAAGGCTACAGAAGTTGGCTGTTGGTATTACTAAGTAATAGTAATAAACCAGCATAAAAGCTTCTTTTGGTAATAGAGCCAAATTAAATTCAGATTTAAAGCTCTTCCTCCAAGTTGCTTTTGGAACTTGATAGACTAATTCCAAACTTCATCTAGAAGAGCGAATGTACGTGAATAGAAGAGCCAAGAGACTGAAAAAGCATAATGAGCTATCACTTTGAGCTGTGATCCTCTAGTAATTTTAACAGCGTGTTTCTAGGGCAGGAGTAAACACAGATCCAGGAACTATGATATAAAGAGAGCAGGGGGAAAAACAGATGTATACACGGAGAGTTGCAGATCACTGAGAAAATAGTGGTTCAGATCAATATCGAGTGCTAGAAAGCCATATGCAAGACAAATATAAGAACTACAGAAAGATGACGTAAGAGAGTATTTTCTAAATCTTGGGATAAAATTTTAATCATAAGCCATGAAAAGAAAGACTGACAAGTTTGAGTGTATAAAAATTTAAAAGTTTTGTACATGAATATGAATAAAATCTGAGAGGACATGTTTACAGTGTAAATAGCAAAAGATAAATATCTCAAAAATACCAAGTGTTCCGACAAATCAAAAGAAAAACAGTCCCATAGAAGAATGGGCAAAGAATGTGAACGGGAAGATCATAGAACTACCACAAATGGGTCCTAAGTATGTTGAAAGTATTCCCTTGTGGCTGGGTGCGGTGGCTCACGCATGTAATCCCAGCACTTTGGGAGGCCGAGGCAGGTGGATCACGAGTTCAGGAGATTGAGACCATCCTGGCTAACACGGTGAAACCCCATCTCTACTAAAAAAAAAAATACAAAAAATTAGCCGGGCGTGGTGGCGGGCGCCTGTAGTCCCAGCTACTCGGGAGGCTGAGGCAGGAGAATGCCGTGAACCCGGGAGGCGGAGCTTGCAGTGAGCTGAGATGGTGCCACTGCACTCCAGCCTGGGCGACAGAGCGAGACTCCGTGTCAAAAAAAAAAAAAAAAAAAAGTATTTCCTTGTAATCAGGGAAAAGATAAATGGAAACAGCATTGATAGATCACTTTTCACTTACCAAATTGTCAAAACTTTAAATCTTGTTAATATTCCTCTATTGTAATAACACAGTACTATGGATTGAGTGCTTATCATTTGCAAGATCCAATTGCTTTACACATATTAACTCATTTAATCTTCTCAAGACCCTGTAATCACCGCAGGCGACCAGCGAGAGTGTGGGAAAAGGCGACGCTGGTGTGCTGTTGGTCGGAATGTAAGGAGGCATGTGGCAGGATTTATCAAAATGTTGGGTAATATGACGTAGTACATCCTGCAGACACCTAGAGCACAGCTCTTTACTGACGACTGAATGCTCTGCATTTGTCCTCTGCCCAGTGGCATGAATTAATAACAGGCAAGTTGGAACGTGTCGAGAGGCAGTAGGGACAAAAACAGAGTTGACTGTATTCGTTACAGAACAGGCACAGGTGTAGATAGCATTAGTCTTCCAGTGACCAGCAATCTCACTTTATCCTGTGATGATAAAGAGCAGCCTGTGTTTGAGAACCAGTTGAACTTTTGCTAGGCTGCAGGTCCCCACAGAACAGCAATTTCAAATCTTGCCCCCCCCCCCCACTCCCTACCTCTTACCAGGTCAGCCATCCCCTCTGTTCTTGGTGTCACCTTCTTGCCGTCACCCACGTTGGCCTGGGCATTGGGCAGAAGCTTCATTGGTTTTGTAGCGTTATTGATGTCAACAAGTATCCCATTTTAGAAGGTAACCAAGACTTCTAATACTTGCATGCAAAAATAAGTCCTAGATGCTTTTAATATTCGATAATGCTGATGTTGAAGTGAAATTCAGTCAAGTGAAACCAATTTTGTAATGGGCTGACAATTCTAAATGGAGCTTTCCAGCGTCCAGCTGACCCTCCTGCCAGTGGTTAATGCTGTGGCTGTTGTCAGGCAGCATCCTGTGGCTGCCATCCCTCGTGGGAAACACAGGCTTGCACACAAGGGCATCCAGAGCAGACAGGGCAATAAAGGCCTAGAAATGCCCACTAAGGACTGGGAGAACAACAGAGGGGAGCCTACAACAAGCCCGAGAGGAGGAGGGCCTGTGGGCATTTCAGCTGTCAAAGGGCTGTCCTGAGAGCCCGCTGCCCCCAGGCAGCCCCAGAGGACAGAGGTGGAACAAGAGTGGCGGAAATGTAGGGTGGTAGGCAGGGTTTTCAGATTTCTGGAAGAACTTTTATTCCTTCCCCCTTCACTGGCAGTAGCCAAGGAGAGATAGTCAGTTATTGCCAATGGTGGAAGGGCTTCTGCAAGACAGGTAGGCCAGGGTGCCTCCCAGCCCTGGTTCCAGGTTCTCTTTA
Source organism: Homo sapiens (assembly GCF_000001405.40). Lineage (NCBI taxonomy): Eukaryota > Metazoa > Chordata > Mammalia > Primates > Hominidae > Homo > Homo sapiens. The sequence goes on from NC_000017.11 coordinate 78,040,063, forward strand.
GGTAAAGACTGTTATCAGCAAATGAAACATTGGCCTTCTCATAAAATAATACAGGGGAAACTAGATTTGTAAATTCATGTATTGATTTGGATGGGAGTATATTTAGCCAAATAGCAACAGATCTTAACTGGGAAGATGAGTATTAGTACGTACAGTGATTTCCAGAGATTCCAAAGAATGCCACCTGATCATGTCAGGTTCAGTGCAGATTATGTTTTGCAAGTCTGCAGGATAGCTCCAGCTTGAAACACTTGAGAGCTTTTATCTTTAAAAAATAATAATAATAATAAGTTCTTGTGCCAAAGGCAGAACAATGTATTGTTTTGGTGGCTGCTTTGTACATTTATAAACAGAGGCTTTGATTAATATACGGCAGTGTTTGCTACTTAGATCTTTTTTAGATAGAGGCAGGAAAGTAATTAAGAAGCTGGACACTTGCCAGTTTACATATGGGGCTCATTTAGAATATTACAGCTAGTGTTGGCATGCCAAATGTTTAGGAGTTGTTTAGAAAAAGGGAGAAAGAAGGAGCGGAAAACAAAGGCAGGATGAGAGAGCCGCAGTTTATTCGCCTGCAGCCAATAGGCAAAATGCCGTTATTCTTTTGGCTGACTTTCAAAAACACAGAAGAAAAGTGGCTGTGATGCTAATTGTAACTGGGTCCTGAAGTGAAAATGTTTGTGACAATCGAAAGAATTTAAAGAGGAAGGAAGATCGGTTTAGTGTCAGCTGCAATTAGATAATCAAAGCTGTAAAATCCCATCCGTCCATGCCTCCGCCCCTAGTTGAAGGGGATGAGTCGGGTGCCTCCTGGAGTAGAAAGGGCATTGCCCAGCCCTGCCCGGCTTGCGGCCGCGGGCGCCCGCGGGTGGCCCGGACGCAGACTGGCCCCGGGAGCTTCCTGGCAGCTCCCTGGCAGCTCTACAGGAGGCGGCTCTCGCTGTACCCAGCCGACATGTTGTAGCGAGAGGCCAGGCGAGCCTCGATGCAGGCGTAGAGGCAGCTGTGCACGCGAGGTGGCGTCTCCTAGGAGGGTTGGGCGGCACCGTCTGCAGGTATTTCCTCACCCGTCAGCCCCTCGTAGAGCAGGAGAAACGGAACAAACACGGAACAAATAGTGGCTGCTTCTCGCCAGTCCGTTTGTGACATAACATTCCAGCGTGTGAGTGGTAGCCCGGCGTCCCTAAGCTCTTGGCTGCAATTCAGATTGGATAAAATGGCGTCTTGGAAAAGAGCTGCTTGCTAAAGATCTGCCGCACGGAGCAGAGACTTACCCATGGCTTTCCCTACTGTGGTTTCTCTCTGCTGGGCTGGCACGGGCAGGCCTTCCCAAATTAGGAAGCAAGCCTCCTTTGCCCCCAGTTTCCTTCTTTATTTAATAGACTCTTAACCTTGAGGAAGCAATCTCATTTTACTGCCGTTTTGAAGAAAAACACAAGGCAACAAACTTATTCTTTTGGACACTATTTGTGTTTCCAATAAATCTTGTACTGTGTTCTGCGTTTCATAATTCCTTGTATTTATAGTAGTTGACAGATGAAATGTTTGGGAGTCTGTCCAGCAATGGAATTTTGAATTCAAAGTACTTTCTCCCTGAGATCTTTACACCCAGTAAATGCAGTAGAGGGGGAGGCATCTTTGGTTTTCAAAAGCTGAAGGCTGTTGTAGCATTTATCCTGCCCCTGAAAACCAAGCAGCGAAGGATTTGTGGTATCAGTAAGCCTTAGTAAACGTATACTATCAACTGTTGAAAGCATTGCGAACTAGTTTTTATAATACATATTATTTCAGTTAAAAGGACTGTGATGATAAAGAATGAACACATTTACTATTTGTCAGTGTTAGTACCAGTACAGCATTCTGCACACCTCTGAGTAAATCTTGTCCACACTTTCATATCTGATTAAATCTGATACCTAATTAAAATTTTGCTTACTATGGCTTTTGGAAGCTCTTCATTAAATATTTTCCAGGAAAATTTTATCTTTATATGCTAACATTTTGGAATTTAAAGACAAAGGAAAGCTTTTCTCTTTCAACCATGCTATTATGTAATCCTTTTTAATTTAATCACTTAAGACAGTTACGTTGCTTAGATTTTTATAGACACCTATTTATAGACTGTAAACCACTTAACAGCAGAAGAAAAGAGAATTTAACGTTATACATGAGCTTCATTTCTTTTTTCTTTTTAAGGCTTTTTTTAGGGGAAAAATTATTTGATAATAGAATGTTGTGGTGGGAAGAGCACTAGATTATATTCTGAAAACTCAGATTTCAGTTCATTCCTTACTGTTTATTAGTTACAAACCCTGGCCACTTAGCCTCTCTGAGCCTGTTTCTTCATCTGTAAAACTGACATTGTTTGTAAGGGTCAGCTAAGCCGACGTGTATGGAAATACTTCAAACTCCGAAATGGTATAAAGTATGTGATGTCTTGGTTCATTTCAGAGTTTTCATTCATTTCAAAATGGCTGCTCTTAAAATTCGGTCATTTCACAGATTTTTTTTTTTTTTTTAACGAAATTTAACCTTTTAGACTGCATTTTCATTTTTGGAGTAAATCCTGGTATTCTGATTAAAAGAATATGTGGTGATGGTGGTGATGATGATGGTGCTATTGGTGATGGTGATGATGGAGTTGGTGATGATGGTGGAGATAACAATGATGGTAGTGGTCATCATGATGCTGGTGGTGATCATGGTGGTGGTGCTGATGGTGGTGGTGGTGGTGTTGGTGATGACGGTGTTGGTGATGGTCGTAACAGTGGTGATGGTGGTGGTGGTGATGATGAGGAAGAGGAGACATTCAGGGATTTGATAGAACTAAAAGCATATTTTAATTAGCTCAGTATGCAATACAGTCCCCGGTTTGGGGGTTTTGTATGTATAATTTTCAGAGAGATTCCTAAGCCTACCCTTCAAAAAAGAGCTTATAAGTAGTAGGTGCTTTTCTCTTTCTCCGTGAACCTGCATTGAATTTTCAGTAAAATTAATTTGTGAAGAGCCAGATCATTTGATGAGGTGGAAGAACCAAGAAGTAAGGAACAAGAGAGCAGCTGAAGTATGGAAAAAAAGGAAAAAAGAATAGCAGTATGTCTCATAATGGTAGCCAAAGGTGGAATGTCAGCAGCTGCAGCCTGAAACTTCAGTGGGCTGGGCTGGGCTGGGCACACTCCCTGCTCCTCTCCTGTGACAGAAGATGTACCAGGCCACAGTGTGGCCCCGAGGCTGCAGCCTATCCCAAGAAGTGCAAGGAGGCTATAGAGGTGGGAGAAAAGAGATGGTTGGTTGGTTGATTGGTTCCTTCTTAAGTAAAATAGCATTGTTCCAAATTGACTTCTATAGTAAAACATATTTTTTATAATTTTTTTTATTTCTGTGGGTACATAGAAGGTATATATATTTATGGGTTACATGAGATATTTTGATACAGGCATGCAATGTGTAATAATCACATCAGGATAAATGGGGTATCAGTCATCTCAAGTATTTATCCATTGTGTTACAAATAATCCTATTATACTCTTTTATGTATTTTTTAAATGGACAGTGAAATTATTTTTAGCTATAGTAAGCCTGTTATGCTAGTAATTACTAGGTCTTATTTATTCTTTCTGATTATTTTTTGTACCCATTAACCCTTCTCCACTTCTCCCCACCCCTCACTCTCGCACTACCCTTCCTAGCCTCTATCTTCATAAGTTCAATTATGTTCGTTTTTAACTCCCACAAATAAGTGAGAACATGCAAAGCTTGTCTTCATGTGCCTGGCTTATTTTAATTAACATAGTGACCTCCAGTTCCATCCATGTTGTTGCAAATGACAGGATCTTATTCTTTTTATGGCTGAACAGTATTCCATTGTGTATATCTGCCATATTTTCTTTATTCATCTGTTTATGGACACATAGGTTGCTTCCAAATCTTGGTTGTTGTGAGTAGTGCTGCAGCAAACATCGAAGCTCTCTCTTCAATATACTGATCTCCTTTCTTTTGGGTATATACCTAGGATTGAGGTAGTATAACTTATTATCAAACCCTATCTATGTTTTCAACATAGATTCATAGTCTCAGTTGTAATTTTTTCTAACTAAAAAAGATTTTGAGCTATCAGTTCCTCTTGTACTAACTTCTCTGAATAGATAACCCAGTATTTTTGCAAGTAACTTCAGTTAAGTTGGTTGCTAGTCAACATGGCAACCTAAGCTTAATCTTAACTTTACCTTCAAGACTGAAAATTTAAGCATCATTTATATTACTAGCAAACTGCTTTCAAGTATTGATAAGAATTATTCATTCATTCAATGTATGTTTATTTACTGCTTCTTCTCTGTCAGATACTCTGCTGAACACTGGCAGTAAAAATAGAGCCAGAATAGGTACGCCTTGCCTTCATGGTGTTTACAGCCTAGAGGGAGAACCAGCCAGTCACACGATGACTCACACTAGAATGTGTGCTCCATGAGAGAAAGAAGTCGTTCATCTTGTTTATGGCTGTGTCCCCAGCACAGTAGCTGCATATAGGAGGCACTCAATAATAGTTATTGTTTCAATTGAGTTGGCAAGCTCTGGGCCCATGAGCCACATCTGGCCCATCACCTATTTTTGGAAATAAAGTTTTGTTGGCACACAGCCACACTCATTCTGCTTTTGTGCCACAGCAGCAGAATTGAGTAGTTGTGACAGAGACTATATGGCCCACAAAGCCTAAAGCATTTTGGCTATTAGGCCCTTTACAGAAATTGTTTGCCACCCTGGTTGGTCTAAGTGACTTGAAAGGAAGACTGTTACAATGAATGTATGAGGGAGTCCTAACTAGGGAACAAAAACGTCCCAAATTAAATGTCCATGGATTTGAGATGGGAAAAAAGAATAGACATTGAGCCCAGGCAGGGGATGGCACCTTTAACAGCCCTGTCTTTGGGAGGGCAGGACACAGATGGCACCTCAAGGAACTGTCTGGAGCACAGAGCAGGAGAAAGAATGATATGAATGGCCTCAAAAGAGACCCAACCATTGGTGACCCACTGGGCATTCATTTGGAAAAGAGCACTGTATGCAGTGTTGAGCACATTATTGTGGGTGGGGCAGTAGGGGGCATGGGAAGAGACCTGTTGGAAAGTTATTTACAGTAATCCAGTCAAGACATGAGGGTGCTTGGAACAGGGGCAGTCAGAGGGAAGTTTTATTTCTTGTTTTAATGGAAAAGGTTCTAGAAATACCCAATATGTAAACTCAACAGGCATGACTTCATCCTTATGGCATCCTATATGGCCATCCTTAGGGCACTTCAGCTATTGGGGATGGATATTGGCCTTTGTAGAAGTGACTTTGCTTCCTGCCAGTATTGCCCCATTGGTGGTTATTTTGCTGTGGCATAGTTGAGATCTACACCTCAAAGCCCGGGAAGGTCTGAGTAGGCGGCGTCATTGTAGTGGAAGTGGTTCCCTCAGAAGATGGACGTGCTTGTTCAAAGCAGTCTGGGCTGTACAAGTGCAGCTGATTGGTGACTTCAGCTAGAACTCAGATTGTAGCACTATGCATGTATGGTTTTGTTTGCCCAGGAAGCATATATTGTTTGCCTATATGTGGCAAGCATTTTGAATGGAAAACTAAAAAGATATTTGCCACGCCCTCAAGGAACTCACCTTCAGAAATTAGACACTTAATTCAGGGATCAGATGGGTTTTTAATCAGACTGCTCTGCCGCCTGATTTGTATCACATTTAAACATAAAAATTAAAAATTTTGAAAATATTTTTTCAATAGAAGAAAGTATATAGAAAATAATATAACTGTGTTCACAATAGAGATTTAACATAATATCATGCCATATTTGCTTCAGGGCTCTCTATTTTAAAAATGTTATAGGTATCATCCTCTAACCCCATTCTGGTCCCCATCCCACCCCCAGAGGGAACCACAATTCAAAAATTGTAGTGTTGTGTCACTTTCATCTACAGTGTGACATTAAAGTGCATTTCTTGATTATTAATGAGGTTGATTATTGTTTCATATGTTAATGGCTTATGAGTTTTCTCTTTTCTAAATTGCCTGTTCCTATCCTTTTCCCATTTCTGGTTGGGTTGTTGGCCTCTTTCTTACCGATTTTTAGGATTCTTTTTTTTTTTTTTGAGATGGAGTCTCACTGTGTTGCCCAGGCTGGAGTGCAGTGGCACAGTCTCGGCTCACTGCAACCTCCACCTCTTGGGTTCGAGTGATACTCCTGCCTCAACTCCCAAGTAGCTGGAACCACAGGCGTGCACCACCACACCCGGCTAATTTTTGTGTAAGTAGAGACGAGGTTTCACCATGTTGGCCAGGCTGGTCTCGAACTCCTGACCTCAGGTGATCCACCTGCCTCGGCCTCCCAAAGTGCTGGGATTACAGGCGAGAGCCACTGCGCCTGGCCGGGAATTCTTTAAGCTGATAACCATACATTATCTGTTGTATCTTCTCCCTGCCTGTGGCTTGTTTTTTTAGCTTTCATTATATGATATCTTTTGTTATATAGATGTTTTTAATATTAGCATAGTCAAATTTATCACCTGTTTATGTCTTACGTATTTCATGTCTTCTACAAGATGATACAATGTCCAAGGTCATAGAGATGGTCTCCTTTGCTTCCTTAATAAGCTTTAAGAAGTTTTGCTTTTCCTAATTCGCTCTTTACTTTATCTGGCATGTATACGATATAAGGGATCTACTTTCATTTCATGTGGCTAGACAGTTGTCCAACAGCATTTATTAGCCACCAGCTTATAATGCTATCCTTCTTTCAAACGTGTCATATAATTGAGTATGAACCTGTCAAATTGGGGGCTGAGCAATCCTCAAGTCCTCAAAGTAGACCATTAACAAAGGGCAGATCATTTTACAGTGTGACTGTTGTGGAATGGAACCAATAATACTGTGTATTCGAATGGCACCTCACATATGGAAAAGAATGCATTGGTCAGCCAGGTTGTTAACCCCCTGCTTTCTCGGTGTGGGTTGCAGTGAGTGCTGTCTTAGTCAAGAGGCAGCCTGCCTTATGGCACAACCTGTCCATGAGGGAACCCAAACTGATGGTAAAATGAAATGTGGTAATATTTGCTGGCAACAAGCCATAATCTCTGTGTGTTAACTTGGTCTTATTTTCTGTGTTAAATGAGGAATGGCTTATTTATCTCTTTAGTTAGTTATTATATTAGATAGTTTTTAGAGTATGTGCAAAACCAAATTGTCATAAACCAGGGTTATAGAGCCAACCCCTAATAATTGGCAGTGAAAAGAACCTAGTCATTTTATAGCAGTTTCAACATTTAAAGTTTTCTGTTGCCTGTCTTCATTTTTCCTTTGTAGTTTTCACCTGGAATTACGTACCTACTTTGAAATCACCTAGAGCATAATTCTAAAATCATTACATTACTCTTAAATCAGGCAATAAAAATCTCTTTTAGGTTGATATTAGCTTTAGTATGGTCTTTCTAATGCTAATTTTTTTTGCACACTTCCTTTTTTTCCTTTAGCTCCATCAAACTTTAAAAGAGAATTTATGTGGGAAATTCATGTTTTAATTGTCCATACGATTTTTCTTGTTAAAATAAATTTGAAGAGAACATAATTAAAAGGATCTAAAAGAGAAGAAAATATTTTATTGCAGTTTATTTGTATATTGTAGTATTTAGAGAAACTCACCAAGGATTTCTAAATCACATATGTGAGTTTGTTGTATGTTTGGGTTAAATTATTTTTTTAACATTTCTTTTACTTTATTTTTTAGTGATACATACTTGGAATAAAGTCTGCCAAAAAGTTGATCGAAATATAAGTTTGACTGCAATGTTGGAAATACTCAAATAATTGTTAAAGTCATAGGAAATAAAATGTAGATCCAAACAGGGGATTCTTTAAAAGGACCCGAAGAGTTAAATACTATAAGAAGATGGCATATAAAGTTATTCTAGGGATCTCCAAAGAAAAGGCTCTAAAGAAATAGAAAACAAGGATTGAGAGAATCTTTAGAGATCCAAAAAGATAGCACTTGTGGGGCTGAGATTCTTCTTCCTTCTTTTTCTTCTTTTAGTGATGTCCTTGAGCTACAGATTTTTTTTTTTTATTATGAATGTGCAGGAGACAGTGATAAACCAAATTGCAGATAAGATCAGATAAAGTAGTATACAGCTAATTAAACATTTCTAATCCTTAGTATTTTTGATAACATAAGATAGCATTGTCTCATATGTCTTTTCTCTCTTTCCTTCCGTCACCACTTCCCCCACCCCAAATATTGGTTCTGTTATGATTCTGCAATGCAATTTACAATTTTTTTCTACTGAAAGCCATGTTTCGCCTCTATATAATACTGTAACCTAATTAGAGGTCTTAAAGAGAACTACAAGTTTTATTCAAAACTCTACGTGAACTTACTGTCATTGCCAGTGTTTCTCAGTCTCTGTATTTATAGGAGTTGCAAAGTCACTTATCTTTCAAAGCTGCCTTTACTACAGATGCTTTCAGAGATGCTGATGTGCTAACGTGCATTGTGAGTATTCTCCAGGGGGAATAATAGTACAGTGTAGTGGTAAGAATTGATATAATTTTAAAAACATTAACGCTCTTTAAAATGGGATCTATTAAGAAGACAAATAGCTTTTTTCTTTAAGTCATTTTTTTAGTGTTTGTCATTCAGATTTGAAGACTTGAAATAAAGAGCTTCCCCAAAGACTAGTTAACAGTTGATTCATTGACAAATGAGTAGAAAATCTAATTTTGAATTTTGTTTCATCTTTTTCAGATCTCAGTCATAGTGGATTGGCAGATCATTATGAAAATTCCCACTGGGGACAGCAGCCTACTTACAGAAGCGAAGCCAACTGCAGCTGGGATAAAGTGATAATAGATAGGACTGACAAGGAGGCGTGGCCTTCCATCACAGGAACAGAGACTGAATCTGCCTCAGAATGTACTACAGACACTGACTCTGCCTCCAACTGTGGCTCAGAGAACAGTAGCATGGCTACAGGGAGTGCCCAGGGCAACTTCACTGGACATACCAAGAAGACAAATGGCAATAATGGCACCAATGGCGCACTCGTCCAAAGCCCTTCTAATCAGAGTGCCCTTGGAGCAGGGGGAGCGAACAGTAATGGAAGTGCGGCCAGAGTGTGGGGTGTAGCCACAGGCTCCAGCTCTGGCCTGGCTCACTGCTCTGTCAGTGGTGGGGATGGAAAAATGGACACTATGATTGGAGATGGGAGAAGTCAGAATTGCTGGGGTGCTTCCAACTCCAATGCTGGCATTAATCTTAACCTTAATCCTAATGCCAACCCAGCTGCCTGGCCTGTACTTGGACATGAAGGAACCGTGGCGACAGGCAACCCTTCCAGTATTTGCAGTCCAGTCAGTGCCATAGGTCAAAATATGGGCAACCAGAACGGGAACCCAACAGGCACTTTAGGTGCTTGGGGAAACTTGCTGCCACAAGAGAGCACAGAACCACAAACGTCCACTTCTCAGAATGTGTCTTTCAGCGCACAACCTCAGAACCTTAACACTGATGGACCAAATAACACTAACCCCATGAACTCTTCACCCAACCCTATCAATGCAATGCAGACAAATGGACTGCCAAACTGGGGCATGGCTGTTGGTATGGGGGCCATCATCCCGCCCCACCTGCAAGGCCTTCCTGGTGCTAATGGATCATCAGTTTCTCAAGTCAGTGGGGGCAGTGCTGAAGGAATAAGCAATTCTGTGTGGGGACTGTCCCCAGGTAACCCTGCCACAGGAAATAGCAATTCTGGGTTCAGTCAGGGGAATGGAGACACTGTGAACTCAGCATTAAGTGCTAAACAAAATGGATCCAGCAGTGCTGTGCAAAAGGAAGGAAGTGGAGGAAATGCTTGGGATTCAGGACCTCCTGCTGGTCCTGGAATACTCGCCTGGGGAAGGGGCAGTGGCAACAATGGCGTTGGTAATATCCATTCAGGAGCTTGGGGCCACCCCAGCCGAAGCACCTCTAACGGTGTGAATGGGGAATGGGGAAAGCCCCCAAACCAGCATTCCAACAGTGACATCAATGGGAAAGGATCAACAGGGTGGGAGAGTCCTAGTGTCACCAGCCAGAACCCTACCGTACAGCCTGGTGGTGAACACATGAACTCCTGGGCCAAAGCGGCATCTTCTGGAACTACAGCAAGTGAAGGAAGTAGTGATGGTTCTGGCAACCACAATGAAGGAAGCACTGGGAGGGAAGGAACGGGAGAAGGCCGAAGGCGAGATAAAGGGATTATAGACCAAGGGCACATCCAGTTGCCAAGGAATGATCTTGACCCAAGAGTTCTGTCTAATACTGGTTGGGGACAGACTCCTGTAAAGCAAAACACTGCCTGGGAATTTGAAGAATCCCCTAGGTCTGAAAGGAAAAATGACAATGGGACAGAGGCCTGGGGTTGTGCAGCTACTCAGGCTTCAAACTCAGGGGGGAAGAACGATGGGTCCATCATGAACAGTACAAATACCTCTTCAGTATCTGGGTGGGTCAACGCGCCACCTGCCGCTGTGCCAGCAAACACAGGTTGGGGAGACAGCAACAACAAAGCGCCAAGTGGCCCGGGGGTTTGGGGGGACTCGATAAGCTCTACTGCTGTTAGTACTGCTGCTGCTGCCAAGAGTGGCCATGCTTGGAGTGGGGCCGCAAATCAGGAGGACAAGTCACCCACCTGGGGTGAGCCTCCAAAGCCCAAATCCCAACACTGGGGAGATGGACAAAGATCAAATCCAGCCTGGAGTGCAGGAGGGGGAGATTGGGCAGATTCATCGTCTGTCCTTGGACACTTGGGGGATGGGAAAAAAAATGGATCTGGATGGGATGCTGACAGTAATAGGTCAGGGTCTGGTTGGAATGACACCACGAGATCTGGGAACAGTGGCTGGGGCAACAGCACAAATACAAAGGCCAATCCAGGTACAAACTGGGGGGAGACTTTAAAACCTGGCCCCCAACAGAACTGGGCTAGCAAACCCCAAGACAACAATGTGAGTAACTGGGGAGGAGCTGCTTCTGTGAAACAGACAGGAACAGGGTGGATCGGGGGGCCGGTACCGGTCAAACAGAAGGACAGCAGTGAAGCAACTGGCTGGGAAGAACCCTCTCCACCGTCCATTCGCCGCAAAATGGAAATTGATGATGGTACCTCAGCTTGGGGGGACCCAAGCAACTATAACAATAAAACTGTAAACATGTGGGATAGAAACAACCCGGTCATCCAGAGCAGTACCACGACCAATACCACCACCACCACCACCACTACCACGAGCAACACCACACACAGGGTCGAGACGCCGCCCCCGCACCAGGCCGGTACTCAGCTGAATCGATCACCGTTGCTTGGTCCAGGTAGGAAAGGTATTTCATGTTTCTTTACAAGTAAAAAAAAAAAAAAAAAAGCTTATTCTCATTATATATTCATGAATACTCCGAGTAGTGTTTTTTATAGCAAATAGCATTAAAATAATTTAAGTTCCCTATCACCGTGCAATATTGTATCTAAAGATTATCCAGTGAGAGCAAAGTAGGATCCTCTGGTGGTTTTCTATTCAAGAAAAAAATATATTAAGCACACTCAGTAGAACATCAAGCGAATGTTTTGGTGGTGGCGGTGGTGGCCTGGGGTGGAGATGATGGATTTGAAAGCAATGACAGTGCATGATTCCAAGATTTCGTAACCATTTGGATACAGGAGCAAAGAAGATAGGATAGACATGGTTCAGAACTTGGGCAAGTTGGCAGATGACTGTGTCAGTTCACTGACATGCCCATGAGCACAGCAGGAGGCACAGAGCTCCAAGTGTCCAGTGAGGACAATAAAAGGTCCCAGATACGGAAGACCAGTTCTCAGCCAGAGGGGCAAGGTCCAGAGTAGAGAGATTTTAAGGTGGCAAAGTCGTGAGCATGTTTCAGAGCTGTTAGAAAGGAACAAGTGGAGATGAGAATGAATGAAGAGGGAAGAGATCCCTGTGTCCAGCAGGACAAGGGCACTTCATCCATCTCGTGAAGCAAGGAGCAGGAAAGAGCGCTGCACAGGTGGGCCAGGCTGTCATGGCCAGAGGGCCAAGGCCACCTTCTGGGGTTCTTTTCTCTCTGGGAGTGTGAATACTAGCCCAGAGTGGAGGAGGGCTGGCTAGGAGCAGCAGCACGAGTAGAGAGGGAGCATGCATTAGCCCATGTAGAGGACAGGAACAGAGAACTGACTTGACTGGGGCCCCTGGAGGGTTGCTGGGCAATGTCAGGGCCCAGAGATCACCATACACAGTGAATTTATTGGGACCTGCCATGTACTAGGCTGTACTCTAGTAGCTGGGGAAACTGCAGGAAGCAAAACAGTCAAAACCCTGCCATGGAGGGGTCTAGATCTAGTGAGGGTGGCAAACAACACACGAATTAAAGTATATACGTAGTGTTGGGCAGTGATGGTGCAGGGAGGAAACAGTAAGCCCAGAAGGTCTGCATGCGGGGGCCACTGGAGTTGGGGAATCACCATCTTGTGTAGGGCAGCCTGGGCATTTGGGCACCTTTTTGGTTTTTGTCATAAGCGTTCAACAGGAGAATGTCCTGCCTGCTGCATTAATTCAATTATGACTGCCCTACAGGACCTCCCCTGGCCCACCAGCTGGGCCCTCCAGCCTCCTCGTAGACTTCTTGGTGGTTCACTTGTGTACCTCTCTGAGGCTGCCACATCAGGAATCCTTTATGGATCCTCAAGACAGTTTTAGCCTCCAGCTAACGCATCAGTGTCACTAAACCAGAGGTCAAAAATCAGTGGTCCGTGGGCTGCACCTAGTCCCACAAATGTGCCTTTTTGGCCCACATTTTTTCTGTGAATTGGCATTTTTTTAATGCAAATGTTTTATATTAAATTCCAGATTTCTGGCTTCCTTTGGAAACCTGAAAAGTCTGACATTGGATTCACATGGCAGCAGTCAGTCAGAGCCACTTGCCTTCATAAGGGCCTGTGCATTTTCTCCATACCATGTCACGTTGCCCCCCGACCCCTGACGGTTCCCAACACTGAGGCTTTTGATCAGTAGCCACTGAGCATCATCAAGCTTGCGCTGCTGTTCTTACGCTGGGCCTGTTTACGTTAACTGACTGGTTCCTTGGAGTACTTGAATTTGTGATTCCAATTGTTTACTAATATATGACTAATATTTCTAGGCCCTTACATTTTATAAAGTACTTGGGGGGATAAGGAGAAGCAGGAAGAAGGAAAATGAAGGGATTTGAAAAATAAGATTAGGTCGGGCGTGGTGGCTCATGCCTGTAATCCCAGTACTTTGGGAGGCCAAGGCGGGCAGATCATCTGAGGTCAGGAGTTCGAGACCAGCCTGACCAACAAGGTGAAACCCCATCTCTACTAAAAATACAAAATTAGCCGGGCATGGTGGCGCATGTCTCTAATCCCAGCTACTCAGGAGGTGAAGGCAGGAGAATCATTTGAACCCAGGAGGCGGAGGTTGCAGTGAGCTGAGATGGGGCCATTGCACTCCAGCCTGGGCGACAGAGCGAAACTCTGTCTCAAAAAAAAAAAAAGAAAGAAAGAAAAATAAGATTATTCCTAAGTAAGGAATAGTCTAGTGGGACAGGCTAGTAATATCAAATTTAATAGAGTTTAATTAGCATTATAGTAAAGGTATGCAGAAAGTGATCTGAGAGCCCCCACCTGTAATCCCAGCTACTTGGGAGGCTGAGGTGGAAGGATGGCTTGAGCCCAGGAGTTCAAAGCCTGCCTGGGCAACATAACGAGACCCCATTTCTTTAAACAAACAAACAAAAAAGCTCCAGGAACAGAATTAATACAGTCATGCATAGCTTAACAATGGTGATACATTCTAAGAAATGTGTCATCAGACAATTTCAGCATTGTGTTAACATTATAAAGTATAGTTACATAAACCTAGATGGCATAGCCTCCTGCTCACCTAGGCTATACGGTACAGCCTGTTGCTCCTAGGCTACAAACCTGCACAGCATATTACTGTACTGAATACTGTAGGCAGTTGTAGGACGATGGTAAGTATTTATATATCTAAACATGAAAAGGGGACATTAAAATATGGTATAAAATATTTAAAATGGTGCACCTGTATAGGGCACTTACCATGAGTGGAGCTTGCAGGACTGGAAGTGGCTGTGGGTGAGTCAGTGAGTTAGTGGTGAGTGAATGTGAAGGCTTGGGACACTACTGCACACTACTGCAGACTACGCACACCACTGCAGACTACTGCACACTACTGCAGACTACGCACACCACTGCAGACTACTGTACACTACTGGAGACTACTGCAGAGTACTGTGCACTACTATACACCACTGCAGACTACTGTAAACCACTGCAGACTACTGTATACTACTGCAGACTACTGCACGCCACTGCAGACTACTGTACACCACTGCAAAGTAGAGTTCACCACTGTATACCACTGCAGAGCACTGTACATCACTGTGGACTACTGCGCACCACTGCAGACTACTGTAGACTACTATACACCACTGCAGACTACTGTAGACTAGTATACACCACTGCAGACTACTGCACACCACTGCAGACTACTGTACGCTACTGGAGACTACTGCAGACTACTGTAGACTACTATACACCACTGCAGACTACTACAGACTACTGTACACTACTGGAGACTACTGTGGACTACTGTACACTACTATACATTACTGCAGACTACTGTACACTACTATACACCACTGCAGACTACTGTACGCTACCATACACCACTGCAGACTACTGTACACTACCATACACCACTGCAGACTACTGTACGCTACCATACACCACTGCGGACTACTGTATGCTACCATACACCACTGCGGACTACTGTACGCTACCATACACCACTGCGGACTACTGTACGCTACCATACACCACTGCGGACTACTGTACACCACTGCAAAGTAGAGTTCAGCACTGTACACCACTGCAGAGTACTGCGCACCACTGTAGACTGCTGTAGACTTGGTGAACACTGTACGCTTAGGCCACACTACATTTATTAAAAGATTAAAAGATACTTTCTTCAGTAACACTTAGCTTAAAACACACATTGTACAGCTTCACAAAAGTATTTTTTATATTCTTATTCTATGAGCTTTTTTTTTGTACCTTTTAAACTTTTTTGATAACTAAGACACAAACGCACACGTTAGCCTAGGCCTACACAGGGCCGGGATCTTCAGTATCACTGTTGTCCACCTCCACACGTTGTCCCATTGGAGATCCAATAACAGGAAGTACAGTAAAGACATAAACTGGTAACATAGTCTTGTATCAGCATCATCAGTTGTGTGTGCTAGACCTTGCTGTGACTGGCCGCACAGTAGGTTTGTTTACACGAGCATCACCACAAACACGTGGGGAATGCATTCCGCTACATTATGATGGGTATGGCGTCACTAGGTGATGGGAATTTTTCAGCTCCATTATATATAATCTTAGGGGACCATTGTCCTGTACGCAGTCAGTTGACCAAACCGTCATTATGCAGCCCATGACTATTTTAAATTGGCTTGTGTGTCCCATCCACCCTTAGTGGATAGTCCCAATTTGAATGCCAACTCCTGGAAGAGTTCAGGCTACAGAGGGCCCTATGCCTGGCACTGGAGTCGTGCAATAAATGTGGTCTGGCCATGGTTGGCAGTCATGTATGGAGCATTTTTATGGATCACCTCATTGGATTTTTACAGCTCCTTGGGCCTCATTTTACAAATGAGACCTAGGAGATTAAGTAGCTTTCCAAGGGTACATATGTGGGAGGGAGATGGTGAAGTCTCAGATGTGTAATATATACCATGACCTGCTGACATTTCTAAAATATTACATCCATGACACCCTACAGAGGTTAGAACCACATTGCATTTGTTGGGGGATCTCTCCCCTTTGATACGTGATCCTTAGAAACTTTTTCT
Source organism: Homo sapiens (assembly GCF_000001405.40). NCBI lineage: Eukaryota > Metazoa > Chordata > Mammalia > Primates > Hominidae > Homo > Homo sapiens. Next base: position 78,056,030 of record NC_000017.11, read on the forward strand.
TTTAGAGACAGAGTCTTGCTATGTTGCCCAGGCTGGTCTCAAACTCCTGGCCTCAAGCCATCCTCTCACTTTGGCCTCCCAAAGTGTTGGGATCATAGGTGTGAGCCACCATGCCTGGCCAGAAACTACTTTTTTTTTTTTTTCTTGAGGCAGAGTCTTACTCTGTTGCCTGGGCTAGAGTGCAGTGACACAATCTCGTCTTACTGCAACTTCCACCTCCCGGGTTCAAGCGATTCTCCTGCCTCAGCCTCCCAAGTAGCTGGGATTACAGGCGATCACCACCATGCCTGGCTAATTTTTGTATTTTTAGTAGAGATGGGGTTTCACCATGTTGGCCAGGCTGGTCTGGAACTCCTGACCTCAAGTGATCCACCCACCTCAGCCTCCCAAAGTGCTGGGATTACAGGCATGAACCACCATGGCCGGCCCAGAAACTACTTTTTTTTTTTTTTGAGACAGAGTCTTGCTCTGTTGCCCAGGCTAGAGTGCAGTGGCACAATCTCAGCTCACTGCAAGCTCCGCCTCCCAGGTTCACGCCATTCTCGTGCCTCAGCCTCCCGAGTAGCTAGGACTACAGGTGCCCGCCACCACGCTCGGCTAATTTTTTTTGTATTTTTAGTAGAGACGGGGTTTCATCATGTTAGCCAGGATGGTCTCGGTCTCCTGACCTTGTGATCAGCCAGCCTCGACCCCGCAAAGTGCTGGAATTACAGGCGTGAGCCACCACGCCTGGCCCAGAAACTACTTTTAACTTGTTTTTAGTAGCCAAAACATGGGAGCTTCATGCTGAGAAAGGCATTCTTGTTCAGTTAAAAGGGCCAAAATAATTCTCTTTTATATGAAAAATATTTATAGATTTTTTTAAACAAATTGCACATATTATCACCAAATATAAAGAAGAAAAATGTGCTGTAACTGCTACACCTTAACAGAGTGTTTCTGTACTCTGTTCTCCCCTGCAACTTTTGCAGCCTGTGCATGCGTGTGCTCTTTGTAGGTGTAGCAATACTATAGGAGCAGTTGCAAATCTAGTTTTACCAATTAAAAGAGACAAATAAAAAGTTACACAAATTTTTTTCCATGTGGAAGTGTGCTCACATGCTGAAAGTATGTTAAGTTTAGTATATTGTACAACATATGGGGTTATTTGTTCATTTTTTTCATTTATAACATTAATCTCTTTTTCTACCACTGGCATAAAGTGGCTACACTGAGTATTATTCCTGCCCTGTATTACCTGTGATGTTTAACTCTCAGACATGAACCAAGCCTTCTTTTGCAGTGAGAGCAAAGTTCATCACCCTTAAGAATTACAAGTAATCATAGCCTTTCACTCTCCAAACTTGTTAGACCAAGCTATTATTTGAGCCTGTAGAAGTAACAGTTCCACACCAGTTCCCTTCATAGAGGTGACAGCATGCAGGAGTGGCATTACCCCCGGTGGCAGCCCCTTGCCCTCCTCTCTGGGGACTGTGCCATCTGGGCAGTCAGGGTCAGCAAGGGCAGCAGCAGTCTCAGCACCTGCTGGGCCGTGCTGCCCACTGGCTTGAATGCCTGCGCAGCTTTCCATAGCTACTGGGATTCCCAGACAAAAGCCTTCCACTTGTGACTACTTCATGAAGTTTCTGCTATTTTTAAAGTTGGTGTTTTTAGGTTTTATTCAGCATAGGTTGACCTATGCTGAATTTATAGAATTTTCACTTATGTCAGAGTTTGGGTTTTAAGTTGTGGATCATTACCACTTAAGGGTATTGATCTCTCCTGTCTTATAAAATATGATTTCTGAATTACATTTTTGTGTGTGTGTGTGTGTTGTTTTAAAGGAACGAATGCTACAGTACAATCATTTTTGTCCTATGCTTGTTGATATTAATTAGTTTTCTGTGAGCCTGAGGAAAACTGGTAGTATTTTAGGAAATGCAGTATAGCTTCCTAAACTGGATTGTCTGGACCTGGTTCAGGTTCATTCTGGAGATAAAACAACAGTATTAGTCCAGAGAAATATCCCTGTGCCTGCCTTTTTATCAGAAATTGTAGGCTGCCTGAGAAGGGCTCCAGAGGCCGCACTTGACACTCCTCGAACATTGCCTCAATTACTCAGTCTCTGGTGCGAGCCAGAATTGCAGGACCTGCTACCTTGCGCTCTGCTGTGCATACAAAGCTATTAAGTCGTCATAAAATCAGTCTGCTGTTTTACCAGTTAGTGGGATGTGGCAGAAAGGGAGAAAGTGCAAACATAGCATTTATGTGTGTTCTAAGGGAATGAAAGCAGATCCTAAAAATACTCAGCAACATGATTACCTCGCATACTCAGACATAATATTCTGGGACACTTAAAAACCAACTTGCAGACACACAAGAGAACATTGAATATTAATTAACAAAACCATTTAGTGAGTAATGGAGCCTCATAGTTGGCTCTGAATCTAACAATGAGATTGAAGAAGAACTTCCAGGGATTTCATCTCTGAACTCAGATTTCACTGAAATGTAGATAATTTTAGAGTCAAATATGAAGGCCATTATACAGTTGATCCAAGCTAAACCAGCAGCAGTGGGGTAGTGACATCTTACTGTGTCTTCCAACAATGGCTAGAAGTAAAATATCATTACATATGCCAATCAGAAAACTGGCAGGCAGTATACTGCTAATACTGATCTTAGTCTAGAATTTGTTGTGTGTTCATTTTGCTGCCTATTTGCAGCTCTTCAGAGATGTATCTCAGCCATAGCAGGGATTCCAGCTGTGCTGGTGGTGACCACTGTGGGCTCCTACAAGTCGGCAAAGGCTCTAGCCAGAGGCACACTTTACTTTGCATGTGGGTACTTAATCTGGTGATATTTGCTTTAAAACTTAGTTTTCTGAAACAATTATCATCTTATAAAATATAAAACCAGAGGTTGTGTGCATTAATCATGGAAGAGGCATATCTCCAATTCACTAAACTAAAACTTGGAAAAAATTAGATTTAGGAAGCTTCTACCTAAAAAGATGAGACGTGTATTGTTTCTATAAGTCTCATTAGCAGCAGAAGCCAGAGAGCAGTGGCCTTCCTTCCAGACTCCTGTCCTAGGAAGTTTATCATTCTTTAGTATAAAAACTACACCAAAAGACAGTCACCTGCAGATGGAGTGAATCAGCAAGATCCTGTTACAGCTCAGCTGTTTTCACATAACTTCGGAAATAGATCCCATTGACCTCTGCAGCCAGAAGTAATTCTATTTTAAGCACTATGCAGTAGTTACTAAAAGAGAAATTATCTGAGTGATCTGTGCTTTTTGTGGATGTGGGATTTTTCTTGGGTTTGGATTTGGCTGGGTTGTTTTTGCTTTCCTGTGTTTGAGGGGTTTGGTAAGTGGGGCTGGACTTCAGCAAGGACTGGGGAGTTGGGAGCCTGCTACGGAAGTAGGAAGAGATGCTTCTCAGTGCAAGTCCGTGGCGTGAGACGTGTGAACCCCACATGCAAAGGCCTTAGCTTTAGGTACCTTCAATTCAAAATAGATAAATGATGAAGACAGTTGAAAATACAGTGTGAGGCCGGACACAGTGGCTCACGCCTGTAATCCCAGCACTTTGGGAGGCTGAGCCAGGTGGGTTGCTTGAACCCTGGAGTTTGAGAACAACCTGGGCAACCTAGTGAGACCCACGTCTCTACAAAAAATACAAAAATTAGCTGGGCATAGTGGCACACGCCTCTAGTCCCGGCTACTCAAGAGGCTGAGGCAGGAGGATCACCAGAGCCCAGGGAGGTGAAGGCTGCAGTGAGCTGTGGTTGCACCACCACACTCCATCCTGGACAACAGGAGACCCTGTCTCAAAAAAAAAAAAAAAAAGAAAAAGAAAATATAGTGTGCCCCCCGCCACCGATAGCAGTAGGAAAGAGTTAGCCCATTAAAATCTGTATTAGTATCGTGAAATCAAAACTGTATAAGATGGTTTTCCTTTTCTAATACTTCACATGATGACTCAATAAGGCAGGCAGAAGAAGCTGTTCTAAGGGAAGTTACTGTGCAGCTCAAGGCCCGTGGTCAGTTTCTAGAAGGGACCCCGAATCTGTAACCCTCAAACAGAGTCCCCTGACTTTGGAATGGAAGTGTCAAATGCCCACCACAAAGGCTTTCAGAAAAGTAGGATACTTTGCCATCTGACTGTACTCTTGTATAATGAGCAAACTCTTCTATATAAAGTTTCATTGTACAAAGACCCATCTTGATTTCAGATAAGAAAGTTTTATTGATCTTACAGCTATCAATTCTGCTCTGTTCCTCCATAAGCAAGTACCCAACCAGCCATCATAGTAAATTTGCATTAAGTTTAAAGGCCGTTGGTATGAGTAAAAAATCTCATCTCATTAATATTTAGGTCAGTACCTTAAAAAGCCAAGCACATAGCAAGCACTCAATAAATGCCTGATCGATTGCATTTTTAATCGTTTATCTTTTTTTTTTTTTTTTTTTTTGAGACAGAGTCTTAACTCTGTCGCCCAGGCTGGAGTGCAGTGGCACGATCTCAGCTCACTGCAACCTCTGCCTCCCAGGGTCAAGCAATTCTGGTGCCTCAGCCTCCTGAGTAGTGGGTACTACTACAGGTGTGTGCCACCATGTTGGCTAGGCTGGTCTCAAACTCCTGGCCTCAAGTGATCCACCTCAAGTGAGCCACCATGCCTGGCCTAGTCCTTTATCATATACTCTTAATTAATTACAATTGGCCACCTTTTAACTAAAACTTTCCTCCCAAAAAGGACTGCCCATCACACTTATAAAGCTATGTAAGTGGCATCTGTGGAACAAGCTATAATTAATTTCTTATTTCATAGAGGAAAGAATTTCATCCACTGACTTAATTATCTGTAGTGCTTAAGATGTGATGTGCTTAACAATGTTCAGTGAGAGAAAGATTCTCTGTTTCTTGGTCCTATTTCTTGGCCTTTTCTCTGTCTGCTGCTCATTTTTATACCCAGCTTCCAGATGCACTCTGTTTTCTCCATTCTGAAGGAAAGATGAAGAATGTATATTTTAAAATTGAATGAAAACTACATATCCTGGCTGTGTTTTATTATCCCCATCTCTGTTTGTTAATTTGAAGAAATTGAAGGGAGGTAACGATTCTAAGACCCCATAGTACGGAAATATTCTGCAAAAAGCAGTAGTATTTGAAGGATCATTTTTAAAAGTTTAATATCAGTATTTTAAATGTAAGAAATTTGTTCTACCTCATCAATTCTAACTTTAAAAGAATCCCTATAAATTATTAACAAAAAGATGCCAAATTCACTCTGATGATAAACACTTAACAGTGGAGATTATTTTAATTCTATGTACTTAAAATCATTTTCTGTGTGCTGAAAATACTTGTTTTGCATCAAAATTTTCTATTGCATTTCAGTTTTTAGCATCTCTTCTAGAACCTTTAGAGTGTCAGATGGTACATCCTAGTGTTTCTGTTAGGATGGCATTGTAGGTAAATTATAGTCTTGCCAGATTCAACTGAAAATGAAAATACTGGGCCAGGTGTGGGGGCAGGCATCTGTAATCTCAGCTACTCAGAAGCAGGAGGATCGCTTGAATCTAGGAGTTCGAGGCTGCAGCGCACTATGATCACACTTAAGAACAGCCACTGCACTTCAGCCCAGGCAACGTAACAAGACCCCATCTCTATTAAATAAATATCAAAATGGAAATATTTGGTTTTTTAATTTTTTTGAGTAAGCAAGTGTTCTTCCATTTCTAAGATTTTGAAACATGATGCTTGCAAGTCGTTTGCCTTCTCCATGAAAATACTTACTAGACATTTCTCCTGCCTTTAAGAGGAATTTTAAATTCTTTATAAAAATCAATGAACTATGCTTACCACAATCTTAGTATTTATCCTTAGTTTTGACTTAATTAAATAATTTGTAATACCTATTGCCTTCTCAAAGAGATGGAGGTCTAGAGATGATAAACAAATTCTAGGTGAGTTCATTATTTAATTACCTACAGTAAATTAGTATTTTTATAGCTAATTGGTCTTTAGCAACACATGAGTTATTTTAGCTTACTAAAACCTTGATAATTTTTATTAGCTATGTTAACGTCTCTGATTTAATTTTGTCCTTTCAATTTGTAAAACTACTTCTCCCAATATATATTATTGTCTTTTGTGTAATTAAAGGTAATATTATAGTTAGCAATTGCTGGCGATAACTGGTTAGGACTAACTCCCCTGTTATTGGTAACTATTTGCATAATATATTCCTCAGCATAGAGCTTGTAATTTAAAATGATTTTTAGGTTGCGTGTCCTTTTGTTATTAATCATTCTTACTGCATTTTCTTAGAATAAGAGTATCAAGGGAACTGATTCCATGCTATTTTTAGTCAGAAAATTAATACATTTTGTAATTGATATTGTAATATCCATGTTGAGGCCAAACAATGTAAAATTGATGGTTAACTATTTGCATTTTATACTGTAAGTTTTTCTCTTGCACACAGTCACATGCTTGCTACAGTTATGACTTAAAATATTTATATTTCTGTCTGAGCAAAATGTATCTATATGAAAATTACAACTGATACAAGCTGTCAACATATCAACAGTGTCAGGTGAGCTTATGGCAGAAGCAAAAGATTAGAATTTGAGTTTATTTGGAAAAATAAAATTGACCTATGCAATATAAAATGTTTTTTGTACTGAAGTGTGAAGGGCGTGGGGAAATCCTTCTTATTGCCTGGTTTCATAACCTCTTCTGTGCCTGTAGATAATGCAGTTGGCCCTTGAACAGTTTGGGATTAGGGTTACCAAAAGTATAACTTAGGACTTCCCAAAAACTTAACTACTTGACCAGAAGCCTTATTGATAGCAGTCAGTTAACACATACTTTTTATGCCTTCAGAGTTTTATACAATAAGATAAGCTAGAGAACAGAAGACATTATTAAGAAAATTGTAAAGACTGGGTACGGTAACTCACATCTGTAATCCCAGCACTTTGGGAGGCTGAAGCGGGGGGATCACTTGAGGTCAGGAGTTCGAGACCAGCCTGGCCAACATGGTGAAACCCTGTCCTTACTAAAAATTCAAAAATTAGCCGAGCATGTTGTTGCGTGCCTGTAGTCCCAGCTACTCAGGAGACTGAGGCATGAGAACCCCTTAACCCGGGAGGCGGTGGTTGCAGTGAGCCAAGATTGTGCTACTGCACTCCAGCCTGGGCAACAGAGCAAGACTCTGTCTCCAAAATATATATATATATATAAATAATATATATATATGTATAATTTTAATTGTAAGGAGAAAGTACACTTACTATTCATTAGGTGGAATTGGATCATCATAAAGGTCTTCATCCTCATCATCTTCATGTTGAGGAGCAGGCTGAGGAGGAAGGGGAGGGCTTGGTCTTGCTGTCTCTGGGGTGGTGGAGGTGGAAGAAAATTTGTATAAATGGATCACTGAAGTTCACACCCGTGTTGTCAAGGGTCACCTGTGATTCTATATGCATCTCTAACCTGTTTCCACAAGGGACCAATCCCTGAGGATGCTGTTGCAACAGGACTTGGCAAAGGAATGAAAGGGTTCCTGAAAAACCCTCCCAGAGTACCTGTAGGAACTACTCTGATCCATAATTCAACTCTCTTCTGCCTTCTAAGACAGATACCTCAGATCTCTCTCAGCTTGTGGGTGGTACCATAGAAACTGTCTGCATTTTCCAGTTATGACTTTACCTTTATGTTTTTAATCTGCCATCTTCTCATTTCTTTGCCCAGATAAGGTGATCTGTGTCTATGATGGTCAAAAGATAAACAAGAATAATATTTCAGTATATATTTGCAACTCACAAATTTTTCTTAGAATGATTTCTTTTATGTCATTACATATAATACAAGATGTAAACAAGCTATTTAACCATAGTTTTAAACTATTCTTTTAAACCCTACTATGTTGCAAATGCTGACAATTGAATAGGCTTTAATGTTTAATGGACTTTTAAAGTTGAAAATAGGTAGAGGGCAGGAGTTAGAAAATGGCAATTTTTTATTTTTTCATGTTTTGAGACAGATTCTTGCTCTGTCGCCCAGGCTAGAGTGCAGTGGCACAATCTTGGCTCACTGCAACCTCTGCCTCCCGGGTTACCAAAGTATAACTTAGGACTTCGTAAAACTTAACCACTTGGTTCCCGGGTTCAAGAGATTCTCCTGCCTCAGCCTCCCCAATAGCTCGGATTACAAGTGCACGCCACCATACCCAGCTAAATTTTTGTATTTTTAGTAGTGACAGGGTTTCACCATGTTGGCCAGACTGGTCTCGAACTCCTGACCTTAAGTAATCCACCTGACTCCCAAAGTGCTGGAATTACAGGCATGAGCCACCGCATCTGACCAGTTTTAAGAAGCCAAACAAGCCATGTGCAGTGACACGCCCCAGTAGTCCCAGCTACTTAGGAGGATTGAGTGAGCCCAGGAGTTGAGGGCAGCCTGGGCAACACAGCGAGTCCCCATCTCTAAATAAAAATAAATGAATAAAAATTTTAAAATACAAAGCTAAACAAATCTGATTACATGTAATACATTTGCCTCCTTTAAATTTTCTACTAAAGGCTATTCTAAGGATAGATTATCTTGAAATTATTTTGAAATTGAAAACTGAATTATATTTTTGCTTTTCTCTGATGCACTTTCATTATTTTCTCTACCCCTTGGAACCTTTTTCAGTTTCATCAGGCTGGGGAGAAATGCCTAATGTTCACTCAAAGACTGAAAACTCTTGGGGAGAACCATCCTCCCCTTCTACCCTGGTGGATAATGGCACAGCAGCATGGGGGAAGCCACCCAGCAGTGGCAGCGGGTGGGGAGATCACCCTGCAGAGCCGCCGGTGGCATTTGGAAGAGCTGGCGCACCTGTTGCTGCCTCAGCCCTGTGCAAACCAGGTAAGCCTAGCATCCTGCTTGCCCTGATCTGGCAATTTGGAAATGACTCAAAGTATTGAATTTTAAAGATTAGAGTTTTAGGATACTTTCCTCATTATATTTACACTTTAACTACAAACCAAGAGTCTTGGCCAAGCACAGTGCCTCACACCTATAATCCCAGCACTTTGGGAGTCCAGGGCAGGAGGATCGCTTGAGCGCAGGAGTTTGAGACCAGCCTAGGCAGCATAGTGAGACCTTGTCACTACAAAAAAAAATTGAAAAATTAGCCAGGCATGGTGGCACATGCCTGTAATCCCAGCTATTCGGGAGGCTATGGTGGGAGAATTGCTTGAGCCCGGGAGGTTAAGACTGCCCTGAGCCATGACTGTACCACTCATGAGCCTGAGCAATAGAGCAAGACCCCATCTCTTTAAAAAGGAAAAAAAAAAAGCCAAGATTATAAAATATTTGCCATGCCTGATACATGAACACAAAGGAGCTTTTAAGAGATGTCCATACCCTCCTTTTATAATAATACAAATAAATGCAAAAGTCAAAGCAACCCCGCATATTATGTTTGATTCTCCTGGTAATACCCACACTACTTCAGCAGTATTCTTGTACCTGCCACATTAAGTAATTTAAACCTGCTATTTCACTGAGCAAGATAGATAAAACATGTCATCTCCTTGAGATTAGTTTTTGAAAATATGTATTACCTCACAGCAGCCTAACGCATCTTGCCGTATTGCCCTGCTTTCATCTTGTCAACAGAATTCCACTGGGTGGAATTTGCCATGTTTGTTTTAAAGTTGTTTATGCCTAAACAACTTGAAAAAATTTTAAAAAGGTACATTTTCCTCCCATTTTCTGAAAGTGTAGCAAATATGCAGGTAATAAGTATCCTTATAAATGTCCAGATTATGTATACCAAGTGGAATTCTTATATGGGTGTTTTGCAATGTGATATTTGTAATATTAACATGAGTATAAGATTACTGATTTAAATCTGATATTAAAATTAATTGTGGCTGGGCATGGTAGCTCACGCCTGTAATCTCAGCACTTTGGGAGGCCAAGGTGGGTGGACCACCTGAGGTCAGGAGTTCGAAACCAGCCTGGCCAACAAGGTGAAACCCCATCTCTACTAAAAATACAAAAATTAGCTGGACATAGTGATGAGCGCCTCTAATCCCAGCTACTCAGGAGGCTGAGGCAGGAGAATCGCTTGAACCCGGGAGGCAGAGGTTGCAGTGAGCCAAGATCAGGCCACTGCACTGTAGCCTGGGAGACAGAGACTCCATCTCAAAAAAAAAAAAAAAAATTCGTTGTTCACATAACTGCAGAAGCTTCATCTTTTCTTTGGACATTATTAGATGTCCTAGATCTTAAAATGCAACTTTATTGGTTTTGTACTTTGTGGTTTTTTTTGGTTTTTTTTGTTTTTTGTTTTGCTAATACTCGATAGTATGTTCCATATAGCCACCACTCTGCTCAAAGTATTCCATTTATATTACTTTTTTTTACAAACCTAAAGGATAAGGGAACTTGTGAGTATTTAGATTCATGCGCCATTTTGAGCATTCTATTTTGAGAATTTGTCCTTGGAGGCACAGTTATGTGCCTATTCCATATGTTTATCAGCCTTGTATCTTCATTGAAGACCCAGCTAACTGTGCTCTTACCTAGTCTTTGCCCTTCTTCATATTCTTCCAAGAAGTGAAAATTTGGGGTAATTTTGATACCGAAAATCACTTTGTATTTTAAGATAGGAGGAAAAAACAATATCTGAAGTGGAAACTCGATAGTCACTTTGTAGCTCCATCTGCCTAAGGCCTCCATCCTGCTAGTCTGTAAGCATCTCCTGCGGGCTTGTTAGAAATGCAGCCTGTCGGGCCCAACCTCAGGCCTGCCAGACTTCACATGATCCAGCTGACTGTCACGAGTGGACAGGTTTGAGAAGCTCTGGTCTGTGTGACTTAATGCTCATAGGTTTGGATCAAGCAGTGATTAAGAATCAGACAGAGATGCTCATTTCAGCAGCACATGTACTAAAATTGGAACAATACAGAGAAGATTCGCGTGGTTCCTATGCAAGGATGAGATACAGATTTATGAAGCATCCCATATACAAATTTTCCTGCCACTTGTGATGGCTCATGACTGTAATCCCAACACTTTGGGATGCCGAGGCAGGAGGACTACTTGAGCCCAAGAGTTTGAGACCAGCCTGGGCAACATAGTGAGACCCCATCTCTATTAAAAAGAAAAAAAAAATTAGCTGGATGTGGTGGCACATGCCTGTAGTCCTAGCTACTTGAGAGGCTGAGGCAGGAGGATCACTTGAGCCCAGGAGTTTGAGGTTGCAGTGAGCTGTGATTGCACTACTATAATCCGGGCAACAGAGCAAGACCCTGTTTCAAAAAAAAGAAAAAAACCTACAAATTTTAAAAACCACACAGGACAATGAAATGTTTTAGGAATCTACATTTCTGTAGCCTTTTCATACCATGTAGAGATTGCCACCTTCCCTGGTGGCCCCAGGATTTGTTCTTAGCATGTTTATGTTTCAGAATGATGTGTAGTTGGTTAAGGAAGTTTAGAACAGCACAGAGTACAAATAGCTGATGTTTGAAGGAAAAATTATATACATATACATGTTTATTTACATATGTAGCAAGAGAAATTCAATTCTGAGATCTGGGAGAAATGAAGGCATAAAAAGGTAGATTACAATGCATCATTTGTCCCACGACCCCTAAATTATATGTTACAGTGGAAGCATTGTCTGCGTTAGGGACATGAATTTGATAAGTTCATGTTTGCTCTGTTTCTAGCTTCAAAATCTATGCAAGAAGGCTGGGGCAGTGGTGGGGATGAAATGAACCTCAGTACCAGCCAGTGGGAGGATGAAGAAGGGGACGTGTGGAATAATGCTGCTTCCCAAGAAAGCACCTCCTCCTGCAGCTCCTGGGGGAACGCCCCCAAAAAAGGACTTCAAAAGGTAAGTACAACACTCTTAACGACGGTACACCCTGAAAACCAAAGGTACTTCAGACACATTCAGTATCCAGTTAATCAGACAAAAAGATAGACCTGAGGTTCTCAAAGTAGTCTTAGGACCCTTGGAGGTCCCAGAGACCCTTTCAGGGGAGTAAGCAAGGTCACAACTATTATCATGCCAGTACTAAGACTGTCTTTTTCATTTGAAGTCTCTCTCCGGTATAGGGTAGAGGTGTCCAGAGAACTTTATTGTAGCAGAGAATGTGCAGAAACAGGCATGAAAATCCAGCCATTTCTCTTAAGCCAGACATAGAGATTTGCCAAAAGGCAAAACAGTGCCACCCTTCTCATGAAAAATTAATTACTTTTTATTTTAAAATGTTAGGTTAATGTGTAGTGACTATTATTTTTAAGCAAAATTATATTTTTAAATTTTCTCAGTTTTAATTTCTAATACAGTAAATAGCAATAGACACAACTCATGTCAACAGAAGTTCTTTGGGATCTTCAGTCTCTAAGAGAGTATTATAGGGTCCTGAGACCAAAAAGTTTGAGACAGATGGTTAAGAAGTCTTAAAACAGATGGGCAGGCAGGGCACAGTGGCTCACACCTGTAATCCCGGCACTTTGGGAGGCCAAAGTGGGTGGATCACTTGAGGTCAGGAGTTCAAGTCCAGCCTGGCCAACATGGTGAAACCCCATCTCTACTAAAAATACAAAAACTAGCTGGGCGTGGTGGTGGGTGCCTGTAATCCCAGCTACTCGGGAGGCTGAGGCAAGAGAATTGCTTAAACCTGGGAGGCGGAGGTTGCAGTTGCAGTGAGCCAAGATCGCCTCACTGCACTCCAGCCTGGGCGACAGAGCGAGACTCCCTCTCAAAAAAAAAGACACAAATGTGCGGTCATCTAGAAAACACTGAGATACACATCTCATATATACATGAGCTACATGAGACGTGTATCTCATTTTTTTCTAGATGACTGCCCAATTCAGTCCACATTCAGCATGACTGAATTTCAAGTAGGTCACAAACTTAAATATTAAAAATATGAAAACATGAAAGAACATTAAAAACAATTTTGGACTCAGAGAGGCCTAACTATGACCAAAATCTAAAAGCCATAAAATAAAATTTTTTTGTGTCAATAGATAAATGTAAAAACTGTACATGACAGAAAATACCATAATCAAAGTCAAAAGAAAAATAGCAAACTGGAAAAATATGTTTATAACTCATATCATAGAGAGGGCCAATCCCCTGATACATAAAGTCCTAGAAACTGATTTAAAAAAAAAATCAGCCAGAAACCCAGTAGAAAAAGGAGCACAGAATGTGAAGAGTAGCTGGTCCACAGAGAAGGAGCACCAGTGGCTCCTAGACACGGACTCACAGGAAGGCAGTGCAGTTCCAGACAGCACTCAGAGACACCTGCCATTTTTCATCTCTCAGACCCACAGAAAGCCAGCGTTTTGATTTTTTTATTTAAAAAAATTTTTTTAGAGACAGAGTCTTGCTGTGTCACCTTAGGGGCTGGAGTACAACCTTGAACTCCTGGGCTCGAATTGTCCTCCTGCCTCAGCCTCCTGAGTAGCTGGGTCTACAGGTGCATGCCACTCTGCCCAACTAATTTTATTTTTTATTTTTTCTGTAGAGACAGAGTCTCACTTTGTGGCATTTATACAGTTTTGTATTGCAGCATTTTTGTAGTAAAAAGATAACAATAATTTATGTGTACATTGATGGAGTAACAAGTTAATTATGTCACTTCTACATTATACAGAACTAAAAGGAAATTCTATCTATGTATTGATATGAAAAGATCACTAAAGTACATTGTTAAATTAAAAGCAAGGTGCAGAAAAACATGTACAGCACACACCCTATTTTGTGGGGTAGGAGGAAGAAAACGTGTGTGTGTGTATGTGAGTGTGTGTATGCATGCATGCACACGTAGTGTATCAGCTTCTACAGAATGTTCTAAATTCTCTGGAAGGGCAAATAAGAAACTGCTATGAGTAGTGCCTCTTCGAGAGAACAGGAACTAAGCAAATGGGGTGGCATGAGATGAAAACTTTCTTTATACCTTGTTTATACTTTTGAATCGTGTGAATGTATTCATGTTCAAAAAAATATAGTTTATAAAAGCATTCAGTTAATAATCAGCAGAAACCAGAAACTAAAATCAGAGCTCTCCGCTCATGAGGAGTAGAAGTGATTACAGACATCAAAAAGAATCCTTTTTACAGTTGGGCTGGCAAATAATCCAGTTAATGATGGGACCAAAAATAGCAAATTGGTAAATTAAAATCTTGACTAATCTGGCTCTGGCAGCATAGTAATGATTGAAATAGCCCCAAAATAAGCTAGTTCCTTGAGGAAAGAAAGCCTGTTTATAGAGCTCCATATGCTCCATGATATAGCTGTGGCAGGCTCAATTGTGAAAAACACTATGAAGAATATTTTTGGAAGGGAATTTTTTTCATATTGTAATAATGCATCATTAGAACCTTTGCATTTATAGGCTCAGAGGGAAGTTATTGAGAAGCCTCCTGGCTCTTCTGTGGTGCCGAGCCCTCCCCCACCCCCACTGCTCTTTCTGTAGCTGACCTTTTTCCTCATCCTCTCCTTCACTGACATTTTCCTCCTTATTCCTTTTCTCTACCCTATGAGCTATAAGTAACAAATAGTTAATAAAATTAACAGGTTGTTTCATCCTTTCTTCTTGCTGCCTCTTTACTCATTGGAATAAACCCCCTCATTTTATCATTTTTCAGAATAAAGCTTAGAAAAGGCAAAAAGTGTAATTTTTAGTAAACTTCACATAGGGCTGTGTTCAAGGGAGCGCTTAGGATTATTGGATAGTAAAAGTAGTCTATATTTGTGATAAACTAAATTAATTATCTGGGAAAGAGAAATAATTATCTTGCTTTAAGTTCATAAATTGCACATATATACCAACCTGCAAATGTACCTTGATGCTTTCCGTAGCAGTAGCCACGAAATACTGTTAGGGAGTTTCTGGAATACAGCATTATTCAATGTTAATACAAAAAGATCCTGTGACTTTTAAATGACCCTGAATTTAGGCTGTCTCCCATTTCTGGTAGAAATGCATTAAAATGTAGCTCATGGACTTCCCCCTTTCCCACACTTTGTTCAAGGGCATGAAGACGTCTGGCAAGCAGGATGAGGCCTGGATCATGAGCCGGCTGATCAAACAACTCACAGACATGGGCTTCCCGGTAACTGGCGTCGTAGTTTACTGCTACCCACCATGCTTCCCAAAATGAAATGCCCTCATTGTTTCCTCTCCATGTTTGTTATGTGTGTCAGAAGACACCAAGATTGTTTGAGGAATGAGATATTGACATCATCTAACTCTTAAATCTCCCTTTTACCTGGGTAGTTTGGGTTAGAGATCATTGCTTTGAACTACAGCAAAGACCCACACAATTTCTATCAAAAAGGGTGTGAGAGCCTTTTCCTAGAATAGAAAATGCTTTTTTTTTTTGGAGACAGGGTCTTGCTCTGGCACCTAGGCTGCAGTGCAGTGGTGTGATCAAGCAGTCCTCCTGTCTCGGCCTCCCGAGTAGAGCTGGGACTACAGGCGTGAGCCACCATGCTCGGCTAATTTTTGTATTTTTGGTAGAGACGAGGCTTCACTGTGTTGGCCAGGCTGGTCTCGAACACCTGGGCTCAAGCGATCTGCCCGCCTCGGCCTCCCAAAGTGCTGGGATTACAGGCATGAGTCACTACGCCCAGCCGGAAAATGCTGTGTGATTTTTAATTTTCATTGGTTTATACAGTTTTATGTTTACTTTTAATTTATAATTAAACGTGAATTTCATTAGTGTATAGAGTATATTGACAGAGATCACAAAAGAAAACTTGATGTAAAGTACTAAGGTTTCATATCCAGAAAAAGTATCCTAACCAGACCTACTTAGTTCCTAAGTTTCCAGTCATACGTAGGGAGAATTCATAATTGTAGGGCGTTCCCCTGAAAATACCACAGTCTGTTCAATTCCTGAGATTGGATGGCAGTTCAGATGGCAAGGGATGTCGCCCATATTCGCCATGTATTCGCTTCATGGGACTTCTTTCAAAATCCTTATTCAAATTAGTGTTTATCTTTCAGTTACCGTAGATGCTTCTAAAAGAATGAGTCCAGAATGGCCTCCATGTAGCGGAGGAACCCCATCCTTCACACTGGGCACAGGCCCTCTGTATTGGGCAGGGCATTGTGTTGGTGGCCCAGGCTCTGCCTGTGTGAGTGGGCAAGAGGTTGACGGTGGCTTCAGCGTGTCCTGATTTATACTGTCTCAGTTATCATGGCACCCTAGCGGCTTCAGTCATCCCCTGAGATTACTGTGTTCCAGTCATAAATTATCAAAATGAATCTACTTGTTTTGTTTTTCTGTTTCTTAGAGAAAAGTTGTTGATGGTGGAGCCTAGAGTTGATGAAGCGAAAAATGCAGCTCTGCACTCCGACAGTGACTGACATAGTTGCTGGGACTAGAGAGAGACATGGAGATGGGCCTCACTGGGACAGGAATCCTGTCCTAGGAGAGCATCCTGTCCTCATGGCAGGTGTCCTTGTCTGTGGCCCTGCTGTCTTGGCATAGATTGCACCTTTATGGAATCATTGCTACTCAGTGTTGTACAGAATGATTTTAGGACCAGACACAGTGGCTCACACCTGTAATCCCAACACTTTGGGAGCCCAAGGCAGGAGAACCACTTGAGCCCAGGAGTTTGAGACCAGCCAGGGCAACATGGAGAGAACATATCTCTACAAAAATAATACTAATAGTTACATTTTAAAAAAATGAAAATGATTTTAGGAGTACTTACAAGGTTTTACTGCCACTCTGCATTTTGTTTCCAAAGTGTTAAATACAAGGGCTTTACTTTGAAAATCAAGTCAGTACATTTTCTTATTACAAGTATTTTTAATTCAAAAGACATTGTCTCTAACCTCAACAGTGAAGAAATGTATTTCCAGTTCCAAAACCTAATAACTATGTCTTTAAGTTGATAGTGATTAAATTGTTTGTAACCTTTCCTTTTGTTAATTAATGTGCACTAATGAAAACTCTGTTTTCCTACACAGAGAGAGCCAGCTGAGGAGGCCTTGAAGAGTAACAATATGAATCTTGATCAGGCCATGAGTAAGTCATACAACATCCTTTTTAAAAAGGTACCCAGCTGTGAAGTTTTACTTTCCAGAAGCATTTGATTGTAGTCATGGTTTAATGGTTAATATGTCCTGGGTAGACAGGACCAGGCCACAGTGAAGGGGCAACCACACAACAAGCTGGAACCACAGAGGGAGCCTCTTGGGATTAGCGGACTTTGGAGGTGAATCGCCAATGCCATATTTGAAGCATGTTGGCTTTTCTCATATTTTCCCGTTATGTTTTGAGGGAAGGTAATAATGACACTCTGAGAGACACTGGAACCACACACTAGACTTCAGTGGACACTGAGTGCGTTCCTCGTGCCTTGCCCCAGAACGGACTTGCCTAGGGGCCACCAGAAGCGTTGCCTTGCTGGCTGAGCACCAACTGTTGTTGAGAGAGAAGATTTTCTGTCAAGGAACAAGCAACCCTAGTTCTAGAGCTGCTTTAATAATAATGTTAAATATTTACATTTAAATATAGTCGATTCTTATTTTCTTGGTAGTTATGTTCTATAAAGTCACCACAAACACTGAATTAACGAATACCGAACCAGTGCTCCTAGGAGACATACAGGGTTGGGTTCCTATGAGCCTCTGCTCACAACATTTTTGTCAACCAATCAATATATAACCTTGTTTTATATGTTTTTCTGTTTCAAGACACCTTATTTAATATTGATATATTAGCCAAGAAGGGTGTAACATTTTTCTGACCCTGGATAATGTGACCATAAATTTATTTGGCTTTCATACTCAAAACAATGCCGTCCACCACACTTCCTAGTCATCATCTCATGAATCCACAAATTTAGCCTCTTTTCCATAGCTCTGTCACATGCCCAGATGTTACTTGAGTACTTTCTGAGCAGCCGCACATACAGGTCAGTGAATTTTTTAGGATGTACCATATCATTGA
The DNA here is from genome assembly GCF_000001405.40 of Homo sapiens. Lineage (NCBI taxonomy): Eukaryota > Metazoa > Chordata > Mammalia > Primates > Hominidae > Homo > Homo sapiens. The sequence continues at coordinate 78,074,022 of NC_000017.11, forward strand.
TTCATGATCATTGAACTCAGGGCCAACAGTGCTTTAACTCGTGCCTACATGAAGCTTACTTGACACATATTTCCTCTGTAAGGCGCTTTACTGCCTTCTTGAGCTTAGAAACATGAGACAGCACCTCAGCACCACACAGGGGGACCATTTTAAACACCAGAATCACTACAGAAAGCACAGAAATACGAAAAGCCTGGCAATAAATGGACCACAAAAAGGACACTTCTTTACAACCTGATATCTGAGGCTCAACCTGAACTGGGAACTTGGGCAACTCACATTTTTTTGCCAATCTGCACATGTCCACAAATAACCACAAACAGTGCCCCAATTACTGATTTGGGGGTTACAAATTTTAGCAAGTAGGCCAGCTTTACAAGTACAGAATTCATGAATAATGAGGATAGACTGCAGACTGTCTAATCGTGCACGTGCGACAACGTGTGGTGCAAACTGCCAGGGCGGGACAGAGCAGCGTGTGCTGCAAGAGGTGAATTCTAACTGTGGAGTAGGACAGAGTTAGGGTGGGCCAAACACACACTAGTCATTAAGCCAACAGAGCCGTGAGAACAGAAACAGTGTCTGTTTTGCACAGTATTGTATCCCCCACATCTGGAAGAATACTTGCAGATACAGGACTCGGTGAATGGAGAGGCATGGCCATGAAGTAGGAGAGGATCTTTTGCAGACAGAATAATCGGGAAGGCCCCTGCAAGAAAGCAACCACTGAGCCCACCCGAAATGAGGAAGCAAGTCTTGCAGAAAACTAGGGGAGGGGGTGCATCCCAGGGGAGAGGACAAGCTGAGCCCCTGAGGGCCAGCAGTGGCTGGTGTGGCTGCTGCGGAGAGGATAGAGGGCGGCAGGGCCAGATCACAGACTGCAGGAGCCACGGAAGGGTGCCTGGGGCCAACCCCCATCCCCTTGCCGTGAATCCTTGGCAGCCCCTTGTTGGGCTCAGCCCTAGCAAAGCAAGGGCTCTCTCTGCCCCTGGCTTCCCTGTGTTTGAAGGGGTGGAGGGTCTCCATCCCTCCTTGAGGCCTTAGCTGGTGCCTATCTTGTGCTCAGCACTCACTTGTTTTGTTTACAACATTGCTTCTGTTTGTTGTGCTCCAGGCGCTCTGCTGGAAAAGAAGGTGGACGTGGACAAGCGTGGGCTGGGAGTGACCGACCATAATGGAATGGCCGCCAAGCCCCTCGGCTGCCGCCCGCCAATCTCCAAAGAGTCTTCCGTGGACCGCCCCACCTTTCTTGACAAGGTATGAATATAGGTGGTTTGTTGTTTTTGCTTTTTTAACAAGAGGAGTTTTTCATTTCAACTGTGTCCTTAATACAAGCCAGATTAAAAACTTGCTGGACTATAATACTTAAGTGACTTTTATCCATTTTTTTCTAACATTATGAACATTTAACTCAAAGAAGGGAATGTCGTATTTCATAAGATGTTACTGAGAATGAAAAAGACTGGGATTGAAAACTGATTTTCATATTTATTGTGTGAACTTGGCTGGTTATCTGCTTCAATTTGTCCAATGGGCAAGGGTCATCAAATTTCCATTTTACTATCTCATTTTAAAAACACAGATCTTCCCTTTGGAAATTACGTGTTAGATGTTTATCCTCAGGAAAAGGGATTGGAAGTGGTGGGGCTTGGGCACCCATCTCTGGCTGGCCCTTGTCAGTTGGCCACATGAGTGACCACAGCTGGCATCTGTGGAAAACGCCCTGAATGTTTAGCCAGTCCGGTCACAGCTCAGCCCCCAGTGTTGTCATGTAATGATGTCCCCATGCCAGACTGGTGTGACTGCAAAGCGGAGAAAAGCATTGCACTAAATTCAATGCAAATGTCGAGCCTTGAAAATAAAATTGAAGTAAGGAAGGACACATTAAAAAAAAAAGATCAACAATGGAAGGAGGCTGGGTGCGGTGGCTCACTCCTGTAATCCCAGCACTTTGGGAGGCTGAGGTGGGTGGATCACCTGAGGTCAGGAGATCGAGACCAGCCTGGCCAACATGGTGAAACCCCGTCTCTACTAAAAATACAAGAATTAGCGAGCATGGTGGCACACGCCTGTGAACCCAGCTACTCGGGAGGCTGAGGCAGGAGAATTGCTTGAACCCGGGAGGCGGAGGTTGCAGTAAGCTGAGATCGTGCCATTGCACTCCAGCCTGGACGAGAGAGCGATACTCTGTCTCAAAAAAAAAAAGAAAAAGAAAAAAAAAAAAGGAAAGGCTCACAAGCAAAGAATATCAGAGATGGGACTTGATCTTATTTTGAGAGTCCTCCAGCACGTGATCTGCCTCAGCTGCAGCTGTGGGGTAGCCCAGGGTGAGGCTCACGTCTTCATCCTGCCCCTCGCCAGTGGGGACTGAGTTCAAACTCAGGATGCCCAGTGAAATTGGAATTACAGATAAATAATTTTTGAAATCATACTGTTTAAACTGATAAAATTACTGTTATCTGAAATTCCAATGTGAAATCATACTGTTTAAACTGATAAAATTACTGTTATCTGAAATTCCAATGTAACTCAGCATCGCATATGTTTATTTGCTAATCTGGCAACCCTAAATTGGGACCCTGACATTTAAAATATGGAATAATGCACAGGCTGGTTGTGATGTTAGATGACATAAATTTGCAAAAGACCTGGCACACAGCATGACCTCAGTAGATGTTAAAAAAAAATTAATAAGGTTCTGTCTTTTATTAGTTCTATAACTCACCCTCTTCTTAGATTACACCCTATGAAACTGCTGTGTTTGTAGGTCAAAAACAAATGTCATGGAATTCAACCTAATGTACACCTAGAGCTTTGGTAATAACTTCTCAAAAAGAATCTGTTTATTTGAAAATGGTTGTAAAGTGCTTGTTGCCATCCTTCCTCCGTGCTCCTACCTGAGGCAGGGCCAATAGTTAGGAGAATAGTAGCAGCTAATATATGTGTTTGTAAAATACTTTTAAACTGAAAACAGCATCTTAATCCTATTTCTTTTTCTTTTTCCCCTCTTCCTTTTGCACATGTTCTCCATTCCCTTATCCACACTTTTTTGATCTGTTAATTATTTATCCATCCACGCCTCCTCTGTTTCCTTGGGAAACTGTTTGGTGCTTTGTCTGCTGATGGACACTGCACACAGCTCACCCTTTCTTTCTCCAATCAGGATGGCGGCCTCGTGGAAGAGCCCACGCCTTCACCGTTCTTGCCTTCCCCAAGCCTGAAGCTCCCCCTTTCACACAGTGCACTCCCCAGTCAGGCCCTGGGTGGGATTGCCTCCGGGCTGGGCATGCAAAACTTGAATTCTTCTAGACAGGTAAGGCTGTTTGGAGAGAGCAAAACATGGCCTTTGTTTTACCTGCCTTCTAAAAAATGTGTTTGAGACATAAACTTACTTATTTATAGTTAATACCTCTATTTTTAAATGTGACTGAAAAAGTAGTTGAAATACTACCAGGATTTCCCTTCAGGTGACTTACTGGAGTCAAGAGTTGAAGTAGGAAATGCTTTAGTTATATTTATTCTTACACTTAACTAAAACGTGTTTGAGCTCTCAGCACCCTTGGTGCTAACTTGGGACTGGCTAAAGTGATGATGTGTTGCACAGTGGTCTTCGGCTGCCGGATGCATCCAGAGGTCCAGGTAGTGCCCACCCTCTTTCCTCATGGCAACCAAAACGACGTTACATCTGTTGATCTGCGAGAAAGCACCACATTCTCCCCCTTTTTCCCAGAAATAAAGATGACATCTCTTGCAAGGTGGTTCTCAGGAGTCACACTGGCATTTTTTTCCAGGCTTCAAAAGTCTGTGGGTACAGGTGGAAATCATCTTTCTAAATCAGTTAACTACAGGAAGGACCTGAGAGTGTTGTTTGCCACTTCATCTCACTTTTCTCATATAGACTCTTAACATGAAATGTTGTACCAAAAAACATATCATCCTTTCCCATCCCTAGGACATCCCTTCTCTCTGACTTTCTTAGGGATGAGGTTGACACACACACACACACCGCTTGGAGACATGTCTCTAAGTAGACACTGTGAGGTGTGGGTGGCCAAACAGCCTCTGTGTGCACATTGTCCCAGTGTTGTTACCAATAGTGCCCCTTCCACTCACCAGCGCCCGACTGTGTGATCCTGGCGATCTGACATTGCCCCCTTGGTGGTGGTGCAGTTTTCCATTGTTCTGCCAGCTTCAAGTCAGCAGCCCAGCTAGGGTGTGCACTGGGGTTAGGTTCACAGCTGTTAGCTTTGCAGAAGGGGTTCTCTCCCAGTGCCTCTCAGGCGGCTGTTCCCAAGTGAAGCTGTGCAATACCTTACCTCACCTATTTGTCAGGTAACTCATTACACAGAGTGAAAACTACAGCTACAATATCTTTATCATAGTTAACACAAAATTAACTACCTGAATTTGTCAGTTCATTCCATTTCAAGGTTTGTTGAAATAATAACTATATTTCCTGTTTGAAATGTTGCTATCCTCTCAGATTAGTAATCACCACACATTATTACCCTTTAATTTTTATCACATCCTTTTGGAAATGTATATTTTTCAAATAACCATATTCATGTTGCTGTTGTGTGTGAAACATTGTATGCTGGTAGTTTCTTTGAATGGGGTAGCCTTCTTGTTGTATAAACGACACTCATTAAAAATTCACTTGGGGCCGAACGAGGTGGCTCACGCCTGTAATCCTAGCACTTTGGGAGGCTGAGGTGAGTGGATCCCCTGAGGTCAGGAGTTTGAGACCAGCCAGGACAACATGGCAAAACCCCGTCTCTACTAAAAACACAAAAATTCGGGGTGGCTCACACCTGTAATCCCACCACTTTGGGAGGCCGAGGCAGGTGGATCACAAGGTCAGGAGTTCAAGACCAGCTTGGCCAACATGGTGAAACCCCGTCTCTACTAAAAATACAAAAAATTTAGCCGGGTATGGTGGCAGGCGACGGTAATCCCAGCTCCTCGGGAGACTGAGACAGAGAATTGCTTGAACCCAGGGGTAGAGGTTGCAGTGAGCTGAGATCGCACTACTGCATTCCAGCCTGGGTGACAGAGCAAAACTCCATCTAAAAAAAAAAAAAGCCAGGCATAGTGGCGGGGGTCTGTAATCCCAGCTACTCGGGAGGCTGAGGCAGGAGAATCACTTGGACCCAGGAGGCAGAGGCTACAGTGAGCCAAGACCGCGCTACTGCACTCCAGTCTGGGTGACAGAACAAGACTCTGTCTCAAAAAAATTCTCTTGGGTACAAGTTGACAGTGGTAGGAAGTAGAAACAATTTTGCATTCACTTGAAATAGATCATTTCACCCTACCTCCAAACAATGTTACTCTAATGCCTGCCTTGGTAACGTGTTTAATTCTGTCCCTGTGCAGATACCGAGTGGCAATCTGGGTATGTTTGGCAATAGTGGAGCAGCACAAGCCAGGACCATGCAGCAGCCGCCACAGCCACCAGTGCAGCCTCTTAACTCTTCCCAGCCCAGTCTCCGTGCTCAAGTGCCTCAGTTTCTATCCCCTCAGGTCAGACCCACATCCAAGCAGGACTGAGCAACAGGATATAGATGCCAGTGTTTCGTGGGGTCCTGTGTTATCTGGAAGTCACTATTTTAAAGTGAGAGCGGAGTTAATCCATGTTTAAGAGAAGGCCTTCTGGTTTTTAACCTATAAATTAATTTTAGACTATAAAGTAGTAAATGGATTCTCCTGACCCAGGAGACATTTTCAGAGCTTGCTCCTTGGAATGCCTCAGCCACCGAAACTAGCATTTGGCATCTTCCTGGTCAGAAGCAATATTGAGGGGGAAGGACCTGCCCAACACACTCCCATTGATGTGCTTTTGTCCCAGTCTTTGTCGAGAAAATTATTCAGGTGAACCCAGTGAACTGTCCTAGATTGGTGGGAGAGGAAAGTGACACGCTGTAGTATTGCTGAGGATGTAAAAGAAACCCTTAGAAGCAGCCAAGGACTGAATCATGCTTTAATGAGAAACTAAATGTGATCTCATATAATAGTGTATATATTATAGATTTTCAGTTATGTTTAATATTCAGAATTAGATCATTTTTGCCAATAGAGTTGGGTTTTTTTTCTTTCTTTCATCCCTTTTCAGGAGTGAACCATAGAGATTGTTAAGAAAAAAATGTTGCCGGGCGCGGCGGCTCACGCCTGTAATCCCAGCACTTTGGGAGGCCGAGGTGGGTGGATCACCTGAGGTCAGGAGTTCGAGACCAGCCTGGCCAATATGGCGAAACCCCATCTCTACTAAAAATACAAAATTAGCCAGGTGTGGTGGCGCATGCCTGTGATCCCAGCTACTTGGGAGGCTGAGGCAGGAGAATCGCTTGACCCGGGGAGGTGGAGATTGCGGTGAGCCAAGATCACACCATTGCACTCCAGCCTGGGCAACAAGAGCGGAAACTCCTTCTGAAAAAAAGAAAGAAAGGAAAAAAGGTCAAATCGAATTAAGGAAAAGGATATTGCTGTTTGGCATGGCTCTGAGGCCTAATATATATCAATTGTTCTTGTTAATATTGTTTATTTTTAGCACATTTTACAATTTTAGGCTTTGGACCAAGTTTTTAATTACAGTGTTAGTTCTTACCCCTTATAATATATTTGATAATCAATGGTATTGATAACATCTTTGCTGCGTGGGGTAACTCAGGGCTCTAGTTGATACGTAATTCTGGTGTGAAGGTTGACTGGAGCCCTGCCCTGAGAGAGCAGCAGCATCTTGAAGTACTTACAACATTCTAGCATTCTAGCAGAGAGGGAAAAAACTGCTTTCTTCCCCAAGAGACCTCTGATATCAAGAAGATAGTTAAAATTTCTGAGGGATCTTATGTTCAATCTGTTCCAAAAGAGAACGTGTTAATTCATCAATCTTCTATTATTCATAAAATTTAATTTAAATGTGTTTAGTTTGTTGGAATATGGTGTCTTAGTCCATTTGGGCTGCTGTAACAAAATACCTTAGACTGGGTCATTTACAACAGCATGAATGTATTGCTTGCAGTTCTGGAGGCTGAGAAGTCCAAGATCAAGGTGCCAGAAGATTCAGTGTCTGGTGAGGGCCCGTTTCTCATAGATGGCAACTTTTATGCATCCTCATGTGGTGGAAGGGGCAAACAGGCTTCCTCAGGCCTCTGTCATTAGGGTGCTGATCCAATTCATGGGGGCTCCTGATCACCTCCCAAAGGCCTCCGCTCTTAACACCACCACAATTAGGGTTTGGGTTTCAACATAGGAATTCTCGGGGGACGCAGACATTCAGACCATAGCATATGGGAAGGCAATGCTAGCATACGAAAAAGAGCAGGATGCACTGGGCACTGCATTGAGGGTAATTCTCGCTCTGTAATTGTTCAAACCCAGGTTTGTGCACTGAGTTGATAGTGCACAATTATCAATATAACTAATACATGTAACTATTATCAGGCAATAATAAAAGTTATTAGATAATAGTTAAATGTATTCATTAGGATATAGGATAAGCCACCATAACAAAGAGGCCTCAAAAAACAGTAGCTTAAACTAGGTAGACATTGATCTCTCTCAGGTTACAGTGCAGAAAGAAGCAGTGCAGGGATCGGGGGTGACTCTGCCATAGCCACTTCCCAGGAACAGGGGAAAAGGCAGCACTACTGTGCCGGTGGCCTTGAAATTGTACACACCACTTCCAGTCACATCCCACTGCCCAGACCTAGGCCACAGCTGCACCCAGTCTGAGAGGCAGTAGCAGAAGAAGCAGTTAGTCTTCCCCACACAAAGCAAACCAGCATGTCCCAAATGGCAAGGCATCTGTGTGCCGTCTCACTGTTTCTTCTGTATCTCCCTGTTACCTGTGAGTACTGATAGGAAGGACACAGAACCTTGGAAAGTTCATTTATAATTAAAATATTTGGAGGATGAGATCTCTGAAGACTTTCCTTCTTCCTTCCCTCCTTTCTTTTTCCTTTCTTTCTTATTCTTTACGTGCTAACTACTAATGTTAAAATGTCCATACATTTTTTAATGGCCTTTGACATTTCACCCATGAGACAAATATAATTATTATTGCAGGATCTGGCCAGCAGCCTGCGGTGCAACAGGGCTCTTTCTTTGTTCCCAGGCAGATTGGCAGGTCGAGAAATAAAAGACACACACGAGATAGTGAAAGCTGGGTCCGGGGGGTCACCGCCTTCTGATCCTGTGATGCCACCAATGCACTGGATATACCGGCATTTATTACTAAGTTTAGTGAGGGCAGGGGTAGGTTAGTGAGGGATTTAGGGTCGTTTGATTATGAGGTGAGATGATCACATGGGGATGAAGTAATTCTTTAACATAACATCGGTATGCAGAAGTACAGTATACAGGGATAAGAATTTACAATATAGTGTGTGCATCAGCAGTTTCTAACAGAGCCTTAAAACAGAAACACAGTCTGTCCATAACCTGTGTTTAGTAAGATACTAATCAGTAGTAATAATTGCAGCAAAAGCTGGTTGCAAACAATCAATAGAAACAGGACATGAAACTAGATAACTGTTTAGACCACAAATTCTCAGAAGGGAGTATGCCTTAACCCTAAAGAGACCTAGAAGAGCTGTGGCAAGATAAGGGCGTTTGTAACCCTATCTTATCCATATGAACAGGCGCCCCTCATGCATCCATTTATAGGCTCTCCCCAAGGGTCGCATTCCATTCCCAGAGCTATGAACATCTGCTTTTCTGGGATAGGAATCTTGGTGATGTGAAACCTCCCTGACTGCACATCCATTTATAGGCTCTCTGCAGGGGGAAGCACATCACGCGCTGTTGGCTCATTCTGGCAGCCCAACCTTGCATTGTCTTTACACAGTCCTGCATGCAATTTTGTATTTACAATAATCAGGAGCATTTCATCTTTTATTCCATAGCAGTAGTTTCAGGGGGTCTCCCTACAAATTATCATTTAATCATTTTTGAATTTTGAAAAACTACAGGTACAAGTAACTATTTTAACAGAGATACAACGGCTAATAGTATATTTTATGTTAAACAGGTTCAAGCACAGCTTTTGCAGTTTGCAGCAAAAAACATTGGTCTCAACCCTGCACTATTAACCTCGCCAATTAATCCTCAACATATGACGATGTTGAACCAGCTCTATCAGCTGCAGCTGGTGAGTGGATAGACCCATGCAAGTTAGAGCACGCAGGCCGAGTGCAGATGCACGGCACCTGCTGAGAGCAGCAGTTGTGATAATGTTTGTCTTCACGTCAGGGATGTCATTGAGACTCTCATGAAGTATTTAAACTCTTCATGAGTTAGGGAGTTCTCACTCAAAGGTGTCCTACTAGGTTTTGTAAATGTTTTGGCCTCTTTGTTTTTGTTTTTGTTTAGAGGCAGCATCTTACTATGTTGCCAGGCTGGTCTGGAACTCCTGGACTCAAGGGATCCTCCCACCTCAGCCACCTGAGTAGCTGAGACACCACGGGTGTGCACCACTGCACATGGCTTGGCCTCTTTGTGTTCAGAAAATCTACCAATCTACCAGATTTTATAATTAGGCATGTCTTTTCAGTTGAGCTCTCAGCCAGAGTTTCTGAGAACCACAGAACACAAAAAATCATTTGAGTGACTATTTTCTCAGTTATTCTAAGGATGGTATACATAAATACTATTCTAGAAGCACAGGAGAAAAATTGCTTTATTACATATAGTAGATGCCTTAGAGCATTAGAACTTAATTCTCTCATGAAACCCCGGTCAAGAATGGCTGATGTGACCTAATAATTCTTGAAAGTTTTGTAGCTTCACATAATCTTGATTTTTTTTTAATTTTCAATCAGTCTTACTGATTTTACTATAATTGCCATGTCATTGTATACCTAGATGCTTACTGAAATTATATACACTAAAAGACCCAGTTAATTATTTCATTCTTTAATGTGGGTATCTGATTTATTTAGCAATCTTAGCCAGCAACTTCATCACCTAGAAAATGACCAGGAATCGGCCGGGCACGGTGGCTCATGCCTATAATCCCAGCATTTTGGGAGGCCCAGGCGGGTGGATCACCTGAGGTCAGGAGTTCGAGATTAGTCTGGCCAACATGGTGAAACCCCGTCTCTACTAAAAATACAAAAATTAGCCGGGCATGATGGCGCATGTCTGTAATCCCAGCTATTCGGGAGGCTGAGGCAGGAGAATCGCTTGAACCTGGAAGGCGGAGGTTGCAGTGAGCCTCGCACCTTTGCACTCCAGCCTGGGCGACAGAGCAAGACTCCGTCTCAAGAAAAAAAAAAAAGAAAATCATGACCAGGAATCATGAAGGAGAAAAAAAAAAAAAAAAGAATGGGAACTCCAAAAGACAGAACCATTGGCATAAAACCTTTGCTAATGAGAGAGTACCTCAGCCCTCAGTCTTTCCCCTTTGCTGTTTTTTAGACACATGTCCAACAAGTTTGAGGTCTGCTTTTCTGTAAGCAGCAGGGGAGGATAGAAGGAAGGAGGGAAGGACGTGTCCCAGAGACACATGCTATGTGTCCTCGCTTTAATGGAAAGCACAGAGCTCTAGACATGAGGTCAGGACCAAGGCTTGGCCCTCAGAGACTGTTTTTTCTTTTTCTTTTTCTTTTTTTTTTTTTTTTGAGACGGCGTCTTGCTAGTCTTGCTCTGTTGCCCAGGCTGGAGTGCAGTGGCACGATCATGGCTCACTGCAGCCTCTGCCTTGTGGGTTCAAGCAATTCTCCTGTCTCAGCCTCCCGAGTAGCTGGGATTACAGGCGCCCGCCACCACGCCCAGCTAATTTTTGTATTTTTAGTAGAGACAGGGTTTCACCATGTTGGTCAGGCTGCTGGTCTCCAACTCCTTACCTCAGGTGATCCTCCCGCCTCAGACTCCCAAAGTGCTGGGATTACAGGCGTGAGCCACTGCGCCTGGCCAGAGACTGTTTTTCCATCTGTCAGAAGGGAGGTGGTGCTGTAGTGAGGAATCGCTGTGGGGAGGCAGTGCACATGTGCAGTCCTATTGCTTTCAGTCCTGCCCGCCGGAGACCACTGACCTCCAAAGGAAAGGAGACAGCTCTGAAAACAGGCACTCATAGAAAAAGCATGCAGGTTTAGAGCTGTTACTGTAGAGGAAGATCGCTTTCTGCCACTAGATGACGCTGCAGGCATTGCTGCAGCCCTGACACAGAGCTGATTATCTTACTGATGTGCTAGAATCTTTTAGTTATACAGTAAGTTTTTATTGACCTCTATAGTGTGAAAGACATCAAGAAAATGTTGAATTACCAATAGGGTGTTCTAATTTTAAAACAATGTATTCTGTTCTTAAATTTTTTTCCAGAAAAATTGGAAAAATAAAGTTTCAGTGCTTCCATAAGGTTAAGTTTTAGGCCTATAAGGATTCACTTAAGTGGGGTATTTTATTCCTCCATGATTACAGATGAAGGAGGCATTTCTAATAGTATAATCTCCACCTTTATTTGGATTCTACTTTGATGAGTCTTGCCAAAAATGTCCCTAAAATTCATGTTGTAAGAAAAAAAATCATGATATTCAACCAACATTTCAAAACAGTCAAATGACCAAAGCTTCTATGTCAGTGTACAGAAGAATATCATCATAACTTTAACCAACTTTGTAGATGACAAGTTTGTGTGACAAAAGTGCCCACAAATCTGCATTTCAGGTTCTCTCTTAGCTTTCATTCCCATGATGTTAGGGAGATAACCACGTTGTTTAACACACATTATTATTGAATGATTTGGGACAGTTACTACCAGTGTTTCACATTGTCTGGGCTGTCCTGGACTTCAGTCTCCATCATTATAGAATAGGTTGGTTTTTTGTTTTTTTTTTTTAAGTTTCAGTTTGTATGAATCAAGCAGAAGAATTTTGATTTCTTCATTAAATGAAAAATATTTGCTGACCAACATCATCACCAACACTAAACAGGTATTGACTCTGTGATTTTTTTTAGTTCTGCGCACTAAAAAAGTGGATAAGACATTAATCTTTTAAAAGTGCTCTGTGCCTCCAGAATATGTGTCAGCCATGGCTGGGCGCCGTGGCTCATGCCTGTAATCCCAGCACTTTGGGAGGCTGAGGCAGGCAGATCACGAAGTCAGTAGTTTGAGACCAGCCTGGCCAACATAATGAAACCCCGTCTCTACTAAAAATACAAAAATTAGCTGGGCGTGGTGGCACACGACTGCAATCCCAGCTACTCGGGAGGCTGAGGCAGGAGAATTGCTTGAACCCGGGAGGCAGAGGTGGCAGTGAGCTGAGATCACGCCATTACACTCCAGCCTGGATGACAGAGCGAGACTCCATCTAAAAAAAAAAAAAAAAAAAAAAAAAAAAAAAACAGTATGTGTCAGCCACAGTATGGGCCAAGAAGAGTGGCTAGGTTCTCTTTTTTTATTTTTTAACTAATGTCAGAAAGTTGAACCATTAGTTCAACTTACACTTAATTATCATACTATTTTAACTCTTCGTTCTGTCAACAGGCATACCAACGTTTACAAATCCAGCAGCAGATGTTACAGGCCCAGCGTAATGTGTCCGGATCCATGAGACAACAGGAGCAGCAAGTAGGTGCTACCCAGATTGATTTTTGTCATGAGCTATAATTTTCCCTGATAGAAGAGACGCTAATTGATGAACTATTAGATGATCATTGATTTTTCTCTAGCCAAGCCTTCCTTTGAAAATTCCTGGGTTCAGCTAGGTTTGGGAGGAGGTTGGCCTAGCCAGTAGTGGCCTCAGCATAAAGACAATGAAGAATGCATTTGGTCCCTAGACAAGCCATGAGTGTCCCTTCCCACCTAGTTAACGCACCTATGTCTCTGCCTGCCAGGTTGCGCGCACAATCACTAATCTGCAGCAGCAGATCCAGCAGCACCAGCGCCAGCTGGCCCAGGCCCTGCTCGTGAAGCAGCCACCACCGCCACCGCCCCCGCCGCACCTGTCTCTGCACCCCTCTGCAGGCAAATCGGCCATGGACAGCTTCCCCTCGCACCCACAGACTCCCGGCCTACCTGACCTGCAGACCAAAGAGCAGCAGTCTTCACCCAACACCTTTGCTCCTTACCCTCTCGGTGAGTGTCCCATGGTCTTCAACAGCCACATCAGGTAGAGAGGGTACCTGGAGTCCGTATGTGGTAGCCAGGGCAGCATTTCAGTGGTTAGGAGGACTGGCCAGCGCTGAAACCATAGCCTGTTGGAAATGCAGCCCCAGACAAAATCGGAGAGCAGGTATCTCAAGGCTTTTTAATTTTAAAAAAATTTTTTAATTATTTTTTTGAGAGATGGGGGTCTCACCATGTTGCTCAGGCTGGTCTTGAACTCCTGGGCTCAAGCAATCCTCCCACCTCAGCCTCTTAAAGTGCTGGGTTTATAGGTGTGAGCCACCATGCCCAGCCTCAAGGATTTGTAATAAGGGAACAACACTAACCACGTTGTATAGAGCAGGAGTTTTGCCGCTGCCAATAATACTCTCAGTATAAAACCTTTAAAGGTAGTACCAGTCAGAGCCCCCAAAATCTCATTTCCATTGTCAAATCTCCAAAGTTTGTTCTGTTCCTAGTCTACTCTGAACTGTACTTTACCAGCCACTGTCCTCCAGCCTAAACCACAGAGAAGACTTTATAATGGTTTGGTCAGTAAAAGTATTCAGATTTACATTAAAAGCACTTCTTAAAAAGCAGTGGTTGTTGATACAACTCATTTTGTATGAAATGTGATTTGTATAATCGACCAAATCAACATATATATGTTGAAATCTAACTTGTAGAAGCACACTCAGCACTTGAAACCCGCAGGTCAGTAGAAGACATGGTGCCAGGCCTCGAGGTCAGGCCAGTCAGGAGAGACACAGCTCACATACCTGAAGACACCAGAGGGTATAAATTAGTAAATTGATTCTGCATGGACTAATTTGCCGTAAGAATTCAGAAGTTAGTGAAAGCACTTTAGGCTTGTCTGTTGATTGCTATTAGAGTCTGTAGATACAGGACAAAGGGTTATCGGTAACTTGGAAAATACATCTGTAAAGGGGCAAAGGCCAGTTGAGTGGTAGTGAATTTGCTGCCAGCAGATAATATTCATTTATCTAATTCTATTCAATGTCTCTGAAAAGAGCGGTATATTGTAATCATATGAATCCTTTTTACTTGACATATTATAAATGTGGTATATCTTTAATATGAGATTGATAAATACTAGACTAGATGATCTCGTTCCTTAATTATTGTCTCATCCATTAGAGCCCTTTGTGTCGAAGTAGGTAAGACCTGACTTAGGAATTAGACTCCCTAGGTTTGAGTCCCAACTCACCACCAAGAGGCTCACTACTAACTTGGGCAACTTGCCTAGCTGCTGTTTGCTTCAATTTCTTTATTTTTCTTTCTTTTTTTTTTGGTAGAGACAGGGTCTTTCTATGTTGCCCAGGCAAGTCTCAAAACTCCTGGCCTCAAGTGATCCTCCCTAAGTGTTAGGATTACAGGCCTGAGACACCATACTGAGCCATGCCTTAATTTCTTCATCTGTAATGTGGAAATACTTAACTCCTAGGTTTGTTTTAAAGATTAAATGAGCTAATATGTAAAGTTCTCTTTTTTCTTTTTTTTTTCTCTCTCTTTTTTTTTTTGGCTGGAGTGCAGTGGCGTGATCATAGCTCATTGCAGCCTCAAACTCCTGGCCTTAAGTGATCCTGCTGGTCTCAGCTTCCCAAAGTGCTGTGATTACAGGCATGAGCCATCACACCTGGCCTAATATGTAAAGTTCTTAAATAGTGCCTAGCACATAGCAAACACTTTGTAAAATGTCAGCTACTTATGTAAGTGCTTCTGTTTTAGAAACAAATTTCATCCCACCTATTATCCTAAAATGCATTAGCTTCAGCTTTCTATTATTCACCTGTCTTCTTAACCTATATTTGGAGGATAAAGTACACTTATCGTTACTTTTTTTTTTTTTTTTTTTTTTTTTTGAGATAGAGTCTTGCTCTGTTGCCCAGGCTGGAGTGCGATGGCGCAGTCTCGGCTCACTGCAACCTCCACCTTCTGGATTCAAGCAATTCTCCTGCCTCAGCCTCCCAAATTGATGGGATTACAGGCATGCATCACCACGCCTGGCTAATTTTTGTATTTTTAGTAGAGACTGGGTTTCACCATGTTGGCCAGGCTGGTCTCAAACTCCTGACCTCAAGTGATCCGCTCACCTAAGCCTCCCAAAGTGTTGGGATTACAGGCGTGAGCCACCGTGCCCGACCACTTATCTTTACTCTTAAGGATTTTTTCTCTTAGTACAAGTTAAAGAATTCATGCAGTGAATCTTTGAAATTAGTTGAAAAATAATTTGGATAATATTTTATAATATTCACAGTAAAGTTATAAATGTATTAAAAGCAAATAACTAATAAAGTCTAGGAAACTTTGGTTGTAAAATTGCCTATCTTGTTGGCTCTCAGCATTTCTCTGCAGCAGCACCTATGTTGAAGAGCCTGTTAGACACTCATCAATTCATGTAAAGAAACCAGCAGCCCATGGTCAGTAGTGGGGGCTCCTAGCTACCTTCCTTCCCTCATGTTCAGCCTGTCGTTGTTATTCTCAGTCTTTTGCCACCTGGAGTTCGCCATCTAGATAGGAAGAGCAGGCATATAAATGGGAAAAAATAACCTTGATACCAGTGTCATGTGATTCTTACAGGGCTCTAGAGAAGGAAAAGTTCACTTTCACTTTGAGTGGTGAAAGAAAAATCAGAGAGTAGGATTAAGCTTGAACCTCAAATGATTGGATAGGATTACAGTAAATAAAGAGGAAGCCTTTCCAAATAAAGGGGAAGCCTCACGTAGCACAGAAGAAAGAGGCCTGGCTTGTTTCAGGGGCCCATTTTGCAAGGGCCAGGCCAGTCTAGCTGACTTTCCCAGAGGGGAAAGTTGGGAGAGATGGGTTGGCGCCAAATTGTGAAATTTGGAGCATTCTGAAGGCCAGGTTGAAGCCCTGACATTGTTGCCACCTTACCTGGCTAGATCTGTACAAGCTGAAACGAAAAGAACCCACACAGCAGAGATTGCAAGTAGGCAGCCCTGTGGCACTGATGGGCTTGCAAAGGCGTTTTGTTAGGTCTGCGAAGTGTGTGTGTGCATGTGCATAGGTGTGTGTTAATGCCAACATTCAAAAATTGGGGAAAGTGGCTTCTGGCTTCTCTTAAAAATGGCTATAGTGGGTCTATGTTCCAGGTAGCAATAGGTGGTTGGCCCCAGTAGCACCTGTTTATTTAGACAGGACAGACACTCTCTGGTTTGCCACAGTCCCCATGAAGCCCACTTCTTCATGTGCATGGCCCACCTGGCTCCTATGGGCATTTGAATTTGCAGCCTCTGAAATAAAGGTAAGAACCAGAATGTTCAGCACCTGGCTAAGTAGTAGAGGCTCACTGTGCTTACGTACCGTGTGGCGTAGTACTTACGGTAAGGACCTATGGGGTATGTGTATGTGGTAAGGGGAACTGCAGCTGGAAATACAAGGGGAGGGGGGCGCTTGTGCTGGTTATTCCCTTCCAAACAAGCAGTCTGTCCTGCTCCAAACTAGTGTCCTCATCAGAAACTCTTTACTTCAACCTTCTTTTCATTGTCCTCCTCATCATCTTTCTTTATTAACCTAGCTTAGTGCAGGTCCTGGACAAATAACCAGGTACCTGCTTTTAGCTATAAGGAATGAGCCCAGAAGCCTCAGCTCACCATCCCAGCTGGGGGCAGATGGCAGCACCCCCGCTGTCAAATAGTTCAGTTCCTTAAAAGTAGTTTGATACTTAATTCACAGACTCTTTCAGAGCAGACTTTTGTAAAGGAAACTCACTAAAGGTAGAACTGAATTATCCTATCAGTCTGTTTCATAGGTGGTACTTTAGAGTTCTGGAAAAGTGTTTTTGACCTGATGAGTTTCCGTAAGATATCCCAAAACAAAGAAAGATTTTCCTAATAGTTTGGACTTTTTCTATTTTCCTGTGGACTCTGAGAAGCCTCAGGACCATGTTTATTCAGCACTGAAACAAGTAAAATGAAGAGAATTGTGGGCCTTACTTAATCAAAGACTATTCACATTTTCACCTTAATTTAGGAATAATATTCCTAGAAATACATGTTGTTATGACGATAAGTAGTATTTTTTCACCAGCACTAAAAGTTATAGTTAAAATATTTTGCTGTATCCCAGCTACTTGGGAGGCTGAGGCAGGAGAATCGCTTGAACCTGGGAGGCGGAGGTTGCAATGAGCCAAGATTGTGCCATTGCACTCCAGCCTGGGCATCAAGAGCAAGACTCCGTCTCAAAAAAAAAAAAAAATTTGCTGTAAGCGAAGACTGAAATAGCTTCTATAGGAGAGCTTTAGAATGAAGTCATTTAGAGGAGCAGGCGAATCCTAACCGCATCTCTCTCTTTAGCTGGACTGAACCCAAACATGAATGTCAACAGCATGGACATGACCGGTGGCTTGTCGGTGAAGGACCCATCCCAGTCCCAGTCACGCCTCCCCCAGTGGACGCACCCCAACTCCATGGATAACTTGCCCAGTGCCGCTTCCCCCCTGGAGCAGAACCCTAGCAAGCATGGTACGTCTGAGCTAGGATGCCTGTGGTGGGATCACTGCTGGCTTATTAATCGATCGTCCTGTTGTATAGCATGGCCATTCTATACTTTTCTAAGAATTGAGCACTGAAAGTTGGATTTAAAATAACCCATTCCATTATAGTGCATATAAGATCTCAGCTAGTCACTGATCAAACTTCTTAAAACCCAACCATTAGATCTTAGCTACAAACTTAGAAATAATTTGAAAACCCCAGAGCAGCAAAGAATCTAGGTCATAGCCTGTGTACTTTTTTTATGTATCTATATTCATCAACAAAAACTTGAGTCTGCTGAAATGTTTTCAATAAAATGGTAAAACATAAATAGAAAATCAAATATACAGTATGTATGGGAACTGCAGCTGTAAATACTAGGGTGCATTTCTGTTGGTTATTCCCCTCCATCCAAGCAGTCTGTCTTACTCCAAACTGGTGTCCCCATCGGGAACTCTTTACTGATGGACACACGAGTAAGGTGGAAGCAAAAATGATAACCATAGGAGGTAATCTCACTCTCAAGCATTAAATTTAACTCTGAACTTCCTGGTAGAATAAACAGCAAAGGAAATTCAGTAGGTTACGTAGTTCTCTCTTGATAGGAAGCATTCTAAAAAGAAAAAGGAAACTATGTCTCATGGTTAACTTACGGAAAATCATCACACACTGCTGGCACCTTTCTTAGCAGGAGGGCTCTGCTGCCTGTAGCTGGTTGGTTTGGTTCTGTATGAATTTTTAACATCCACTGTGTTCTTCCGTAGTGAGGGTTTCAGACTAAAAGGAGGGAAGAGATAACAGCAAATTTGATAGCTAATCACAAAGACTCATAAGTTGTCCCCAAAAAGATTTATTAAGGGCAGCTTCCCATGGTATGGATATGTATTTTGTAAAGACTTCTTACTGGACAAACTGAAATTGTTCTTCAAGGGTTTCAATCTTTCAGGGCTGAAATTGTAGCTAACTGAAACAGTCACTGGCCAGGCATGGTGGCTCACACCTGTAGTTCCAGCTACTTGGGAGGCCAAGGTGGGAGGATCGCTTGAGCCCAGGAGGTTGAGCCCTGATCACATCACTACACTCCAGCCTGGGCCACAGAGTGAGAAGTTGTCTCAAAAAAATAAATAAATAAATAAATAAAGTCATTGATTCTTACAGAATCCTAGACAGACCAAGTCTTACAATTCATGTAACTGAATAGGGCAAGGCATTGGACCTAGAACAGAAGGTACATAGGGAGGCTTAGGGTATCTTCTGGTGTCTCTCAACTGGAGAGTATTCACTCGCTTCTTTGTTTCCTATTGTCCCCATAGGTGCTATCCCTGGAGGTCTAAGCATTGGGCCTCCAGGTAAGTCCTCCATTGATGACTCCTATGGCCGGTACGATTTAATCCAGAACAGTGAGTCACCAGCCAGTCCTCCCGTAGCTGTTCCCCATAGCTGGTCACGTGCCAAATCTGACAGTGATAAAATCTCAAATGGCTCTAGCATCAACTGGCCCCCAGGTAAGACCATGCAACACTTCTGTGCAACAGCAGCAGGTCAGAATGTGCTCCAAGCCTGCAGAGAGTGATTAGGCTGAGAGGACCCAGAATCTGAGCTAAGGATCTGGAAGCGTTAAGCCCAGAGCTTTGGCATTTTCCTTGGAAATCCATTTGTCAGATCAATTTTGGGTATGGTTAGCATCAGGCATTTTTCTGTAAACCCTTAGTTCAGCATGAGGAGTGGAAGGGGTGGCAGGGAGGAAGCACACTGCACACTATCCGGTAAAACTATTCCAACCCTGTGTGAAAACTAGCTTAATATGATAGCTGTGATACCTGGTTCTAGTTTGTTCCAAAGGATTGATTGCTTTAATGAAAGAGAGTATAAGGTGTACCTCTAATTTAATTAGCAGATTATAAAAATTTCTACAAACAGGACAAAACATCTTTTAAAATTTCGTGAATCAATGTGCCGGTGTTCTGATCTGTGGCTTCTCATTTTGGTTTCTTAAACAGAATTCCATCCGGGAGTTCCATGGAAAGGACTGCAGAATATTGACCCTGAGAATGACCCTGACGTCACTCCTGGCAGTGTCCCCACTGGGCCTACCATCAACACCACCATCCAGGATGTCAACCGCTACCTCCTCAAGAGTGGAGGTGAGGGTGCTGCTCTTCCTGCCTCTGCATGGACGGTCTCTCTAGACCCATTTGGAGATGTCAGGGGTGACAGGTTGGGCTGTGAGGCAGGGATGATACAAGGCACAGTTGGCGGGCACCTTTTCTAGTCACCTGAAGCAGCATGAAAAGACAGCAGGTAGTGCTTATGGAGAAATGGAAATCAATTTGAGTTTCTGCTGGATTTTTTATTATTATTACTTTTTTTTTTTTTTTGCGATGAAGTCTCACTCTGTCGCCCAGGATGGAGTGCAGTGGCATGATCTCAGCTCTCTGCAATCTCCACCTTCTGGGTTCAAGCGACTCTCCTGCCTCAGCCTCCCAAGTAGCTGGAATTACAGGCATGTGTGCCACCATACCAAGCTAATTTTTGTATTTTTAGTAGAGACAGGGTTTTGCCATGTTGGCCAGGCTGGTCTCGAACTCCTGACCTCAGGTGTCGCCCATGCTGCTGGATTTATTGATAAGTAATGTCTTATCATAGAAGTGCCATCTCTGATAAAGTTTTATCACAGCATGCTATTTTGTGGAAGGAAGAGCTAGATTGCCATAGGTACTATCACTAATAAGGCCACCTAGATAGTTCCCAAAACATTGAATTTCCCACTTGAAATATGACTCATTGGAGCCATGTGTTTTGTGTTTGCTTCTTTTGTTTCTTTTTTTTTTTTTTTTGAGACAGATTCTCGCTCTCTTGCCCAGGCTGGAGTATAGTGGCGTGATCTTGGCTCACTGCAACCTCCGCCTCGCAGGCTCAAGTGATTCTCATGCCTCAGCCTCCCGATTAGCTGGGACTACAGGCGTGCACCACCACACCCAGCTAATTTTTTCTATTTTTAGTAGAGATGGGGTTTCACCATGTTTGCCAGGCTGATCTCGAACTCCTGACCTCAAGTGATCCGCCTGCTTTGGCCTCCCAAAGTGCTGGGATTACAGGCGTGAGCCAGTGTGCCTGGCTGCTTCTGTGGTTCTTTAAAGTGATAGGCTTCTAAATGTGCCTGTGGTTTGGCTGGAAAGCCAACATAAGTACAGATTGCCCTTTCTGTTTAATGCTGTGTATTCCTTGGGGTTACACAGCTGCTTTTTGGATGCAGCTGCGTTTCGGAACAGGGATGTTACGGGTGTCCCTGCTGTCAGACACAGCCAAGTGGTGCAGGAAAAGGAGCCGTGTAAGATGGCAGAGGACAGGTGAGGCGCCAGCCAGAATCAGAGACCCAGCCCTCCCCGCTTGTCACACCTGGTGGGGCACCAGGGTTGTGCCAGACAGGAAAATTAGCATATTTTGAGGGATGTGGAGAAGTGGGATGCAGGTTGTACAGATCCAAGTCATAAGGGAAGTTGGAAAGAATCGAAGTTGCATGGCAGAGCTTCCCGAGTGGTGCCCAGATGAAGCATCAGGTAGCCCCTTAGCCTCCAGGCAGAACCAGGGCCACTGGGAGTGGCCTCAGCCATCGCCTGAGTGTGCCATGGTGTGAAGAAGATGGCCCGAGAAACACGTGACAGCTGTCCTCAAGCTCCACATGCAGCTGTCCTCCAGCTCCATAGCCTGCCCAGTTAAGGAGATCAACTTGCGGGGAGGGCAGAAGAGAACCTAAGCCTAGGAAATGCATTGGCCTTTGAGATAAGGCAAGGAAATGGCATCTCCAGCCCTGAGCCTAAGAACCAGCCAGCCAGCCAACCTGCCAACCGGGGTGACTTGTAGCTCCAAGTGAACATCGTTTGACTTCCCGGGTGCTCGACGTTTGGGTCTTGAGCCTGCCCTGGCACTTGTACACAGACATCAGTATTCAGCAGTAGCCAGTTCATGTGGCTCATGCCAGGCCTCCCCTTCAGCTCGTGACCAGCACGAGGAACCTTGTTGCTCCACTCTGGTACCTCTCTTGGTTGTGTTTAGGGATACATTAGGGTTTGTTATTGAAAGAAAGGGGAGTACAATGAACATCTCTTCACGTAGAAATTGCTAACCAGAAAGCACTAGCAGGCCGAGCACAGTGGCTTACACCTGTAATCCCAGCACTTTGGGTGGCCAACGTGGGAGAATCACTTGAGGCCAGGAATTTGAAACCAGCCTGGGCAATATAATGAGACCCTGGCTCTACAAAAAATTAAAAATGAAAAAATTAGCTGCGTGTGGTGGCACACGTCAGTGGTCCCAGCTACTCAGGAGGCTGAGACAGGAGAATCACTTGACCTTGGGAGGTCAAGGCTGCAGTGAGCTGTGATTGGGCCACTGCACTCCAGCCTGGGTGACAGAGCAAGACTTCGTCTCAAAAAAAGAAAAGGCCTCCCAAAGCGCTGGGATTACATGCGTGAGCCAGTGCGCACGGCCGAGCTGACACCCTTTTAAAGTAAAGACCTTCTTGAGGGAATTAACACAGGAACAGAGAACAGACAGCTCACACGTTCCCACTTACAAACGGGAGCCCAACACCGAGTTCACACAACACAAAGAAGGGAGCAGCAGACACCGGGGCCTGCTGTATGGTAGAGGGTGGGAGGAAGGAGAGGATTCAGAAACTGCCTGTGGGGTACTGTGCTCACTACCTAGGTGATGGAATGATCTCTACACCACACCCCCACGACGCACAGTTCACCTGTGTGACAAACCTGCACATGGACTCCCTGAACCCAAAATAAAAATTGGAAAAAATAAAAGTGAAGACCTGCAGATTACCCATAAATGTTAACTTGCCTCAGCTCTGGTGCCCTCATTCTAAAGAGGTCCCTTGCAGCAGGGCAGCTGCAAACAGCTGTGCAGGTTGGACACTGCACGTGTCCAGGAGGTGCCACACACCTGGTTATTCACTGCACAACGCCATGTGGGCCTACGGCTGAGATGCCATGGCTTTTCAGAAACCGTCCGATTCTGTTTATGGTCATCAGTTTAGCAGCCAGACTGTGCTCATGTTCCCTCTGCTAGCCAGGATACGTGCACTGGCAGAGTCATTGTCCCAATTAGAGCTCTTTCCATCCTGTGTTCACCCCAACTGTCACCATTATTCCATCCTCGCTCTTCTTCTCCAGCTTCTTGCTTTCTTCACAGAATTGAAAGGGAGAGCCACATTAGAAAATATGAAATAAAACCAAGCAGCGAGGAGCTGAGCTTTTACACAAGGGATTGAGGTGCCTTAAGGATGGCCCATTTATCCTAAGTCTCCCTTTCAGGCACAGGGACAAGCTTTCCTCAAAA
Source organism: Homo sapiens (assembly GCF_000001405.40). Taxonomy (NCBI): domain Eukaryota; kingdom Metazoa; phylum Chordata; class Mammalia; order Primates; family Hominidae; genus Homo; species Homo sapiens. The sequence goes on from NC_000017.11 coordinate 78,096,972, forward strand.
AACTACAGTCCTAGGGATAGAATAACTCAAGTCCATATACACAGTTATTAGGACAGATGTCTCTTAATTATTCCTGTATTTAAAAAGGGAATCATGAGCCGGGTGTGGTGGCATGCACCTGTGGTCCCTGTGACTCCGGAGGCTGAGGCAAGAGGATCACTGAGCCCAGGAGGTTGAGGCTGCTGTGCACTGTGATCATGCCTGTGAACAGCCACTGTGCTGCAGCCTGGGTGACATTGCAACAGCCCCATCTCTTAAAAAAAAATTTTTTTTAAGCAAAATATGAGTGTAAGCTGATGGGACACCCCAGTCAGAAGAAATACTCAAATTTTTATGGCAAATTTTGTAATAAAAGGCTTGGAGTTTTGTTCTTCCATTTTGTGGCCATTGTTTGAACTGTGAAAGGATGTAGATTGCCCTGGATTTTTATTTTACCTTATTTGGGAGAGGAAATCAGTGTGGTCCTTTAAAACTCTTAAAACATGGTATTTTAAGCATTCTGGCGGGAATTCTCAAAGAAGCTCATGCTGCTTCTTGCCCTTTGATTCCTCTGCCTTCAGCAACATCCCAGGCCTCCCTGAGTGGGTACAGGGACCCAGAGTAGGAGGCATGCCCCGTTTCTTCTTTCCCACATGTCACTTTCATGTTCAGGCTTCTATTAAAAATGGCAGCCTAGGGAGAGGTTGATTCCTGATGGTTCTCACACCCCACAGTTAGAGTCATGAACCCGGACACCGCCACCACCTTGCTCAGTGCCGTGTTTGGTTCTGCAGGGTCCTCCCCGCCATCATCTCAGAATGCCACGCTGCCTTCTTCGAGTGCCTGGCCACTCAGTGCCTCCGGCTACAGTAGCTCTTTCAGCAGCATTGCATCCGCACCTAGTGTTGCAGGTACGCGCCTGGCCTCTAGACTTGCAGGTAGCATTTTCTTTCTTTTCCCAAACAAAACTTTGACAGGCCCCAGCTTTTCCTATTGGCTCTTTACTCACTCCCTGAGCTGGGAGGCCGTGTGGCGTGATGAAGGATGGGTGGGGGCCTTGCCCAGGCACAGTGGGCACGCTGGGCACATCAGCTTGCACGCACATGGAAGTGGTAACGTCTTCTCCATACAAGTGTGTGGGCCCACTGCCTTCTCTCTTCCTTTCCCCCATGGCCACAAGACAAGGGCTCTGCAAGGTTTTGAAAACTTAGAGGCAAAACACTTCTGGGAATTTGTGGTTACTTGAGTTTGCCAGGGGCTTGACTTGGTGTTTCTTTGCCTATCACACAGTCTGCTGGTGTTAGAGAGCACTCTGTGTGGCTCCCCAAACACAGCAGTGAGTTTTCTTCTTTGTCTCAAGACTGCATATGCTCCATCTCTCTGCCTTTCTAGGTAAACTGTCAGACATCAAATCGACGTGGTCCTCTGGCCCTACCTCCCACACGCAAGCCTCTCTGTCTCATGAACTATGGAAGGTGCCCAGAAACAGTACTGCACCCACGAGGCCACCTCCAGGGTTAACCAATCCCAAGCCCTCCTCCACCTGGGGTGCCAGCCCCCTCGGCTGGACCAGCTCCTACTCCTCGGGTAAGCTCCATGCTCCTCGTGTTCCGATGGGGGCCTTACCCTTTAGGGGATGTGCTTATCACTTTGTCCTGTACCTCCTTTGTAAGGACCCCTGCCTGTAACTCTGGAGCCTGGGAGGGCTTAGGAGGGCACCAGGGCCACCCTAGATGTCCATCCAGGGCAGTAGCTGGGTGAGCCTGGTGTTTTTAGCATCAGCCTAGGTGTGCCGGCACGCAGCAGGTTTGCTCTGGGCCAAGAGGTCCCAGGCAGTTCCAGCACCCATTGAGGGCCCACACTGGCCAATTCTATCCTCAGGAGTGTGGCTGCCCCACACTGGGCCATCAGAGGCCTGCACAGCGCTTTAGGCTCTCTGCCCCCATGACTCCCCTTCGCACAGGGATCTGGATTTCTGCTTTTTATATTTGCTTCTCCACAAGATGTCACTGGGACGTAAGGCTTTTGCAGGCCCAAAACAAAACAAACCCCACCAGTTTGAAAAAACAACTCTCATAATATTGCAGCTTCTCTCAGGTGCTGCATGTCGAACCTCAGAGATGAAAGAAATGTACTGGGAATTTAGGAAACTGAAGATTTACACCAGCGTGGGCAACAAAGTGAGACCCCATCTCCACAAAAAATAAATTAGTGGGGCATAGTGGCACATACCTGTGATCCCAACTGCTGGGGAGGCTGAGACAGGAGGATGGCTCAAGCCCAGGAGATTGAGGCTACAGTGAGCTATGCTTGAGCCACTGCACTCCAGCCTGGGTGTAATAATAATAAATAACAAAATTTTTAAAATCAGCTACAGATAGTGTATTAGTCCATTTTCACACTGCTGATGAAGACATACCCGAGACTGGGCAATTTATAAAAGAATGAGATTTATTGGACTTACAGTTCCATGTGTCTGGGGAGGCCTCACAATCCTGGTAGAAGGTGAAAGGCATGTCTCACATGGCAGCAGACAAGAAGAGAGAGAGAGCTTGTGCAGGGAAACTCCCATTTTTAAAACCATCAGCTCTCATGAGACTTACTCACTATCACGAGAACAGCATGGAAAAGACCTGCCCCCATGATTCAGTTAACCTCCCACTGGGTTCCTTCACGAAACATGGGAATTGTGGGAGTTACAATTCAAGATGAGATTTGGGTGGGGACACAGCCAAACCATATCATTCTGCCCCTGACCCCTCCCAAATCTCATGTCCTCACATTTCAAAACCAATCATGCCTTCCCAGCAGTCCCCTAAAGTCTTAACTCATTTCAGCATTAACTCAGAAGTCCACAGTCCAAAGTCTCATCTGAGGTAAGGCAAGTCCCTTCCACCTACAAGCCTGTAAAATCAAAAGCAACTTAGTTACTTCCTAGATACAATGGGGGTACAGGCATTGGGTAAATACAGTCATTCCAAATGGGAGAAATTGGCCAAAACAGAGGGGCTCAGGCCCCATGCAAGACCAAAATCCAGCAGGGCAGTCAAATCTCAAAGCTCCAAAATGATCTTTGACTTCATATCTCGCATCTGGGTCATGCTTAGGCAAGAGGTTGGTTACCATGGTCTTGGGCAGCTCTGCAGGGTACAGCCTCCCTCTTGGCTGTCTTCACGGGCTGGTATTGTCTGCAGCTTTTCCAGGCACACGGTGCAAGCTGTCAGTGGATCTACCATTCTGGGGTCTAGAGGACGGTGACCTTCTTCTCATAGCTCTACTAGGTGGTGCCCCAGTAGGGACTTTGTGTGGGGGCTCCAACCCCACATTTCCCTTCCACACTGCCCTAGCAGAGGTTGTCCATGAGAGCCCTGCCCCACAGCAAAGTATTGTCTGAACATCCAGGCATTTCCGTATATCCTCTGAAATCTAGGTGGAGGTTCCCAAACCTCAGTTCTTCACTTCTGTGCACCCAGAGTCTCAACACCACGTGGAAGCTGCCAAGGCTTGGAGATTGCTCCCTCTGAAGCCATGGCCCAAACTGTACCTTGGCCCCTTTCAGTCACAACTGGAGCGGCTGGGACACAAGGCACCAAATTCCTAAACTGCACACAGCATGTGGACCCTGGGCCTGGCCCATGAAGCCATTTTTTCCTTGTAGGCCTCTGGGCCTGTGATGGGAGGGGCTTCTCTGAAGACCTCTGACATGCTCTAGAGACAGTCTCCATTTTCCCCATTGTCTTAGGGATTAACATGCAGCTCCTCGTTACTTAGGCAAATTTCTGCACCCAGCTTGAATTTTTCCTCAGAAAATGGGATTTCCTTTTTTTTTTTTTTTTTTTTTTGAGATGGAGTTTCACTCTTGTCACCCAGGCCGGAGTACAGTGGCGTGATCTCGGCTCACTGCAACCTCTGCCTCCCAGGTTCAAGTGATTCTCCTGTCTCAGCCTCCCGAGTAGCTGGGACTACAGGTGCCTGCCACCATGCCCAGCTAATTTTTGTATTTTTAGTAGAGATGGGGTTTCCCCATGTTGGCCAGGCTGGTCTCAAACTCCTGACCTCCCGTAATCCACCCATCTCAGCCTCCCAAAATGCTGGGATTACAGGCGTGAGCCACCGTGCCTGGCCAATTTTCTGAACTTTCATGTTCGACTTTCCTTATAAAACGGAATGCTTTTAGCAGCACCCAAGTCACCTCTTGAAGGCTTTGCTGCTTAGAAATTTCTTCTGCCAGATACCCTCAATCATCCCTCTCAAGTTGAAAGCTCCACAAATCTCTAGGGCAGGGGCAAAATGCCGCCAGTCTCTTTGCTAAAACAACAAGAGCCACCTTTGCCCCAGTTCCCAACAAGTTCCTCATTTCCATCTGAGACCGCTGCAGCCTGGACTTTATTGTCCATATCCTTATCAGCAATTTGTCAAAGCCATTTCACAAGTCTCTAGGAAGTTCCAAACTTTCCCACATTCTCCCGTCTATTTCTGAGCCTTGAGTTCCAACCTCTGCCTGTTACCCAGTTCCAAAGTTGCTTCCGTGCCAAGACCAGCTTGATCAGGGAGACCCTAACCCAGAGGCACTAGAGGAATTAAAGACACACACACAGAAATAGAGCGGTGTGAAGTGGGAAATCGGGGGTCTCACAGCCTTCAGAGCTGAGAGCCCTAAACAGAGATTTACCCACGTATTTATTAACAGCAAGTCAGTCATTAGCATTGTTTCCGTAGATACTAGATTAACTACAAGTATCCCTTATGGGAGATAAAGGGATGGGTTTGGCTAGTTATCTGCAACAGGAGCATATCCTTAAGGCACAGATCGCTCGTGCTACTGTTTGTGGTTTAAGAACGCCTTTAAGCAGTCTTCCGCCCTGGGTGGGCCTGGTGTTCCTTGCCCTCATTCCGGTACACCCACAACCTTCCAGCATGGGCGTCATGGCCATCATGAACATGTCACAGTGCTGCAGAGAGTTTTTTTTATGGCCAGTTTTGGGGCCAGTTTAATGGCCAGATTTTGGGGTGGGGGTGGGAATCACGGGAGTTACAATTCAAGATGAGATTTGGATGGGGACACAGCCAAACCGTATCAGATAGTTGGAAAGTAATGGTTTCTGCCTTTTAGCGGCAGCCTTCAGGGATTTGCTCTGTTGTATTAACCAGAAGAACCTGGGAGCACTGATTCCACACCGGGTCTGGGGACAGGCAGAGGTGGAGAGCAGAGCTTCCCTGGAGATTCTCGGGCCTCATCACCCCCGTCTCTCCTGGCACAGATGGGAAAACACAGGCCTCCCGGGCTGGTGGGAAGATCCAAAAAGTCAGAGTCACCACGGGGAAGTGGGAAGGGGGTCTGCAGGGACTGTGAGGTTTTGGTTTACCAAAGATAGCATGGGCCTCCCAGGCTGAGAAAGGCTTTCCTAAAGCACGCAGTGACGGCCTGTGCTGTCCCACACTTCAGCACAATAAGAAGTGGGGAGGGCCGCACTATCCACTGGCACGGGGCCTTGTCAACCAGGTTCTCCCCTCTTGTTGCAGGTTCTGCCTGGAGCACCGACACCTCAGGAAGAACCAGCAGCTGGCTCGTTCTTCGAAACCTCACTCCCCAGGTGCAATATGGTGCCCCTGCATCACTGAGCATGATCCAGGGAGGGTTCCCGCTTGGCCCCCAATGCAGATGAGGCTGTCTGGTGGGGCAGGATAGTTGGGGGTTCTTGGTCAGGGTCCATAAGTGACGCTGCATGGGAGGAGATGAGCAAGTGCCAGGATTGGCTCCAGCAGCGGCAGCAGATGGGGCCCAGGGGCCTCTTTTAACCATGTTCCTGGTGAATTGTTTGTTTCCCCACCAGAGGCTGGAAAAGTGTGCTCTGTAAATAGAATTGTTTATTTTACAACTAGCCATTCAAGAGTGGTTGGGCCTGGCTGGGCGCAGTAGCTCATGCCTGTAATCCCAGCACTTTGGGAGGCCGAGGCCAGGGATCACCTGAGCCCAAGAGTTGGAGACCAGCCTGGGCAACATAGCAAGACCCCATGTGTGTATTTTTATAACATTTTTTAAAAGAGTCGTTTGGCCACATCAGACTGTGGGGCTAGCCAGTCCCTTCCCGGGACCCAGGCCACACCCACCTGCACGTCTCCCAAGTCTGTTGTCAGCAGCTGGACCCAGGTGCCTTTTGCAAACCAGAGGCTCTGTGCGACGTGCTCTGGTGAAAGGAGAGCAGAATTCAAAATGGGGTTTTTCTCCTTCCTCTGATTAGCCTAACTTATAAAATGTAACTGAAGCATCCAAGTTTTTAGTTACACGTTTGGCCACAGAGATATAAAACGTTAATGTTGTAAAACCACATATTATTAGGCCTTTTAAAGAAAAACATTCCTAGTGTTTAGTGTATCCAATTTCATACGTTTTTTCTTTGGAAGGCTGTAGTGAAAGAAATCAGAAGAAAGCTCATTCATGTCCCTGTGCTTCCTCTATCAGATTGATGGTTCTACACTGCGGACATTGTGTTTGCAACATGGGCCTCTTATCACATTCCACCTGAATCTGACTCAAGGCAATGCTGTGGTCCGGTACAGCTCCAAGGAGGAGGCTGCCAAGGCCCAGAAGTCTCTGCACATGTATGTTTTCTCACAGCCACCTCAGCGCTCCAAGTAGCTCCCCATCCCCCAGAGCATTAGGTTAGGGGTGTTGCAGGGGTGTCCTGAGCCACCATAGCAGAATCCCACAGGCTGGCCACCCTCCCACTTCTGGAGGCTGGAAGTCTGATACCCAAGATGAAGGTGTGGGCAGGGCTGGTTTCTCCTGAGGCCTCTCTCCTTGGCTGTAGACAGCTGCCTTCTCCCTCTGTTCTTATATGGTCGTCTCTTTGTGCATGTCTGTGCCGTAATCTCTCCTTATAAGGACACCAGTCCTGTTGGACTAGGGCCTACCCATGTGACCTCATCTAACTAACTTAATTCCCGCCTTAAAGACCCCATCTCCAAACGTAGTCACATGGGGAGGTACTGGGTGTTAGGACTTCAACAAAGGAATTGGGGAAAGGCGACACAGGTCAGTTCCTCACAGGTATCTTGGGACTTACTGGTTTTTTTCTGCTGCTGAGTTGCTGTGTCTACTCCCTCCCTGTGACACATTCCTACACAGGGCCCAGCAGTGGTCCTCACAGCCAACCCTTCACCCTAGTGAAAGGTTGCTTTTGATAGAAGTACGAGTAGACCTGATCAGTAACATCACTTGAGACGTTGGAACCTAGAAATTAGTCATTCCTGTTTTTAGCCCAGGATGCAAATGACACTGACCCTAAACGAGCCCACATTTAATGATCTGTTCACGCACTTGAAGATGTACTCTGTGTACCAGTACGATGTTGCCACTAGAAGTCTGAACTGAGCAAAACATTCACAGTCTGGGTTTGGAAATAGCAGTGGCAAAACAGAAGCCACAGGATGGCTTCCATGTGGGGCCGTTCCCAATACAGAGAAAGCCAGTGCCACGAACTCAGCAGGACTTGGGGTGGCCCTGTTCACGTGCCCCATCTTGCTGTTGCAGGTGCGTCCTGGGAAACACTACCATCCTGGCCGAGTTCGCTGGTGAAGAAGAAGTGAATCGCTTCTTAGCCCAAGGCCAGGCGCTGCCACCCACTTCCAGCTGGCAGTCCAGCAGCGCGTCCAGCCAGCCGCGGCTCAGCGCAGCGGGCAGCTCCCATGGCCTGGTACGCAGCGACGCTGGCCACTGGAACGCCCCGTGCCTGGGTGGCAAGGGGAGCAGTGAGCTGCTGTGGGGCGGGGTGCCCCAGTACTCCAGCAGCCTGTGGGGCCCGCCCAGCGCCGACGACAGCAGGGTGATAGGCAGCCCCACGCCGCTAACCACCCTGCTGCCTGGGGACCTGCTCAGCGGGGAGTCCCTGTAGGCTCTGCCATCATCAGCACCAGGAGAGCCGACCCCTCCCGGGACCCCTCCCGGCTGGGCGGCCCCACAGACCCGCTGGAACCCAGCAGCGGCCGCCCTTTTGAGTACCTCTGTCCAGGACTGAAGACGAACCTTGGCCGCAGTCCTTGCGAACTGTTCGCAAAACAGTGCGGGCTGCGGTGGGTCAGCGTCACATGCTAATGACAGGATGTTCCTCGTAGCTTTTTATTTTGTGCGTCTTATGTTTGTATAGTGTGTTGTCATTTTGATTTTTTTTTTTTTTTTAAGTATAAAAGCTGCTTAGAATAGTTCTATCATGAAGGGCACTTTTCAGATTGTGGGCTGGAAAGGGTTATTTTATCTGTGGGGGAGGGAGGGAGACGTGAAGCCTATTTAAAATGAGCCTGTGACGATTATGCACATGACCAGAGGCGGCCGGTAATCAGGGCAGAGTCTGGTGTGGACCGCCGGGCGCAGAGCGGCTCCGCGGCGGGAGCTGAGCGGAAGGCGCGGGCTGCGATCTGCTCTCTGTTCCCCTGGATCCGCCTATGCACATTACCCTTGTTTCATTACTTTTTCATGTCATTTTTTTATCCCAAAAAATATTTTTTAAAAGTTAAAAAAAGACATATCAAACATGCAAATACTTGAATCCAGCAGGCCAATAGTGAAATGTGAACACTTTCTAATTCTACACTTCCAGGTTGACATCAGTACACAGAAACAGGCTCTAGGAAAAATTTCTAAGTTCATAGCCTACGTGTGTGTATGTGTGCGTGTTGAAACAGAAGTGTGTGTGTGTGTGCATGTGTGGCGCGTGCTCCTGCACGGCGTGCAGTTTTCTGTGTTTGTGTGTTTGAAAGCGTGTGAGGATTTAACTGTGGGTTTTCCCTTGTATTCAGTATACGCTTTTTTTTTGGCGCATTGGTCAAACGGTTGTTATTATTAGCTTCTAACTTTGCACTGAGTGTCCTCGCCCTTCCTTTAGCTAATCCTATACATTACAGAGAATTCCTAGGACAGGGCTGGCGACAATTCATGTGTAAATGTTTACTCAAGGACTCTGTGACTGCGTTTAAAAAGTACAGTGTATATCTCTGGAGAAATAACATGTATACCTACCTTTAGCAGCTTTTTATTGTGGACTAATGCAAGAAAATTATTACCAGAGTATTGCACCATTTTTCCATTTGGAATATAAAGTTAAAGAGAAAAAAAAAAAAAACTGTTGTTGAACTGTGGCCATAGATACTTGTAAAGAATGGATGGTTCCGTGGAAGGAACAGAAACAAGCACTTGGGCGTGGGTTGTGACTGCTTTTGGGGGAGCCTGGGGTTTGGGCTCCCACCTGTTTACAGACCTTTTTTTCTCCTTCAGACTTTAAAATTTTAAAAATTTAAAAAGGAATTAAAAAAAAAAAAAGACTTCCGTCGTAAAGAAACCTATTTTCAGAATGCAGATGCGTTCCTTCAGAGCTCTGGGACGGGACAGTGTTGTTCCCTCGGCCATCGTCGTGGACTCTGTCGATTGCTTTCGCCCCTTCGTCAAGGTGACAGGCGTTGTGGCCACTGTCTTGCACATGCCGGACGCGCTCTCAGGAAAGCCAGGGCTCCCGAGGGCAGCTCCACACCATTTCATGTATTTTTAAACCCAACTCCTAGCACTGAAGATGTTATTTAAAAAAAAAAAAAACAAAACAAAACAAAAAAATGAAAAAAAAGAAAAAGAGGAAAAAAAAACACAAAGAAGAAAAATACCTAATCTCTAATGTGTAGCAGTTACATATTTACCAAATAATGGACTCAAAAGAAATAGATGTTTGAAGAGTGCTTTATATATTAAAAATTGCTTTATGTTTTAAAAATGATCAATGTTTTGATTGTTTTGCAAGGAAGAAAGACAATGGAATAACATACCTTCAAGTATGTTTTAAAAAATATATATATGAACATTGTGCTCCCTGCCTGCTTGATCAGGAAACTTGTGCATTACATTTTTTTAATTAGCTTTTTAATGGTTTTATCAAAACAAAAAAAATACAAAAAAAAAAAAAAAAGTCCTGCAAGACTGCAGATCCACAAAAGCTGGTTTTATAGAGGATCATGAACTATGCACAAACTGGGTTCAAGACTTTTTTTCTCAAGTTTAGTAGGATATTTAGAAAAACCAACCTTCCTCAGAGTGACTGCATCTCATTGCCATTACATGCGTTCTATATATTCGATGGACATACACCTGCGTATGTATATCCAATATGTGTGCGTGTGAGCATGCGTGTGCGTATGTGCGTCCGACATACCACTTCCCGTGCTGCCGGCGAGCATTGAGTTGTAGAAAAACTGTTGTTTTAAAATTGGGGATGGAAGTCAAGAATATGTTTGTTTGTTTTTGGGTTTTGTTGGGTTTGAGGGGTTTTTTGTTTGTTTGTTTTTTGTTTTTTTTACCTTTTATTTTGAACTTAATATGTCTGTAACTCTGAGATTAAACAACAAGTTCGTGGCTCTTAATGTTTTCCTCATAGAATGTGACTGTTGAAGAACATGCATCGAAAGTTGCTTTCGAAAGTACAACGCTTTATTGAATCTTAATAAATTGCAATTTTTTTCTTGGCTGTTCAAAGTAATGTGTTTTTCATTTTTCAAAAGACACTATGGATGTCTACTTTGCACGCTGCGATTGGGAGAGCTGTCCCGCTGCATGCGTTCCCTCTGTAATTTCCTCAGAGCTCACATACGTACCTCTCTCACGAGTGAACTCAGATTTTCCATTGTTTTGCTTTATTCTATCATTTGCTTTGTGGTTTTGCTGTAAATATTGAAATCTTAATCATCATCGAGAGGCACAGCCAAGCTTTCCAGCTCTCCACCCCCGTGGCCCATCCAAGTCTGTTCATCTGGTAACTTCTGTTGTCTGGGACGGCAGCAAGAAGATGCCGGGGCTTGCCTGGAGTCCTGGCAGAGGAGTGCCACTCACTTTTGCCTAGGGTCCAGTTGGGGCTTAAAAAATATTTGGAGAGAAGAGTAATGAGGATTTTTTGTGTTTCCTAGACATTTTATGCATCTATTTTTGTAAAATCACCTTCGCTAACTTTCACCAAGCACTTTGAGCACAGTGGAACTTCAGAAGCACAACCAGCCTAACCCCAGAATCTCAGGTGGCACAGCTAGAAATTGAGTCCCTTCCTAGGACACTGGCCGTGGCCTTCAGGGTGACCAGTCAGTGCCACCGGGTTGGCATTGGTGTTACAGACAGGCCTCTGAAGACAAACCGAGCACCCCAGCGGCCCCTCAAACTAAGCAAGGATCTTTTTTCTGTCTGCGCTCCCTGGGGCAAGGTCAAAGGTGGACCCGCCCACTGTGGGTCAATTCCTTCGAAAAGATGGGACCCGCACCCCCGCCACAGGCTGGCCCCCCCCCACCCATGGGGAAGGTGGTGTGCTGCTGGCTCTGACCATACTCTTTTGGAAATTGAGAAGGAAAGCATTGAGTGGGACCTAATCCGGAGAAGAAATTAAAGACCAGAAAAAGAAGGAAGCTGGGAATGAAACTCAAAATGCACTTGAACCTGGAAGCGGCAACCCTCAGCTCTGCGCGGCCGAGCCTCAGCAAGAGTTCGTTTTGTGCCTGAGTTACTACTACAGGGGCAAACTGTACCCGTGCCTGTGCGCTGGGAGAACAAGGTCAGCGCCCAAGGGTGTGCAAAGGATGTGGCAGGCTTCATGGAGGAGGTGGCATTTGCCCTGGGCCTGGGAGACCAGGTTGGATTTTGACAGACTGGGAACTCGGGGGACAGGAGGGCAGCACAGTGTAAGCTAAAGCCCTGTGTAGGGACCCCACGCAAAGACCTCGTGGGCCTGGGTGTCCAGGGCACCATTTCCACCCATGGGTGAAAAAGAGGCTTGAGGAAGACAACAGGTTCTTCACCTGCATCTGTGGATATATATTTTTTTAAGTTTATTAAATTTTTTTTTAAATGGCAGTTTCAGACCTGCCCTTTGTGGTTTGTGTTTTTGTTTGTTAATACAGGGTCTCTGTCTCCCACGCTGGAGTGCAGTGATGTAATCTCGGCTCACTGCAACCTTGACCTCAAGGTTAAGCTCCAGCGATCTTCCGACCTCAGCCTCCCAAGTAGCTGGGACCACAGGCATGCATGCGCCACCCCACCCAGCTCATTTCATTTTTTATTTTTGTAGAGATAGGGTCTCACCATGTTGCCCAGGCTGATCTCGAACTGCTGGGAATACAGGCATGAGCCAGGTGCCCAGCCTTTGTTGTTGTTGTTGTTGCTGCTATTTTGGCAACATCACGGCAGAACGGTAAAGGCAGAAAGCACAGTGCCCAGCAGCTAGCAGTGTGGCGTGCCAAGAAGGCTGTTCCAATGGGGGAGAAGCCAGCAGACACAGAGGCATCATGGCGAGCCCCGACTGAGTGTTCAGTGAAGAGGGAAAACAGAGACAGTGGGGCATCCCGAGAAGATCCTCTGCAGGAGTGCGGTGTCTACGGATGGACCAAGAAAACCTACGCAGGATCCACGTGGAAACAAAGCTGCTTAGCTCTGCATATCAGTGCTTCTCGGCGGAGCTGTGGCTGATGGGCTCCTGGTGCAGGACTGGCCCCTGAACAGCACAAGTGTAGTATGCCTGGGCCCCAGGTCATCATGAAAACCAGAAGCAGACACTCAGGAGGCTGAGGCGGGAGGATCACCTGAGCCCAGGAGGTCGAGGCTGCAGTGAGCTGTGATCGTGCCACTGTGCTCCGGGATGGGCAACAGAAAGACCCCATCTCAAAAAAGCAGAAGCACATTTCCGAAGCCCCCCAAGCCCACGGGCGTGAGTGCATGCATGCGTTTGTGACAGCCTGGTGCTCGGATGGGCCCAGAGCAGGGGTTCTCAACCTTGGCCCATTAGAATTACCTGAAAATTTTTAAGATAATTCACATCCGGCCAGGCATGGTGGCTCATGCCTGTAATCCCAGCACTTTGGGAGTCCGAGGCGGGCGGATCACCTGAGGTCAGGAGTTCAAGACCAGCCTGAGCAACATGGAGAAACCCTGTCTCTACTAAAAATACAAAATTAGCTGGGCATGGTAGCACATGCCTGTAATCCCAGCTACTTGGGAAGCTGAGGCAGGAGAATGGCTTGAACCCAGTAGGCGGAGGTTGCGGTGAGCCAAGATCGTCCCGTTGCACTCCAGCCTGGGGAACAAGAGTGAAACTCCATTCCAAGAAAAAAAAAAAAAATTCACATCCAAAATTTTAAAGATAATTCAAATCCAAATCAACTCAATCAGAATCTCTCGGGGTGGGCCTCAGGCACCAGTGTTTTTTTGTTTGTTGGGACAGGGTCTTGCCATTGCCCGTGCTGGATTCAAAACACCTGGGCTCGGCAGGTGTTGTGGTTCATGTCTGTAATCCCAGCACTTTGGGAGGCCGAGGCGGGCAGATCACTTGAGGTCAGGAGATCTTGACCAGCCTGACCATCATGGTGAAACCCCATCTCTACTAAAAATACGAAGATCAGCCAGGCCTGGTTGTATGCACCTGTAATCCCAGCTACTTGGGAGGCTGAGGCAGTGAGCCGAGATCATGGAACTGCACTCCAGCCTGGGCAAGAGCAAGACTCTGAAAAAGCAAATAAACCGAAACTCTTGGGCTCAAGCAATCCTCCGCCTCAGCCTCTGGAGCAGCTGCAATTACAGACAGGCGCCACCACCTCCAGCAAGTACCAGTGTTTTTAAAACCTCCCTGGTAGATTCCGTTGTGCAGCCCAGGCCGAGAAGCATCGCGGAGTCTTGTCATTCAGCCTGAAAATAGCATCAAGTTCCCATCCACTCGAACAACAGTTTGTAGATCTTAGGCTGCTCTCATCGAGCAAACATGGCCTCCTTGCAACACCTCAAATGGGTGCCAGGCATGGTACGCAGCACACAAACTGTGTCACTTGATACAGCGGCCCCATGAGGCGAGGAGCTGGGAGGTCACAGAACATGCCCCAGGGCACCCAGGGACACACTGAAGCCCAGGCCTCCAGCACGCAAGGGCTGCTCTGAAGAAATACGGGAGGTCCTCACTGGAGGGTCTGGGGCCACACGGTGGGTCCGGAGACAGAAACGAGGAGAGGACGGGCTCACCCAGCCGTGGGGCCGCGGGCTGGACATCCAGTGGGAGTGGGAAGCCGCCGTCTCAAGGCAGAATTCCCTCTCTGGGACACCTCGGGTTTTGCTCTTAAAGCTTTCAGCTGATAGGATGAGGCCCACCCACATTCTCAAGGATGATCTTTAGGTGAAATCGACTGTAGGTGTTCACCACATTCCAGCAGCACACGATCACAGCAACACCTCGGCCCCTCTCGATGAGATCACTGGGCCCCACAGCCTGGCCTGGTTGACACGAAAGACTGACTAGCACACACGGTAATTCTCCAGAAATATCCAGGCCAAGTTCTTCCACTTTCCTGTCATAAGCAGCTAGTACTGTCCTTTGTGAGGCTGGCAAGATGGGCTCAACAGGTCACAACCAATGATCATGCTGGCAAGCCAGCAGTGGCAGGCGCACGTCCCCAGCCAGAGAGGGACCGTGATGGTTTGGAGGACAGCATCTGCACAGATAGGGGCTGGAAACCCTACGTCGGTCCCTGTGGACTGTCACGTCACTTTCTGGACTGCCCACGCAGCTTCACCCAGCAGCACTCGCACCTGAAGATGCTGCCACAGTTGGCTGCCCAGAATCAGCACCAGCTACTTGCTGAGGCCCAGAAGCACCACTTGGCTCAGATCCACCCAGATGCCAACTCTGTCGGGCCCCTGTGGCAGCACCCAGATGTCTGCAGAGCACAGGAGCATCCCCATGGGATTGGGTGGGCTAGACCCAGCGTGGGGGTCTGCTAGCAGCCAGTGGCATCTCCATCTGGGTCTGACCCTTTTCTGGGCCCATCGCTCTTTGACCATTTCCCCACCTGGGTTCATTCCCCCAATCCCAAGCGCAGCTCCTGCAGGCCTGGAGCCCTGGGCTGTGACAGGCTGGTCCCCACAAGCCTGGAACCCTGCGCCGTGACGGGCTGGTCCCCACAGACCTGGAGCACTGGGGTCATGACGGGCTGGTCCCCGCAGGCCTGGAGCACTGGGGTCATGACGGGCTGGTTCCCGCAGGCCTGGAGCACAGGCTGACGGGCTGGTCCCCACAGACCTGGAGCACTGGGGTCATGACGGGCTGGTCCCCGCAGGCCTGGAGCACAGGCTGACGGGCTGGTCCCCGCAGGCCTGGAGCACTGAGGCTGACGGGCTGGTTCCTGCAGGCCTGGAGCACAGGCTGACGGGCTGGTCCCCACAGACCTGGAGCACTGGGGTCATGACGGGCTGGTCCCCGCAGGCCTGGAGAACTGAGGCTGACGGGCTGGTCCCCGCAGGCCTGGAGCCCTGGGCTGTGATGGGCTGGTCCCCGCAGACCTGGAGCCCTGGGCTGTCATGGGCTGGTCCCTGCAGACCTGGAGCACGGGGTCATGACGGGCTGGTCCCCGAATCCCTGTGCCCACCCCCCACAGCCTACGGTTTTCGGTATCCCACGGGCTCCTCAAACTCAGCCCAGTCAGACCCAGGATCACCACCCCCCAGCCAGCTGCTGGCAGCCAGAAGCAGGGGGCCAGCCCCACCTCACCAAGCCCTGTTCGCCTCCAAGCACAGGTGCTGGTTACCTATGCCTGGGAGGCAACTGTCCCCACAACTCATTTGCAACTGATATGTCTCCCCTCCAAGTCCCTCTCTAAATTTGTCTCCTGCTCCAGTAGATGCTACAGCATCACCCAATGGTTGACGCATCGCTCTGGTCACAATCCGTGCCTGCTCGGCTCACTTGTGCAGGTGTAAGCCCCTCCTGGGCGCGAGTTCAGGCTGGTCAAAGGCAGCAAGCGAATCAAGCCCTGGCGCGGTCCAGCCCCTGCCATCTGGGGCTTGGCCAGCAGAGGGCGCCCCCACTCCAGCTGAGGTTCCCAGGACCCAGACCTGCGCCTGGAGGTGGCCCCAGGGCAGCGGGAAGCAGGCCCCGGGTGTGGTCACAGACACAGAGCCCCAAGGGACAAGCCCATTTGCAAAACCCCTTTAATCAGAATAAATAGAGTCCCAGGCAGGGCAGAGTTCATTGGGGATGCCCAAGCCGGATTCACCCACCCTTCCAGCTCCAGCCTAGGCGCAGCTGCGGCTTTCGAGAGGCGAAACTGTCTTCCTTGTCCTGGTGTCCCAGCAGGGTCACTGGGAGGCAACAGTGTGGTCTCAGGGTGCTGGGCGGGCCCGTGAGGCCCATCGCCGTCCCCCTAGGCATCCTGTTCATCTGTGAGCAGGGCAGGGGGTGCCGCAGCCTCCTCGGTTGTCCCAACCCTGCCAGAAAGAGACATCACTGAGGGGACCCCATAAACATCAACATCCCTGCAACCTGGCTGGGCGCAGCCAAGGCCCGGCGAGGGACAGGCCAGACGCCCCACAGCCTTTCTCCTGAGATGTATTTTAGGTCCCTGTCAAAATGGCCAGGCTCCGGAGGCCAGAGAAGGCTCTAGAGAGAGTGAAGGTGGGCGCCGGGGGGGAGATTTTTGTAGGTCAAAAGCGGTCAAGTGTCAGCAATGTCGTGGTGTAGCCCCAGTGGCAGCCCTACTGTCCAGCCCTGGCCCCTCTCCCCTCCAGGCTCAGAGTGTCCCCAATCCCTCCACGGACCCTCACCTGCTCCTCTCCTCCCTCTCCTTCCTCTCGTAGATGGAGTGAAGCTTGTTGATTAAGAAGATTTTGTCCTCACCCTCCTAGAAAGGCCAGAACACAAAGGGGAGGAGAAATCATCCATCAGCCCATCCAGAGCCATCCTGTTCCAAACTGCATTTGAGGGAAAACTCACGAGGTGTATTCAACATCGCAAGCAGCAAAAACATAAAAGAAAAGGTGAAAGGGCCACCAAACAAGGACAAGGAAAAACCAAGAGCCAGGAAGTGGGCGTATGTGTGGATCTAAGCTTCCTAGTGGCCAAAGTGAAAAGGGAAATGTAATCAGCAGCCCAGAGCCAGCCTGACTCAATTTAAAACCAGCCCTGCCACGTACTGGCTCTGCCTTGGGTTACTAACTCTGTGACCTCAGTGGCAGCATCTGTAAAGGGGGATAATAACACAAGGCACAGGGTTTACATTAGTTTCCTGCTGCTGTCGTAACGAACTGTCATCAACTTCGTGGCTTAAAACACCACCGGTTTCTCAACTTTCAGTTCTGGAAGTGAGAAGTCCAAAATGAGTCTCACTGGGCTCCAGTCAAGCATGATCAGGGCTACATTCCTCCCGGAGGCTTCGGGGGAGAATCCTCTTCCTCGCCTTTTCCAACTTCTAGAGGCCCCTGGCTCTCAGCCCTTTCCTCCACTTCAAAGCCAGCAGTGGCTGCTCAAGTCCTGCTCACGTGGCACCACTCTGACCCTGACACTCCGGCCTCTGTTTTTCACCTCTAAGGACCCTGAGATCACGCTGGGCCACCACGATAATCTAGGGCCATCTCCTATCCAAAGTCAGCTGACTGGCAACTTTAATTCTACCTGCAATCGTAATTCCCCAGCCACGCAACGTAACGTATTCACAGGCTCCATCCAGTCTTAGGACGGGGACATCTTTGGGGCCAGTACTGGACTGACCCAGGGCTCTTTCGACAATGAAATGTGACAAGCAGAGGGGGCACTTAGCAAAGGATCTGGTGCACCGAAACACTGATCATCAGTGCCTGGGTCAGACCGGGATTCCCCGCCCGGAGCTTCACACAGAGAACAGGAGTTCTGTCAAGAGCCACACGGATTGGCTCTGGGCACCTGGCAACCTGGCTCAGCCTAGGAGGACCACTTAGAATACCTTCAAGGAGAGACCATGGGCCCCTTAAGCAACAACCTAAGTAGCTTCTATCGAGTTGCTGATGAGTATGGAGGGGCTGTGCACTTGAGCCATGCCGACCTGCACGGGGAAAACTCAGACCGACAGCCCCAAAGACGGGTCAGAGCTCGGCCTTGGGTAGACACCACAGCCAGCATCCGCCTGGAGAAAGGTCCTTCCCATCCCAGAGCAACGGTGGGTAGAGCTGGGATTCTCCCAGCACCACTCTGCATTCCCCGCCCGGACCCACCTGGCCCTACCTGGCCCCTGGGGGCTCTGAAATGCCACCCAGTAGGGCAGGAGCCATTCCCCACTTCCAATATCTACAGCCAGACAACCACCGCAGCCGAGATGCCAGGCTTTCAGCTCTATGTGGTGAAACGGGAAAGGCAGGAGATGGGACAGTGTGTACTACAGTGTTTACAACCCAAGCAATGTGGGAGCCGTCCCATGAGTGCTTGGGACGAGCTGGGACGAGCTGCCTGGAGCCCTGGATCCTGGCACCAACTAGCCAGCAGCAGGGTCACATGGCTGCCGAGGCCCACTGGCTGCACCCCGCCCTGCCCTCGCCTTGGCAGACGCCAGCCGCTGATCCCCACAAGCGCCCCCCTAGCCCTGGTGTGGAGCATGCCTAAGGACACTGGCACTCACCAGCCCCAGAGTGAAAACCTGCAGGAGGACAAATGGCAATGGGAGGGGATGGGGAGCCCTAGGGGGAGGGCAGAGCCCAGCAGCAGGACGCAAGCCTGGAAAAGCCACAGGACCTGCTTCACGGGGGGCCGTTCCCCAGGGGAGGGGCCTCGGGGAGGAGGCCAGGCTGGGTAGCCCGGGGGGAAAGTGCCTTGTCTCCAACTTGGTGGGTGCCCAGTGGGCAAGGAGGTCCTCCTGGGCAGAGAGGAGCGAAGGGAGTGGGCACAGGGGCGAAGGGAGTGGGCACAGGGGCGAAGGGAGTGGGCACAGGGGCGAAGGGAGTGGGCACAGGGGCGAAGGGAGTGGGCACAGGGGCGAAGGGAGTGGGCACAGGGGCGAAGGGAGTGGGCACAGGGGCGAAGGGAGTGGGCACAGGGGCGAAGGGAGTGGGCACAGGGGCGAAGGGAGTGGGCACAGGGGCGAAGGGAGTGGGCACAGGGGCGAAGGGAGTGGGCACAGGGGCGAAGGGAGTGGGCACAGGGGCGAAGGGAGTGGGCACAGGGGCGAAGGGAGTGGGCACAGGGACCAGCTGCCGGGTGGACAGTACTCCTGGGGGCTGCCTCTCCGGTATGGGGTCCGACCCCCTTCTGCAACTCACTCCCATGACACAGCATGAGGGCCTCAGCAACTCGCTCTGTCGCCCGGGCTGGAGTGCAGTGGCGCAATCTGGGCTGATTCTCCTGCCTCCGCCTCCTGAGTAGCTGGTACAGGTGGACGCCACCACGCCCAGCTGATTTTTGTACTTTTAGTAGAGACGGGGTTTTGCCATGATGGTCAGGCTGGTCTCGACCTCCTGACCTCAAGTGATCTGCTCACCTCGGCCTCCCAAAGTGCTGGGATTAGAGGCCTGAGCCCCCATGCCCAGGCTTTTTTTTTTTTTTTTTTATGAGACAGAGTTTCACTGTCACCCAGGCTGGAGCGCAGTGGCACAATCATAGCTCACTGCAGCCTCAACCTGGGCTCAAGCAATCTCCTCCCTCAGCCTCCCAAGTAGCTGGGACTACAGGTGCACACCACCACACCCAGCTAACTTTTAAAATTTTTATAGAGACGAGGTTTCACTCTGTTGCCCAGGCTGGTCTCGAACTCCTGGGCTCCAGCCATTCTCCCACCTTGGCCTCCCAAAGCATTGGGACTATAGGCATGAGCCCCACCACACCCGGTCAAACATTGTTTTCTTCATAAAAATGTTTTGGCCAGGCACGGTGGCTCATGCCTATAATCCTAGCACTTTGGGAGGCCAAGGTGGGTGGATTGCCTCAGGAGCTCGAGACCAGCCTGGGCAACACAGTGAAACTGCATCTGTACGAAAAACACAAAAAAGTAGCCGGAGTGGCGGCAGGCCCTGTACTCCCAGCTACTCGGGAGGCTGAGGCAAGACAGTTGCTTGAACCCAGGAGGCAGAGGTTGCAGTCAGCTGAGACTGTGCCACTGCACTCCAGCCTGGGTGACAGAGCGAGACTCCGTCTCCAAAAAAAAAAGTTTTAAGTCCTAACTCTCAACCTTAATCCACCTGTTTGTAAAATGAGTGAAGAGTCCATAGGGACCCAAAAATCCTCACAGAGACTGTCTAAACCCTCAGCGGGGCCACACCCGGGGGCTGAAATCACACCCCACCCCCCAGAGCCCTGGTCCCAGTGGGGCCCTGCGGGTCCTTGGGGATCAGGAGCCTGGCTCTGTCTCACGGCTACTTCGTCACTTGATCTGAAGTGCACGTATTGATCAGGGTCACTTGTTTGGCAAACAAACCCTTTCACCAGCCAAGGCCCACAGGAGATGTACAGGGGAGTGGAGGGGAGCGTCACCCTCAGGTGACCTGAGAGGGTGGGGGCTGAGAGCAGCCCAGGAGGGGCACTCACATTGCTGATCTGCTCCTTGAGCAGGCAGATGACCTTGCGCTGGCCCCGCACCACCTGGATGTTGAGGTAGATCACGGCCCTGCGGGAGAGGGGCTGTCGGGCAGGGCCCAGGGCCACAGCCCGGGAGCGGCCAGTCCCCACACGGTGCAGGCCCAGCGAGGGCCATCTCCCCAGGGCCGCCCCCACCTGCGGGACTCACAGCAGCAGGGCTGACACCAGGAAGACAAAGAAGGTGTTTTCCATCAGGTACCGGTGCACCCAGGGCAGCCAGGAGACCCTGGGGCCTGCCGCCTCCAGGTGGCGCACCCACACCCTGCCGGCCTCGTACATGGTGTCCAGGGTCCGGAAGGGGCCGCAGGTGCTCGAGGGCTTCACCCTGGGGAAGATGCCGACCAGGAACCCTCACCCCGAGCAACAGTTCACCCGGCTCCCTCCCAGCCCGTCCTCTGCACCCCTAAGCCTTGGGCCCCCCAGGCACCACCACCCAACCCCCAGATGACACAGAAGGGTCTCCCTCCACCCGCCCCACTCACTGCCAGACGGCGTAGCAGAGGAAGACAGCGGCGCCCAGGAAGGCGGGGAAGCAGAGCAGCGTGAGGAAGACGGTGCTCATGTGTGAGGCCAGCCAGGGCCGGCGCGGCGCCTGGCAGTTGGCCAGAAGGCTGGTCTGTGGGGAAAGGCTGCGCTCTGCCACCATCCTGCTACCCCTCAGCACCCCTCCAAGCCCTGGGGGAGCTCAAGAGGGAAGGGCGACCAGGGCTGTGCGTCCAGGCAGAGCCTGGACCCTGCTCCCTGCAGCCTCCTCATTTACAGAGGAAGACAGAAGCCTGCCGGTCACTTGCACGCAAACGGGTGATGCCAACAGCACCTCCATCTGCTGAAGGTCGCTGCCATGCCAGGCTCTGCACACAACACTGTACACACCACCTCCCTCAGTCCCCACTGGAACATGGTCCCCACTGCAGGGATGAGGAAACAAAAGGCCAGACGAGACAGGAGCCAGGATGGCCAGGTGCGGTGGCTCATGCCTGTAATCCCAGCACTTTGGGAGGCTGAGGTGGGCGATCACAAGGTCAGGAGATCAAGACCATCCTGGCTAACACAGTGAAACCCCATCTCTACTAAAAATACAAAAAAATTAGCTGGGTGTGGTGGCGGGCGCCTGTAGTCCCAGCCACTCGGGAGGCTGAGGCAGGAGAATGGCGTGAACCTGGGAGGCGGAGCTTGCAGTGAGCCGAGATTGCGCCACTGCACTCCAGCCTGGGCGACAAAGCAAGACTCTGTCTCAAAAAATAAAATAAAATAAAAAGACAGGAGCCAGGATGGGAAGAAAGGTCCCAGTTCTCAGCCACTGGGCATGACCCAGTTGCGGAGAGAGGCCCAGCATCACTTTTCCAGGGACCCAGAGGTCCCAAGGCTTGGTGTCTCCCAGAGCCCTGGCCCTACCCCTGGCCAGGTGCACACAGGTACCTGCTAATGACCTCTGAACCCAGCGATGCTTCCCAGCCTGCCGAAGACAGTGATGCCAAGAGGGGTCAGCCGTCCCTTGGGCGGAGGGACAGGCCAGGGCAGCCCCGAGCCGCCAGCCCCACTCCACTCAGGTGGGGAGGGTTCTAGTGTCCCAGGCTCTGCCCAGCTGAGTCCTGCCCCCACTGCCGGCCACCCTGCCAGCCCAGCCCTCCCCAGGCCTTGGCAGCCTCACCTTCTTGACATAGAAGACGAGCAGCAGCTTGATGATCTGCACGGCGGGGAGGAGGGGCGAGAAGAGCACCCCCAGCCTGGGGAGGGGGTGGCAGTTCAGGGGCTGCTCCAGTGCCCTCCCCTCCCCGAGATCAGGCTGGTTCCAGACCACGGGCAGGGCATGTGACAGTGGCCAAAACTGAGTCCCCGGGGTTAGGGTCTGCATCACTCCAGGGTCCATGGCCGGGCCTGGCTGTGGCCCCAGGGGGAGGCAGGTACAGGACCCCCGGGGGGAAAGGGGCACTGACCGAGGGGCCAGACAGTAGGAGGCAAGCAGAGGACCCTCACCAGGTCAGAGTCTGCCCATAAATCAGCTCCAGGACATTCCGGGCAATGTCAAACTCCGGCTTCCGCCTCCTCTTCAGCTTCTTCTCGGAGATAATCCTGCCTCCGAGGACCCCGGATCGTTAGATGGGAAAGCCATGCCCAGGGAGGCCAGCCTGAGTCCCCACACCCAGAGGCACCCCGCCCCCAGCCAGGGGACATCCTGGCCGTTCCACAGATAATGCCAAGAAGAGACAGCCACCAGCCTGGGGGACCCCACCAGGTGCTTGGTCACACCAGCCTCATCCTAAGTAGGTTCGGATACACCCGGAGTTAAACAAGCAGTATCAGCTCCAGCACCAAATGATTTTTTCTTTTTTGAAACAGGGTCTGGCTCTGTTGTCCGGGCTGGAGCACAGTGACGCAATCGTGGCTCACTGCAGCCTTGACCTCCTGGGATCAAGCAGTCCTCCCACCTCAGCCTCCTGAGTAGCTGGGACTACAGGCACACACCACCAGGCCCAGCTAATTTTTATTTATTTTTATTTTTATTTCTTTAGAGACAAGGTCTCACTCTGTTGCCGAGGCTGGTCTCAAACTCCTGGGCTTAAGTGATCCTCCCACCTCAGCCTCCCAAAGTGCTGGGATTACAGGCGTGAGCCACCACACCGGGCCTCCTACTGATTTTTTTAATCTTATTTTTTATTATTATTAAATTCATATATTCTCGAAGAAAACACCAAGAGGAAAAAAACAGCTGAAGTGCCAGAACCCACAGCGGAATACCTGGAACATTTTTTAAATGTTCCTCCGCTGTCTGTTCCCTGCTGTGTGTTTTTCCTTTGTATCCTAGACTGAGGTTGTGTCATATACACGTTACTTTTTTTTTTTTTTTTTTTTTTTTGGCAACACAGTCTTGCTCTGTCGCCCGGGCTGGAGTGCAGAGGCGCAATCTCAGCTCACTACAACCTCCGCTTCCCAGGTTCAAGCGATTCTCATGCCTCTGCCTCCCGAGTAGCTGGGACTACTGGTGTGCGCCACCACGCCCTGCTAATTTTTGTATTTTTAGTAGAGACGGGGTTTTGCCATGCTGGCCAGGCTGGTCTCAAACTCCTGACCTCAGGTGATCCACTCACCTCAGCCTCCCAAAGTGCTGGGATTACAGGCATGAGCCACCATGCCTGGCCATACACATCACTTTGAAACCTGTTTTCCTTTCCAATCTAAAAATGAGTTCGGTTCTATTTCCTGAGTCTTCCTCTGAAGGGTGGAGACACAGGGCCCTGATGGGAAAGGTCCAGGCCTGAGAACCTCCCGGCCACACGTCCCGGCCACTAAGGGGAGAACACTCACCACCCAGTCCGCCCAGGACCCCCTCACCTCCACACCAGTTCCCCAAAAAGCGTGTCCAGCAACATGAGGACGAAGTCCATCACCAGGAACCGGTACAGCTCCTGGCCCACAAAATCCTCCCAGCACTGGCCCTGCAGGACGCCCACCCTGCGGCCCAGCCAGTGGTAGCACAGTGTCCCCAGGATGGCCAGCTTGAGGATGAGGTTCCTGCGGAGGGCGGGGTGCAAAGGCTGAGGGGCGGGTACAGGGGACAGAAGATGCACCCCAGGGCCCCCACCAGGGGCTTGGTCACACCGGCCTCATCCTAAGTAGGTTTGGATACACCCGGAGCTAAACAACCAGTATCAGCTCCAGCACCAAATGATGTTTTCATGTGCGGCCACACACCTGCAGATGGCCACGTACACCTCCAGTACCGGGGAGTCATGCGGCTCCAGGGCGGCCAGGACACGGCACAGGTAGGGGGCCCCCAGGTTGAGGAGGCCAACCACCAGGGGCAGGACCAGCAGCACAGCCTCCTGGCCAGCAGCCTCTGGACTCTGCAGGGGTGCAGGGAGCGGTGTCATGGAAGCCCCCCATCCATGGTGGGAGCGGGCAGCTACAGGGAAGGGCCCGGGGTGGAACTGGCAGGTAGCACCTCCCTCCTCCAAGATCTGGCCCTCCCCAGGCCTCAAGTTCAAACCACACAGGAAGCAGGGAGGGGTACA
This sequence comes from Homo sapiens, assembly GCF_000001405.40. Classification (NCBI taxonomy): domain Eukaryota; kingdom Metazoa; phylum Chordata; class Mammalia; order Primates; family Hominidae; genus Homo; species Homo sapiens. Next base: position 78,121,333 of record NC_000017.11, read on the forward strand.
AGTAGTGGAAAAGAAACCAGAAACCAAAAAATAAAACCGTGAGACAGGACAAGGGGCTGAGAAGTGGGGCTCGGAGGGGGCCCCAGCACGGGGCACAGCGTACGTGGCACCCTGGGCTGGCTGGGTGGAGGAGGAGAGGCAAGGCTGCCTCCCCAGGGGGCAGGTGCCCAGAGTCACTGGGGACACGTTCCAAGCAAGGGCCAGGCTCCCCCCATCCCCGCACCTGGATCATGAACTCCGAGAAGACGTGGACGGCCACGGCGCAGCCCAGCGCGGTCCCCAGACACAGCAGCCACACAAGCCCCAGCACAGCCGCCTGCCGCAGCCTCCCGCACACGCTCCTGGGGCTGTGCCGCAGCTGCCACTCGGCCAGCAGCTCCTGCAGGCGGCACCGTGTCCCCGTCACCCACACCAGAGCACGGGCACACGCAGACGTGCAGACACAGCACAACACACACAACACACATGAGACACACCAGGAGGCTTGAACCAGGACAGAGGGCCAGTTCCCCATGCCCCACCTGCCCTTTCATCTGCTGAGGGCCCTCCCTCCAGGCGCAGAGAGGACCCAGTCCCCCTGCCGAGAGGCCCCTGTGCCTGGGCTGGCGTTCACTCCCGAGGCCTGCCTCAACCCCTCTCCACCCACCTCCCCAGCCCTGCCCGCTGGGGCAGGGGCCTTGCTCAGAGGTCCTTTCCTGTTCCCTGTGGATGTGGGTGGCCCCCAGTGACCAGAAGCCCCCCTACACGGAATGGCTCATGACAGGTCACAGCTCTGAGCTCCTTGAAGCACAGAACCCCAGAAAGGCAGAGAATGTTCCACGAGGCCCGGCTCTGCAGCCTCCTGGCCCCGCAACCTCTACGAGGGCCTCGGCCTCTATGCCTCAGTCTCCTCTCTGAGGCACACAGAAGGTGACAGTCCTCACCCACTGGCCTCCTATGGCCACCAACCAAGCTAACGCCAGCCAGGGAGCATGTGCCAGCTGGGGCCTGAGGCCTCAGGGCTGGCTCCCGGGTGCCCACGGGGCCATGGCGCTACTACGCGCTAGCAGACAACAGAGGCAGCCCCTAACTGATGGGTGTGTGCCAGAGAAAAACTCAGGGCCTGCCCGTCACTGCAAGCAGAAGACCACGCCTGCCCAGCGCCCCGAGTTCAGCTCACGGACAGCTGGCCCTCCCTCTAGACCATGGTTCTGGTCACATGGTCCTAAGTGGACCCAGGGCCAGGCCTGCAGGGAGCTGGGCAGGCCAGCTTGGTGCTCCGGGGCCACTCACCTTCAGCCGGGTGCGAATATTGTCCTGCTGGAGGCGGGAGGCCCGCTTCTGCGTCACCTTGTAGTCCCAGGAGCAGAAGACGGTGATGGCGTGGATGCCAGAGGTGCTGCCCACCCGGTAGCTCTCCCCGAAAGAGTGAGCCATGCTGGGGAGAAGCAGACACAGACATGGCAACCAACAAGCTGACGGGCAGAGGCCAAGGGGAGAAGGCAGACCGGATGCTCTGGGCAGCCAGACCCCACCACCCACTCAGGAGCCATCTGGGCCCTGACTGGGCCTCCTGCCACACCCCTGCCCCACCACCAGCCCTCTACACCAGTCTCATCCAACATAGCACCCACCAGCCACATCTGCCTAGAAGAGGGGGCAGGGCTGCATTCACCGCGGACTTGGCTGGCTGCCTCCCAGCGAGACATGGACCAGAAGATGCTGGGCTCACCTCAGGGCCTTTGCACTGCTGGTCCCAATGACCAAAACATCTTCCCTGCTTCCTTATCCATCCCCACTCTTATCTAACCTTCCCCTCTCAGGGCAAGTGCCGCCTCCCCTGGGAAGCAGCCTGACTCCTTCCCCAGTGCTCCCATAACACTGGGGAAACACCACTAAGCCTCATGGATTGTCCCAGCCCATTCAGTGGTCCATCTTCTCCCAGAGACAGCAAGCCCCCCTAGGACATTTACCATCCTGCCCTGAGCTGAGCACAGAGAATGTTTGTGGAATACGTAGATGCATGGGTGGATGGGTGGATGGATGGATGAATAAATGTGTGGGTGGATGGGTGGATGGATGAACGGATGGGTGGATGAATGGGTGGATAGATAAGGAGGTGGATGGATGTGCGAATGGATGGATGCGTGGATGAATGAGTGGGTGGATGGATGAATGGGTGGATGGGTGGGTTAAACTGAGTGGATGGATGGGTGGGTAGATGGATGAATGGGTGGATGGGTGGGTGGATGGGTGAATGGGTGAATGTGTGAATGGATGGATGGGTGGGTGAATGGATGAATGGGTGGATGGGTGGATGGGTGGGTGAACTGATTGGGTGAATGGGTGGGTAGATGGATGGGTGGGTGAATTGAGTGGGTGGATGGGGGGGTGAATTGAGTGGGTAGATAGGTAGGTGGATGGCTGAATGGGTAAATGGGTGGGTGAATTGAGTGGGTGGATGGGTGGGTGGATGGATGAATGGGTGGATGGGTGGGTAGGTAGATGGATGGGTAGATGGGTGGGTAAGTGGATAGTTGGATAGGTGAGTGGATGAGAGCAGACAGGTAGATGGACAGAAGGAAGAAAGGAAGAGGGAAGAATCAATGAATGGGTCGAAAGATGAATGGATGGATGAGTGGAGCTCGGAGCCTGGGTCATGAGGTGGAGGCATTACCTGTACACCAGGGTGATGCAGGTGATAAAGAAGCTCACGCCCACAGTGGAGAGGTAGGCCAGGGGCATGTTGTAGGGCAGGCCACCCACCCTGGGTGTGCACTGGCTGCCATCCAGGGGGCTGCCACACGGCTGGTTCAGCGTGGCGTTACTGTAGTGGCCGTAGTACATGACGGTGTGGGTGAAGCAACCCTGCCACAGGGAGATCCAGCCGAGTCAGGGACTTTCCCCACGCCCCACCCGACCCTCAGGCCTGACAGCCACAGGGGCAGAGCAGGAGGAGGCCAGGCAGGGGCAGTGAGGGAAACAGGGAGGGGCCTTGGCCACAGCAATCTTGGGCCTCCAGCCCCATGGGAACCCCAGCACGATGAGCATCCAGGGTCATTGAGGGGGAGGCGGGGAGCTGGCTGTGGCCACCTGGAGTCACAGCGGGGCAAGGGTTGGGGGCCCCAGGGGAGCTGGGACAAGAAGGGAACACGGTACCAGGGTAGCAGAAGACAGGCACCCCCCGTCCCCCAGTCCTAGGGCTTCCTCACCGCGCCTGTGAGGAGCTCCAGGCCTGTGCAGACGGGGGCAGGGCCCGGCAGGGCGGGTGGGAAGGCGACCTGAGGGCCCATGATGAAGGCCACCAGCAGCAGCAGCAGGAGGGCATTGAAAGCCAGCAGGGTCTTGAGAAAGAGGAAGTAGGAGAGCACGCTGGAGCCGAACTGGCCCCCGATGCGCTTCAGGGCGTAGCGCCACGGCATCAGGGCCTGCAGGGCGGAGAGCAGCGCCAGGCCCAGGCTGTGCAAGGCCTGCGGGCACAGGCAGAGAGGCCCTGAGGGTGAGGCCGGAGGAGGCACTGAGGCCACCCCAGCCCTGCCCAGCCGCCCCAGCCCCAGGGCAGACCAGGGGCCCATACCAGCACGCAGGCATATCTGAGCCGGCCACAGCAGGAGCAGACCCCGCCGCTGCCCGGCTGGCCCCTCCACTTCCCCCTCGGGGTCCTGCTCTTCTCTCTGGGGACAGAGGCAGCCATAGGTGCCTGGACCAATGAGGGGCCTGACTCTCTCCTTCCTGGAGACCGGCCACCCACGGGCTCAGCCCCTTCTCCCCCACCACCTAGCCCAGCTGAGGAAGTGGGTCTGGGGGCGCAGCAGCGGCGGCATGGTCAGGGTCGGGGCTGCTCACCGCAGGCTGCGTTTCTCAGCCAGGCTTAAGGGCATCCCGCGAAGCATGTGGTCCCGCTGTGCCACTGCCAGGCTCTGGAGCTCCTTCACCAGGAGGCTCTGCTTCTCTGCGAGAGGGAGAGGGAGGTCCTGCCCATCCCCAAGTGCCCCTCCCTGCAGCCCGAAGCCGGGACCCTGGTCAGGCCTGTGTGTCCCTGCGGCACCGTCCCGAGACACCTCGGTGCCCTTATTTGAGCTTCAGTCGCCAATCAGCCGTGTGTTTGCTTCAGTCAGCGACAAGCAGGAAGCTCACAGAGCACAGGGGCCTGTTTCCCACGCACGGTCCCCGACTCGGGGCCCAGGGCCACAGCCCTCCAAGCACTCCAAGGCGCTTGTGAGGTAAGACCCCCACTTCCCTGTCCCCGTGGGTCCCTGCAGAGGGACGGGGGGGCCTTCAGGCAGCCTGCTAAGGGATAGGAGAGGGGCCTCTGGCTCTGCAGCACCCCAGCCACCGCCCAGGCCAGGCTGGCCTCTTGCACCCCACCCCAGGCCGGTGTCCGCCACTGGGGCTCCAGTGCCCACTCACTCACCCTCCTCCTCCAGGGCCGTGGGGTCCAGCTCCAGGTCGTACAGGCGGAGGCTGGGCCAGGCGGAGCGGACAAAGTTCCCGAGCAGGGGCCGGCTGCTCCTGCACCGAAGCTGCACCGTGCGGTTGTAGTACTGGGAGATGATGGCACCTCGGCTGCGGCCTATGGAGGCAGCTGGGCAGGGCCGGGCCGGGCAGGGCCAGGCCTCCCTCCCCTCAGGATGGGCTCACCACAGGCCTCTGCGTCCCTCACCCCTTCCCAGGACCCAGGAAAATCCTTTCAACAAAGACTTCAGGCACCACTGCATTCCGAAAGCCTATTTTTACCCCGTGATGACTCTGGAGTCATTTTTGGAGCCCAGCGAGGGCCACATGGGGCTGTGCTGGGCCCCCAGGCAGCAGATGGGATGGGCTAGGAGCCCGCCCTGGGCCTGGCTCTGAGCTACGGGAGCAGCCACTACCCAGGGAGATGCCTGGCAGGAAGCCCAGCCCAGCCCCAGGGACTGGGGTCAACTCGGGGCCGGGGCCGAGGCCGAGGCTGAGGGTCCCACTCACCAATGGTGCGGCTGGGCATGCTGGCCAGGATGCGGAGTGTGGCCGTGCTCTGGGTGCCCTCGGGCCGCCAGAGTGTCTGCTGGCTACTTCCTACAAAGCAAGAAAGACTCACCAGGGGTCCTGGAGATGCCATTGGCCACAGTATCTCCCACCCCATCCCAGGCCTGCAGAGCTGGGAGGCCCGTCCTGAGGGGCTGGGGCACCCAAGTCTTGGTCCACACCACCCAGCATCCAGGCCTGAGCTCACCTGTCACCTCCCGCTCTCTCTGCTGCAGCTCCAGCCCCTCCTGGGCCGTGCACTGGCTCTGCTCCTGGATGAGCTGCTGGAAGGAGTCGTGCACTTCGCTTTCATCATAGGGGCTGGGGCCCTGGCTGCAGAGGGGGTTGGCGGGGGGGTCAGGCTCCAGCCACCTCTCTCCTTCCAGCAGCCCCTGCTCAGGTGACCTCTCCGTGGGGGGTGGAACATTCCAGCCTCCAGCCCCCAGCCCCAGAGCGCTTACCCCTGGTCCCCTGGGGTCTCAGGGACATCGAGGATGAAGGCCAGTGGCTGGGCCATGTCTCTGGCCAATGCCCGCTAGTCTGCAGACCTAGGGTAGCTCAGAGCCTGGGCGCCACCTCCGGAGCCCCCATCTGATGAGACAGGGGCACAGAGCCAGGGGTGGTCTTCAACGCCTGGCAGCTGTCCACACCACCCATTCCTGGGGGAACCACAGGAGGTGCCACTCACAGCCCAGACAGTCCCGCCCACCCCCCTATCACCCCAGGTACATAAATGGTGAGGCACCGAATAAGCCTCATGCCAGAATGGAATGGGGGGCCCCCTCCAGTGTCAGGGGAGGGGAGAGAGGAAGGAAGGGTGTGGGGTCTGCAGTTCCACATCTGTTTCCTCGATGTCGCCAGTCCCTGGGAAATGGGGAAGAGGTAGGGTGCCTGTAGACACAGCCCCTTTCAGGATCTCCATGCCCAGGGTTCTGGCACAGAGACACCTCCTTTTTGGAGAGAAAGGTCAGAGTAGGCTGTAGGCCTTCTCTGCGTCTGCCCTGTGACCTCAAAGAACTTCCTCTAGCAGGAAATTAGCTGCTGGAGCCCTCACCCCCAACCAGCCCCAGGCGGAAGCAGCACAGGGGGCTCCTCCCCCACACACAGAGGTCACTCCATGCCACCGCCGTCAGGGCGCCAAGGTCCTCATGTTCTCAGAAGACCCACTGCCCTGCATTCCATCATCCCAGGGCGGCCGGCTGGGGGTGGCCAGGACCTCAACAGGCCTCCTTTGTCCTGGCTCTGCCGTCACCCGGCACAACTGGAACCAGAGCAGCCTTGTCTGGGGCCCTGGGCTCGGGGCCCGTTCATCTGTGAGAGTGGAGCCAGGACTCAGCTCCCAGCCACCAGCGAGTCCTGCCGGCCTCTGCCCTGGACTCCTCCTGCGCTCACCCTCAGGAACTCAGGGCTCAAAGTCGGCCGGGTTGAAGGGCGCTTTCCTCGGACAGGCAAAGCCCGGGGGCGCCCCGACAGAGCAGCTCCTTGCAGGGGTGCCAGTCACAGGACCGGACGGCGCCCTCCCTCAGTGTCCTGGGTGCCATCTTCGGGCCCAGGCCCCACACCACCCCCTCCCTCCAGCAGGAGCAAAGACGTGGGAAAACCAGCCCAGAGCTGGGTCCGAGGCGGCCCCACCCAGCCTAACACGGGACAGCTGCCGAAAGAGGGGCTGAGGACGCCCCACCCAGTCCCTAGAGCTGGAATCCCTTCCTCCAGACAGGCCCTTCTAAGCTCAGGGAACCCGGGGACTCGGGCACCCAGCGCCCCAGCACTCCGCCCCGAGGCCCAGGCAAGTCCAGCGGAGTTTCCAGGCGCACCATTCCTGAGCTAGGTGGGGAGAGGCTGGGTGGCGCCCGTTTCCAGGAACCCCCACCCCAGCCGGCAGCGAGCTTCCCGGGAGCAGCCGCTACCCAGGGAGAACCGCAACCTGGCCCCAGAGCCCAGAGCGGCTGCAACTCTGGGGCCACCGAACCCGTCCAGCCGGCCTCCCTGTCCCCCGCCCCTTCCCATCCCGGCCACACCCCCTCCCCTCCCCTCCCCGTGCCCTGGCGCTCGGCTGGGGGACCTGGGTGGGGGCTGCGGATTTTGCTCCCCGCACTGTCCTCCCCGCCCCTGCCGCTCCCAGCTCTGTCCGAGCCGGAGGGTCAAGCCCTGGGAGCTCCAGGAGCACCCGGGGAGGGAACTCGGCTGCCAAATGGCCCCAGAGGCCGAAAGGAATTCAGGGGGGATTGCCGCTGTCCCCGCATAGGAGAAGCAGCTGGGGCTGGCGGGACCCGGGACCGGGATCGCGGCCGCTCACCTGGGAGGCGCCGGGGAGGAGGGGCCGCGCGCGCAGCCAGGGCTCACCTGTGCCCCGCAAGAGCCGCCGGGAACTGAGGTCTCGGCTCTCCTTGCCAAGGGAGTGGCAAAGGGCCCCAGGGGCGACTGGGCCAGTCGCAGGTCTGCCGGGGCCGGGGGAGTAGCCGCACCTCCCGGCCCACGTGGGCGGGGGGGGGGGGGGCGGGCCTCGGCTATCACGTGACCCGGCCCGGCCCGCGGCGCCCCCGCCCTCCTCCGGGCGCCCCGCGGCGACTATGCCTTCCTCCCCTGCCAACTTCCGACCCCTCCTCCTGAGGTCTGAGCTGGGCTGGATTCATTCCAGCCCCTGGTTGAAGTCCCCAATTTTTCTGACGCTCAGTTTCCCCAAGTTCCAAAAAGGGGCAATATTTCCAGACTCATCTGCTTCCCATGGTTAGGGATCGTCCAAGTAAGATGCCGCCGAAAGCCCCAGGGACACAGAGTATCTCACTCCAGATTGGGCAGCGCCCCCCCCCCCGCCGCCCCCGCAAGCCTCCTGCTGACTCTCCCCGACCCCGGCGGGGGGAGCCTGGTTATCTCCCACTCCTGACACCTGGGCGGGGTTCATTGTTTATCTAGCAAGAGTTCTGGCTCACTTCCTGTGTGCTGTGTGGAGAGGAGGGGATGAAAAGGAGGACACGCTGACACTTAGGTGACTGTCCCCAGGTGCTGTACCCGTTGCCCTGTTTTCTGTTATTCCCCATGAGCCAGGAAGGTATGCACTGATATTCCCATTTCACAGATGAGGAAACTGAGGCTGAGAGAAGTTAATCACCCTTTAGGGTGCCCCCAGCCAAAGCAGGAGACTTAGTGGTCCACCTGGGAACTCTATGGAGGAAACTGCCTTTGAGATTGTACCCCCCACCCCAAGCCCATTTGGAAGGGAGGGTCATTCCTGGCGGGGAGAAGCCATGAAGCAGGCAGGGTGAATGTGAGCTGGGGCCCAGGAGGGCAGGAGAGGGCACTGCTGCAGGGGAGAGCAGGCAAGCAAAAGCGAGGACCAGGCAGGGGTCAAGGCTGGGGCCTTTTGGAGCTGCCAGTGTGGTCCTCAGATGGCTACCCCAAGCTGGTTCTTGGCAAGTGGCACCCTGGCATGGAGACCCAGCCCCTGCCTCTCCTCCCACTGCTTCCCCCTCCCTGCATACCCACACTGAATTTGCATGAATGCCACCTCCTCTGGGGAGCCTCCCCAGATTGAACCCTGGTGGAGCACCTACCACTTCCTATTGACATGTACATCTGTGGTTCTGTGCCCCCTCCTACCCCAGCCCACTGTGTGCCCAGCACCAGCACATAGCTTGCGCCTGACACACAGAAAGGACTCTGGAAACCAGGAAGGAGGTGGGCAGAGAGGCAGAAAAGCTATGAACATTCAGACCTGAGATGACTGGGCCCTATAGCAGGTAGAGAGGGAGCAGAGAGGAAGGGCTGCGGGCTTCCCAGGGGCCCAAGGACAGAGAATTGGCAAAGATATGTCTTAAACATCTAGCCTGGGAGAGCATGAATGGAGCCAATTCCTGAGCACTTACTACCGGCCAGGTGCTAGGCCTGGGTCTTGGCACAACCATAACGCCAATGACAGGGGCTGGAAGTACAGCAGTAACACCAAGAGTATCTGGAAACCCAGCAGCCAGGTTCTGGGGAGCCCACCATCCTGTCATTATCACACCCTCCAGGGTGAGGCCGGCAGATAAAGAGTTTGGCCCCTGTGCCCCCACCGTTCCCATCCCCACCCATGTCAGGCTCCCAGCTCAGGCCTCGAGGTCAAGTCCTGCCTATCCAGGCTGGAAGGAGTTGAACAGAGAGGGCCTCAGCTGCAGGCTGGACATCCCTGGAGGCAGCCAGGCGGCAGACCCGGACCAGTGGACCCTAGGGCTGCAGGAGACCAGGCCCTGACTCCTGTGCAGAGGGGAAGGGTGGGCCACCCGCAGCCCAGCATGCACAGAGCTCCCTGGGAGGCCAAGTGGCCTACGCCTGTCACCTTCACCTCTGCATCTCAGGGGCCCACAGGAAGTGCCTGCTTGGCCTCAGTTTAAAGCAGAGGAAACCATGGGGTGAGAGGGGAGGAGGGAGGTAGTGGAGAGGGAAGCTGGGTTTCCTGTCATATGACCCCTCCTCTGGGCTCCCTCACCACCCTGCCTGGCTTGGCAGGAGTCGTCTGAGAAGGGGACTCCTCCAGGGACTTGGTCCCTAGGTCCCCAGGTGAGCTGGATGTCCAGTGGAGGGAGAATGCAGAGGGTGAGGGGCTGTGGGGGCCAGCTAGAGCCCTGCAAGGGTAGCAGTGGGTCCCTGCTCCTGTCCCCACGGCTGGGGCTGTAGCCACAGGTCCTCATCAGGGGCTCGCGGGGTACCTGGGACTGGAGGCTGGACCACAAGAAGGAAGACAGAAGGGGGTCCCCCGACATCCAGAGTCAGATGTGGCAGATGCCGAGTCCCAGGAACTGTGGGGTTTGGGACACAGGCTCTTCCGGAAGGGCAAACTGCCACGTGGAGAAGAGAGGGAATTGTCTCTCCTTGGGGTGACGGTGGGCCCAGGCACAGGTGGATGCGGGGTGCAGCAGGTCTTGGCTTTCTTTGCCTGTGCCGGTCCAGACTTTCTGTGCCCTTTGGATCTTTCACCCCATTTGACAGATGGGGAGACTGAGGCCGTGGCTGTGTGTCCCTCTGAGAGTTGGAGCGGGGCTGGGCCCGAATTCGACCGCAGCAGGATTCTCTCTCATTTCTGAGCCCCGGAGGTGGCAGAGCGGCAGACCCGGGCAAGTGAACCCTAGGGCTGCAGGAGCCCAGGCCCCGACGCCGGCGCAGAGGGGACGGAAGGGCCCGCCCCCAGCCCAGCGTGCACAGAGGCCATAGCCAAGGCCTTAAGGCTCATCCAACCGGGGACTCATATCCCCCCCACCGGCAGCCCGGCGCCCCAGCCTCTACCCGTGCCCGCCGAGATGCTGCTGCCGCGGTCGGTGTCATCGGAGCGGGCCCCTGGGGTGCCGGAGCCGGAGGAGCTGTGGGAGGCAGAGATGGAGCGGCTGCGCGGCTCTGGGACGCCCGTGCGCGGGCTGCCCTATGCCATGATGGACAAGCGCCTCATCTGGTGGGTGCCACGCGGGCGCCAGACGGTGCGTGGGGGGGGTGCTGCGAGGCTGCCCCGTCGGATGGTGTGGGAGCACCCCGTCTGCTTGGCCCGGGTGGGCAGGGCGGGTGACTCAGGGGCGCCCCTGTCACCACCCCCGTCCAGGCAGCTGCGGGAGCCCGCGGGGGTGCAGACCTTGCGCTGGCAGCGGTGGCAGCGCCGGCGGCAGACGGTGGAAAGGCGCCTGCGGGAGGCAGCGCAGCGGCTGGCCCGGGGCCTTGGGCTCTGGGAGGGGGCGCTCTACGAGATCGGGGGTAGGACCCGCGCGACCCGCACCTCCCCTTGCCCTCTCTGGAGCCCCACTGCCCAGATCGGAAAAAGGAGAGTGGCATCATCCCACCTGCCTTCACCCGGGTCCCCCGACCAATCGGCCCCTCCCCCCTCCCACCCCTTCCGCCCGCAGGCACCGCAAACCTCGGGCCCACGCAGCACCCCCAGGTGACTGTCAGCGGTACCTCCGGACTCGGGCGGGTGGGAGCCTGGCGGGCACCCCACGCCGTCCGGTGGGCCCGCCCTTGGACTCTCAGCGCGGCCCCAGCCCCGGCCCCGGCCTCCCTGACCCACCCTGCTCTCCCACTGCAGGCCTCTTCGGCACAGGAATTCGGTCCTACTTCACCTTCCTCCGCTTCCTGCTGCTACTCAACCTGCTGAGCCTGCTGCTCACCGCAAGCTTCGTGCTGCTGCCCCTGGTCTGGCTCCGCCCCCCTGACCCAGGCCCCACCCTGAACTTGAGTGAGTGTGAGGCCCACCAGGGGAAGTGCTCCGGTGCCCACCTGCGCCATGGGGGGGCTGGCCCAGGGCCCAGAGCGTGGCGACAACGCTGGGCGTGGTCCTGCCGTGCAGGCCCCGGGGCTCTCTCTCCCTGACCTCGCCTTGTGTGGGGCACGCCTTTGGCACATCCTCAGCCCCCTGCCCAGGCCTCCCCAGGGTTGGGGGTTATAGAGCAGTAGCCGCAGAGCCTCACCTATGCCTTGGGGATCCCTCTCTATTGACCCCCTTCCTCCTCAACAGCCCTCCAGTGCCCTGGTAGCCGCCAGTCCCCGCCTGGCGTTTTGAGGTTCCACAATCAACTTTGGCATGTTTTGACTGGCAGGGTGAGTGAGGTCTGTCCCGGCTATGGTCCAGAGTCTGGGAGACCCAGGGAACTGGCTTCAGGGGACACAAGTCTAAGAGGACCTCTGCTCCTCCAGGGACATTTCGGCTCCTCAGGGGATGGTCTTACCTAGACAGACTGGCCTGGCCGGTGGTGGGGTTAGAGAGAGGCTGAGGCCACTGTGCCCAACATAGACTCATGGACACATGCCCGTGGTCCTCAGAGCCCAGCTGGTGTAGGCGGTGCCAGGGACAAAGGGGGAAAAGTGCCCCGGCCTCTGGGAGAAGCACTTCCCCACCCTCATCCTGGGAAGCCATCGAGTGGTCACCAATGGGGTTCCTGGGTTCCAGTCGTGGCTCTATTTCTCAAAGCCCTGTGACCGTGGGCACGTTGCCGAACCTCTGTGGGCCCTTGTAAGACGGGACACTCCCTACCTGATGGGGGGATTGCACGGGGGCTAACAAGATCATATATGGAAAGCACTTGAGCAGAGCCTGGTGCTCACCCGGGCTGGGTATCTTCGTCGCTGTCCCCAGGCCTTCACCAACACCTATCTCTTCTACGGTGCGTACCGAGTGGGGCCGGAGAGCAGCTCCGTGTACAGCATCCGCCTGGCCTACCTCCTCAGCCCGCTGGCCTGCCTGCTCCTCTGCTTCTGTGGGACTCTGCGGCGGTGAGAGCGAGGTCCACACCTTCACCCCTTCCCCAGGGAATCTTCCCTGATCACCCCTTCCTTGGCAGGGTACCCTCCCATTGGCAGGAAGGCCCATGGCCCGGCACAGCAGGCTCCTGGGTGCTTCCTCAGCCCAGGCTCTGGCCGCAAACCTTAGGAACAGGGCCACCGCCCCCTACCCCGACTCCTCACTCACCAGGACCTGCACCTGGGGCTGCAGGGGCCTTCCCAGACCCAGAGCCGAGCCAAGGCTGAGGCTGGATGGTAGAGGTGCCCCTCCTCCAGCAGCCCCTGGTCTCCTGCCCCGCAGGATGGTGAAGGGGCTGCCGCAGAAGACTCTGCTGGGTCAGGGCTATCAGGCGCCTCTCAGCGCCAAGGTCTTCTCCTCATGGGACTTCTGCATCCGGGTGCAGGAAGCAGCCACCATCAAGAAGCATGAGATCAGCAACGAGTTCAAGGTGTGTGCACGAGTGAGTGCCTGAGATCCACAAGCTCCAGGTATATGGGAGCGAGTGCGTGAGAGCCACGTGTTCCAGGTGTGTGCGAGCAAGTGCGACCGTGCCAGTGTGTGTGAGCGTGTGTGGGAGGGAGCCTGTGGGAGCGTGATGGAGAGCGTGTGAATGTGTGTGCATGTGTGGCCGAGTGTGAGGGCACATGTGACTGAATGGGTGATGGCGAGCACGCCTGTGAATGTGTGAATCTGAGTGTCTATGGGAGCATGACAGTGTGAGAGTTTGTGACTGTGTATGTGAGCGTGAATGGTTGTGACTGTGTGTGAGAGCGTTTCCTGCACCCTTTCCTCCCATGCCCACCCCGCCTGCAGCTGCCTCTGTCCCCACCCTTCCGGGCAGGTGGAGCTGGAGGAGGGCCGTCGCTTCCAGCTGATGCAGCAGCAGACCCGGGCCCAGACGGCCTGCCGCCTGCTCTCCTACCTGCGGGTCAACGTACTCAACGGGCTCCTGGTGGTTGGGGCCATCAGCGCCATCTTCTGGGCTACCAAGTACTCACAGGACAACAAGGAGGTGTCAGGCAACTGCATTCATTTAATCCTGGCCAGAACTGCGGGGGTGAGACAGGATGATCCCATTTTACAGATGAGGAAACCGAGGCTCAGAGAGGTTCAATCGGTCGTGGCCACAGGTCACGGCCAAGGCAGGCGGGCTCCCACTGGATATTCCCGCCAACTGCCAGGCTGCTGCAGGGAATAGCTTACAGGCGACCCTATTCTGGGCCTGCCCCAGAGTTACACTTTAGGGCACTGTGGGGGGCGGGGAGCAGACAGGGGCCCCCCAGCACGCGGGCTCCCCTGACCTGCCTTTTCCCGCAGGAGTCCCTGTTTCTGCTGCTCCAGTACCTGCCCCCTGGGGTCATCGCCCTGGTCAACTTCCTGGGTCCCCTGCTGTTCACATTTCTGGTCCAGCTGGAGAACTACCCTCCCAACACGGAGGTCAACCTCACTCTGATCTGGTGAGTGCCACCCTTGGTGGGGACAAGTGGGCATGTAACAAGTCTGCATCCTGCTGCTCTCTTTTGGTTGTCACCTGGCACCTGGGGTCCCCAGCTGAGAGGCTTCCCCCTTCACTAGTGGCCCAAGGGAAGGCAGGTACACACCTCACAGCACACGACCTCAGGGCCCCAGGTCTAAGGCTTTCCAATCCCCCACCTCCAAAGGAAGCCGCCAGTCTGGACCAAGCTCCGGCCATTCAGTGGAGCAAGGGACTGTGGCCAGGGGTGCTGGGAATGGGCTTTGCACACAGGAAAACCAGCAACACGGGACATGCAGAGCTTCTACATGCCGAGGGTTTACTCCCCTTACCTGGACAACCCTCACGTGACCCGTGAAGTCCAGACCATCCTCATCCCCCTTGAGGGATGAGGAAACTGAGGTTCACATGAGTGAAGCGCCCAGCCAAAGTCAAGCTCATCGTGCCTGCCAGGTGCAAGTTCAAAAGCAAGCCCTCGACCTCCTGGGCTCAAGCGATCCTCCCGCCGGAGCAGCTGGGACTACCACTCCCAGGTTCTGCCATCTTCTGTCTCAGCACTTAGGTCCTGTCTAGACCCCCTACTTCTCCACCCCTCATCCAGCTGCAGAAATTCTTGTGTAAAGCCCACCTGAGCTCCCACTGGCTTCTCTCCCTCACGCCACCCTCAGTCACCACTTGCCCTAACTGCTTTTCCCTCTGCTTCCTCAAAGTCAGCTGTGTTTGGTTTGCTTTGAAACTTTATTTTTTGAGGCCGGGCATGGTGGCTCACGCCTGTAATCCCAGAACTTTGGGAGGCCAAGGTGGATCACCTGAGGTCAGGAGTTCGAGACCAGCCTGGCCAACATGGTGAAACCCTGTCTCTACTAAAAACACAAAAATCAGCCAGGTGTGGTGGTGCACACCTGTAATCCCAGCTACCCGGGAAGCTGAGGCAGGAGAATCACTCGAACCCAGGAGACAGATGTTGCAGTGAGCAGAGATTGCGCCACTACACTCCAGCCTGGGTGACAGAGTGTGACTTCATCTCAAAAAAGAAAACAAAACAAAAAAAGCTCTCACCTACCCCTAGCTCCCTCAACAGGAGAACCACTGTTCCCAGCCACTCTGTAGCCCCATATCAGCAGTGGGAATGTTCACCCTTAGAGATAACACGCAACCAGGCACAGTGACTCACGCCTGTAAAGGCCAACACTTTGGAAGGCCAAGATGGGAGAATCACTTGATCCCAGGAGTTTGAGACCGGCCTGGGCAACATGGCAAGACCCCGTCTCTACAAAAAATACAAAAAAATTAACTGGGCATGATGAAAGACTAGGACACACAGTCCTAGCTACTAGAGAAGCTGAGGTGGGAGGATCACTTAAGCCCAGGAGGTCAAGGCTACAGGGAGCTGTGATCGCGTCACTGCACTCCAGCCTAGGCAATGGAGTGAGACCCTATCTCAAAAAAAAAAAGCAAAAACAGATAACATGCATGTGATGATGTTTCGTTTAGACAATCACCTATTTGGTCTGGTCATGCATTGTGCAGTACATATGTGTGGCACGTGTTTATGACATGCAAGCTTGTGTCAGTGGGCTTCAATGTCCATAGGCGGCGGAGGAAAGGAGGAGCTCGCCTGCAGTCAGGATCCTGAAAAGGCCACAGGCTTCTCCACCGCAGGGCTTGCTGCATGTGCCTCTCCACACCAGGCATGAGGGAACATGGCTGGACTGTGCAGTGTTTCTCAAACTGATCTAAAAACAGAACCCTTGGCCAGGCGCCGTGGCCCACACCTGTAATCCCAGCACTTTGGGAGGCCAAGGCGGGTGGATCACCTGAGGTCAGGAGTTCGAGACCAGCCTGGCCAACATGGCGAAACCCTGTCTGTACTCAAAATACAAAATTTAGTCAGAAATCGCTTGAACCCAGGAGGCAGAGGTGGCAGTGAGCCGAGGTCACAACACTGAACTCCTGCCTGGGTGACAGAGTGAGACTCGGTCTTGAAACAAAACGAAAACACAGAACCCTTTTTCCCATGAATCGCCTGGAGACTCGGACTCTGAGAACGCACTTTGGACCACATTGCCACAGACAGAGCAGGTTGGAAGGAGGCTGGGCCCAGGACACAACATGATCCCACTCGGACATCAGCCACACCTATAGCCTGGGTAGAGCCCGGTGCCCATGTGCCTGGGCCCCTCCACCTGACAAGGTCCCTGCCCCCAGGTGCGTGGTGCTGAAGCTGGCCAGCTTGGGGATGTTCTCCGTCTCCCTGGGTCAGACCATACTGTGCATTGGCAGAGACAAGAGCAGCTGTGAGTCCTACGGCTACAACGTTTGTGACTATCAGGTGGCTGGCAGCCCGGCGGGGCCTGTCCCTCCCTTCCTTCTCCCCAAAAAGCTCACCTCAAACTGTGCAGAGCCCTGTTCCTGCCCCTTTAGTCACCTTTGAGAGAAGCTGTGAGCAGGGCTGCCTGCACCGCCGCACACCTCCAGGGGGCGCCACTGCTGCCACATGGTGTAGTGTGGCTGCCCTGGCTGTGGGGCTTCCTGCTCTAATCCCATCCTCAAGGCCTGGGTTTCAACCTAACGATTCTATCAGACACCAGGCA